>NC_000004.12:188921381-189522251 GCF_000001405.40 Homo sapiens
AATTGAATCCTCCAGCTCCTGAGAAGGTTGTCAGCTGACAGATTTCAGCTGTGAGCATTCTCCAAGAATTTCCCTTAATTACAAAAAGCATCTTCACCTGCTGAAGATCACACTACTTCTTCCGAGGGCAGCCTACATGCAATGACTGGTCAGTGCACTGGCATAGGATCCAGCTGATAGTAACAGGAGACAGATAGATTCCTAGGCAGACAAGGACAGGTCCCCAGTGAAACCCAACCTTCAAGCCAAGGACAGTTCAAAACCTGAAAACCAAACTGCCAGTTCCAGACAGAGTCCGCAACTGGAGTGAGAACTTCCGTCTCTGTCTTACCCACTCTCTCTCGATTAGTTCCTTTGGAATGATGCCTTTTACCCCATTGAAGGGTGCTTTTTCCAAGGCCACTCATGGACCAATCAGCACATGCTCCCCTATTCTAAGCCCACTAAGAACCTCAGACTCAGCCTCATAGATGGTCACCCACTTTCAGGTCCCCTCTTGCAGCTGAGAGCTTTCCTTCTGTCACTCAATAGAATTCTTCTCTGCCTTACTCACTCTCCAGTGGCTGCATACCTTATTCCTCTTGGTTGTGAGACAAGAACTTGGAATTTGCTGAGCTGCAGGCAGCAGGAGTGAAAGAGCTGTAACCCTCCCATCCACTGAGCTGTGGGTGGTGGGAGTGAAAGAGCTGTAACCCTTCCTCCTTCTCACTGAACAACAGAAGAGAATAGGCTACTGGGCACCACTTCCGCCCACTCGCAGAATTACAGGAGTGAAGAAGCTGCTGGGTGCCACTCCCTCCTGCTTGCCAAATTACTGGAGCCACCACACAACCTCCTTGCCTCAATTCCCACCACCTCTGAACGGCCATTCCAGCTTGGGAAGTGCTCTGTGTCAGTTGAGGCCTGAGCTACCACTCAATGTCTTTGCCTGCTCAATTCTTCTTCATTGCCTTTAATGCAAGTATTGGCACTAAGAGCTCTCACTAAAGCAATTTCCGTATGCAAATTCATGACGGATACTCCTCAGTGTGCTAATCTGTTCATGTGTATAATCCAATCTATATTTGGGTTGTGAGAATTAGGTAAATTCATGGTTATAAAGCAACATAGCTAGCCCTTAATACAAATTATTTCCCTCTCTGTTTGTTTTGCTACTGAATGCAAATAAACTAACACAGAAATTATATCAACATTTTTCTGTGCTTCACACCTTTTCAAAGGTAGAAGATCAAAAACATCTTGGTCACAGGCAATCTCAGTGGTAGCCTCCCTTGTGACCTCATACATGAAGTCACCTTTCAATAGACTTAACATGAGTTTGCCCAGCCAGCTCAAATTATTTAGTCTATTTTGTGATTTATCTTACTTGTTCTGTTTGTTCTCACTAGAAATTTGTTATTTTCTATTTATACTGCTAATTCCAAAATATGTGATATATTTTTATATATGCAAAGGAATTTTTTAAAATCTAAATGACTTTTTTTCATAAAGTCATTAATGAGGTAAGGATTTAAACACAAATCATAACATGAACTTGGTTTTTGTTGGAATTGAAGTGTTGATATTTGAAACTATAAAAGTTATGGTAATTCATTCTGGTTTATTATCAGAATGATTTCTTTAAAAATAGGTGTATCCAAGACATTTAATGCCAAACTTCTTACATAAAAGTAGAAACACAAAAACAAAGTGCAGTTCATGGCACATTTTAAAATCCCTATATGCAATTTCAATTGCACCTTCTCTGTGAATGTAATCTGGTCCATTGGGAAATAAATCCTCCTGGAAATTTCCTATGTACTTATGAAGGTCAGTGATCTAATGGTCAGGATTTGGGGTTTTCAGTCCAAACATTTCTAACCCTACTTTCTATAATCTACTCAAATCACGATTTGGCCAGCACGTGGTTTGTAAAAATAGTAAGAGATATTTGGTTTCCTCTTTGATAGGTGAAATTTAAAAATATACCAAATCGAGCAAATAAAACAGTCTATCATGAAAGGACCAGATTAATTGATTTAAATAACTCAAGAAACATTTGTCAGAAATTTAAAACCAACCTAAAAAAATAGGATAAAATGGAAACAACAGTTCATGATGAATAGCTCCAGAAAGAAAAGTAAAAAGTAAAAATAATAAAATGGAAACAAATATAGAATATTAATGATAGAAGGTTTGGTTTTGAACAGCTGTCTGCACTATACCATGCTAACTTTGTTCTTGGTAACTTCATCAATCCTCTATTTATTCAAACCTAAAATGGTGCTAATGGGTCTGCAAACTAGCTAGATTTGGCTCTGAAGTTTTTGAATTTCTCTCGTGTAAAATAGGAATATTGAATAAATGATTTTTAGTCTGGTGTTGTAGAAATCTAACATTTGTCTTTCCTAATTTACAGTCTTGGTTTAAAAATTACATGAATAATAGATACAAAATTATTTAGAAATAGTAAATACTACACAAAGTAAGTTGTTGATAAATATGTGTAAACTTTTTTTAACCTAAAAATAAATGATTGAATAAAATAAGGCAATAAAAGCATGATAATCCAATCCTACAAAAAATAACTGTTAAGTAAAAATCTATTAGCTTTCTTAAAAAAAACACTCCATGACAACATAAAACATACCTACCATATAAGAAACAACAATAGAAATTAAATAAACAGGTCCTACTTACAGTGTCTTTGTTGTAATAACACAGACAACAATTGTTCACATGAAGTTGACTTCAGGCTGGGAAGCAGATAATATAGATAAGATACTTTTTAAACACCTGGGCCTGGTGTGGTGGCTCATGCCTGTAATCCCAGAACTTTGGGAGGCTGAGGAGGGTGGATCACCAGAGGAAAGGAGTTTGAGACCAGCTTGACCAATATGGTGAAAACCCGTCTCTACTAAAAAAAAAAAAAAAAAAAAAAAAATTAGCCGGCCATGGTGGTGCATGCCTGCAGTCCCAGCTACGTGGGCGGCTGAGGCAGGAGAATCACTTGAACCCGGGAGGCAGAGGTTGCAGTGAGCCTAGACTGTGCCATTACACTACAGCCTGGGCAACAAGAGTGAAACTCTGTCTCAAAGAAAAAAAAAAAAATCGAATCCACACAGACTTATCCCCAATAATTTATACGCAGAGAGTGAAGAACTCACTGTGAAATTCTGCTCTACATTCTTTCTTCAATTTTTTTCACCTTATTCACTGCTATCTACATAAATTATTTTTTAAAATCCACTTTATGTTGGCCGGGCGCGGTGGCTCATGCCTGTAAATCCCAGCACTTTGGGAGGCCGAGGCAGGCGGATCACGAGGTCAGGAGATCAAGAACATCCTGGCTAACACGGTGAAACCCTGTCTCTACTAAAAATACAAAAAAATTAGCCAGGTGTGGTGGCAGGCACCTGTGGTCCCAGCTACTTAGGAGGCGGAGGCAGGAGAATGGCGTGAACCCGGGAGGCGGAGCTTGCAGTGAGCAGAGAGTGTGCCACTGTACTCCAGCCTGGGTGACAGAGTGAGACTCTGTCTCAAAAAAAAAAAAAATCTACTTTATGTCATTTATAAGGTCAACTCTGTTTCATGGAGACAGCCTCTAAATATGTAGTTTTTGGTTTTTTTTCTTCCTCAACTCATATATATTCCTTAAAAATACCAACATATTAGGCCGGGCATGGCAGCTCATGCCTGTAATCCCAGCACTATGGGAGGCCAAGGTGGGTGGATCACATGAGGTCAGGAGTTCGAGACCAGCCTGGCCAACATGATGACACCCCATCTCTATTAAAAATACAAAAATTAGCCAGGCTTGGTGGTGGATGCCTGTAATCCAGCTACTCAGGAGGCTGAGGCAGGAAAATTGCTTCAACCCGAGAGGCAGAGGTTGCAGTGAGCTGAGATCGTGCCATTGCACTCCAGCCTGGGCAACAAGAGAAAACTGCGTCTCAAACAAAACAAAAATAAAAACAAAAAAACCTACATATTGCTCAATTTCTACTAAGAATTCCTTAATTGAAAACTAGTATGCTCACTTCATTTCTTTTCTTAATTGTTAATAATATGAATCTTAGTTCTACTTGAGAATATTAAACAAAACTGATTTACATGGGCAATTTTATTCTCAAGTGGAAGGCTGCACATGAAGGGAGAAAGCCATCTAGGCATTTTGTTATTATTTTCAGCTTCCCATAATTTATTTCAGCACTGTTGGTCAGTATTCTATTTTGACGAACTTTGCTGGCAACTATTCTGATTTCCTCTACAAGGAGACAAAGAGAATTTGTAAAATCCTACATCAATGTAGTGAGCAACTTCCTCTTAGGAATAACTATCTCAAAGAGAATAAAATAAAGGCAACCTTAACCCCCAAAATTGTGTCTGCTGCTGACGCGGCAGCCATCAGTGAATAATGGGGCCTCTCGTCCTCCTCTGAGCCTGCATACCTATTAGCAGGGCAGGAAATTGCTGGGGGCTGGCCACGTGCTTGGAAGAATAAACCAGCAGGATTCAAATCAGAGACAATTAAAAAGGATGTAATTCTACTGCAACAAAGCCCAGATGGAATGCTATTATAAGTGTCAAGTTTACTGATGTCCCAAATATAAAGTTTTCCTCTCTTATTCTTCTAAGTGCATAAGGAATTTATTTTTAGAAAGAAGGCAAAATATTTTCATAAAAAATGAATTCTAATAAGGTGAACAAATATTTTCAAATGTTAAATACTAAGCCTGAGATATTTAAAATCCTTCTGTCGTATATTAGTGGATGATTTTTAGGAATCTAAGATGCTAAGGTTTATATTTTTTAATTTCCTGTAACTTGTCATCATTTCAGTAATTTACAAAATTTTATACCCTAGAACTAGCAGAAATCAATTGTATAAATAATTTATCCTGGTTCTGAAATAGTATCCCTGCAGATGTGAGGTTGCAGAGGTGCTGTATTTTGAATTACATGTTAGACAGGAATCCTCTTTCTTAGCTGTAAATCATTTCAACATCATGTGTAATACAAGGAAAACAAAGATATATATTGTCTATATCAGTAGCATCCGTATACTTGATTCTTTAAAAATTTGACTTCAGCAGGAGATAAAGTCTGTAGTGTAAAAAGCGTACCAAATTCAAAACTAATACATAATGCTGGGAATTACAAAAAGCAACTCCCATGAAAGGATGACTTAGAAGAGGGGAAAAAACTGACTCCTCAAAAAAAGCAGACAAAGAAATAAAGAAACTCCCTTGGATCTAGCATAAAATAAGGTCCCCTTGATAATTTATAAAAAATGTGACTCTCAAGTAGGTTTGGCTACAATTCACAATTTATCCCCTTCCCACAAAAAAAGTAAGATGATAATTAAATTTAAATCTGCCTTGCACTGGTAATGCAAAATACTGCATTCGTAGTACCGAAAAACCACAAACATTCTGTAGCCTGGAAGAATCCATTTTAAACTATGTTTCATAAAAGATGAGTTTGCAATGGGAATTATGCAGCACTTATAGAAACAAATTAACATAGTAAAGGCAAAAGAAAAGATGCTGCCAGTGTGGCTGCTGAAATGATATTAATAAAAATATAAAATGAGTATTTTTAGAAAGCTTAATAAAGCAGAAGAGGATATTCAAAGTATAACGAGGTAAGAAACTATGAAACAGTATTAGATATAGAACACCCCTGACATAACTAACTCTATCTTAGAAAAAGACTCTATTTTATATTTCACAGGGTACTCTGCCAACAATAAGATGTTTTGTATAATAAACACATAAAACAAATAAAGACTGCTTCCAACCAGATAAGGACACAAACACTCTCTTCCATTTTCAGTTCTCACCACAGGACTGACTATCAGCCGCTCGAAATGGCCATCTTAACTGACACCGTCTTGCAGTCACTTGTGATAAAAACTTGGCATCTGCCACTGAGGACCCGGCCTCCTCAGAGACTTCCTTGGAGGACCAAAGGACCACCTGGCCAGACCAGGACACCTTTTGTCTTCTTCACTTTCCCCTGGACTGATTGGTTAACCCATTCTCCTATCTCTTTTTCCTTTTGATGTTAAACATGACTTTATTTGTTGTGAAATGTTTAACCTACACCATTGATATACTGATTAAGTATACTATTATGTTTGGTTTGCGTATTGACTGGCCTGTGGAATGGCTTGAGCCTGTGTGTTCCTGGCTCTGCCTAGCGAGTGACTGGGAAATAGGAAGGAGAATTCCTTCCTTGGGAACTCCATGGGGTGCATGGCTTCTGTGACTGAAATGGCATCAATAAAAGCCTGACATGGTGGAAAGAGACAAATATGTGTGGACCTGGTTATTTCTAACCACGATCTGTTCGTGACAGTAAGAAACAATAAAACTGGTGTATGAGAAAATAATAGAAAATAATTTTAAAACCTATCTAAAATAGAAAAATATAATTATTGACAAAAGAAATTCTATGGATTTATTAAACAGCAGATTGATTGAAAATAAATGAGGTAGAAAGATATATATCTGAGGAAGCAACAGGGTGCAGCATAGAAAGATAATTAGGTGAAAAATATGGATAAAGCACGATAGCCTCGGGAAGTAGAGAATAAAGTCTAATATAAGTTACAGGAAATATTTGAAGAGATATTGGCTTGGATGTTTGAAAACTGAAACACACACACAGACACACAAGCGCACACACACAAACTGATAGATCTAGGAAAATCAAAAATCCAAAGTGAAATCAGTGGAAGGAAATGAACACTTGGATGTATCATAGTAAAGATGTAGAACATAAAACACCGAGGACAATTCTTAGGATAAATCAAAGAGAAAGTTTACCAACACACAATGACATTTAGGCAAACAGCTTATTTCTCAGCAGCAAAAGTTAAACTGTTAAGAGAGCAGCAGGATATCTTCAACTGCTTAGACAAAAATAATGATCAACTTCATATTATACAGCCAGCTGAACTATCTTTCAATATCCAGGAAAACTTTAAAATATATTAAGATAAGGCCAAAACATTCACAAAAGGAACTTATAAATGATAAGTTTCAGGAAGAAAAAGTCAGCTGGTATGAAAGGTGGGAAAGGAAATTAGAAGTAGACAATAATGAAAATGATAAATATGTGGGTATACCCAGACAAAAAATTGATCATATCCAATAATTGTGATAATGGGGTATCTATATTTTTACCATGCATTAGAGACTTAAAGTATTATTAAATACTAGAGATAAGGAAGGTCACTAACTATTAATAAATGTTCAAGTCACCAGGAATATATAGCAATTCTAAAATTGCATACATCCATTTGAATAATTTCTAAATGGAAAAATATCACCACCTAAAGGAGCAATCTTAACACATAGTTTGCAGTAATTAAAGACAAAGTAGAAAAGTAAAGTATTAATAAAGAAACGAGTTATTTTTGAGGAACATCTGTTGGAATATATGAAACACTGCATGCAAATATTGAAGAACACACATTCCTTTCATGTGCACATTTAAAAAATAAGGAGGTCACAACTCCTATCTCAGTAAATATTAAATAATTAATATCATACAGAAAATATTTCATGACTCAAAGAAATTAGGTAAAAACATGAATAACAAAAATGCAATAATATATGTATTTTAAAAAGTCATTTAGAATATTACCAAAAAAGAAGCAACTTTGACATCATTTCTGAGAGAAAATAATGCCAGAAATGTGAAAATACCAAATTATTATTTGAACAGAATAATAATGAAAATACTAAAATAAAATTAATACATGGAATGCAGTGAATGTTGCATTTAGGGGGAAATATGTAACAAAGTATTATATTAGAAAATAAATTCATCAAAATACAAAAATATATTAAACCCAATAGAAAAATGAACAAAAAAATTGAAGAGAAAAATCTCAGAGAAAGATTAAAAAATGGCTGATAAACATAAGAAAACATGTGCAACCTCAGTATTAAAATCATAATAAAACAACCAGTTTATACCAAAAATTAAGTTTGGATTCAATGTTATCTCAAGGATTAAATTTTTAAAATTTGGACCAGATCTATCTTAGAGAAAATTACTAGGGTTTATTGGAAGACTTTTAAATATCTGAATAAATGGAGAGATAATATCATTGTTTCATAATACAAAATGCTGGCGTGCATAGGAAGTGTAAAAAGATCTACACATTTCTTGCAAGAGTGTAAGTTGCTGTCATTCCTGTGATCCTCTGATTTGCCACACCGTATGCACTGTCCATTCTTGTCCGTCCTTCTCTGAATGCAGTAAAGCTGACTTTAATATCCTACATTGTGAGTCTCCCTTGCCCTCTGGTATCCAACTGGGTTTGGCAGTGGGAGATCAACAGAAGATCAGAAGGTGGGAGCTAAAAGGAATCAGATATTTATTTCCCTGACTCCCTTTCTGCCAGGTCTTGGAGTTTGGTCATTTCCCTCTCCGTGAGGCCAGGTAGTTCAATGCTCTAGCTACTTTCTCTAAGTTTTTGTAACTGCTCTCTCTTCCCTTGTCCCTTCCCTACAGATCTAGGCTGAATAACAGCTCCTAGAGGCTCCTAGCCTTTCTTTTCTCTGCCTACAACTTTATAAATATGCATTTATTGATTGTTTTCAATTATCACTATTTAACTCTAACATCTGTTTCCTGCTGCTACTTTGATAAAACTGTTTCCAAAAACTGTCATTACGCAGAAATTAAGGTATTCATTCCCACAAGTTCACATTTCATCTGCTGGTATCACCTGAGGCACACTGATAAACCATGAGTAGGTTCAGGTTGTGCCTGAGAACTTCTGCACCTTCACCCTCAGAAATGAAGGGCAGGGTCTGGGGCAGTCACAGCTCACGGGTTTGACACCACCTACTGTGAGCAGCTCCAACTACTTATGCTAAAAAATACACGAATATATGTGCTTTAATGCATGGAGAAGTTGGGGAACCATTTCCCTTGAGTAACTCTTGCATGTGGCAACAGGAAATTGATACAAAAATGTTCAGAGATGCATCATTTGCCATGACAAAAAAAATCAAACAACTCAATAGAATAAATAAATTAACTCATAATCATACAACCTTTTTGTCTCCTTGCCATTCTTGATGCACACATGAGAGAACCTAACATAAATTCTAACAGACTCCTGGGGAAAAGCAGAGATGCACCACAGACCCCTTTCTGGGAAAAACCTCTGTTTTCCTCACAGAAGCCCATGAATTGAAAGAAAATAGATCTTTCTCAAAATCTAAGGCTCTGTTCTGTTTTGTATTGTGTTAGCTGACAGTTTTGACTTTTGTGGGTACAAGAAATTACTTCGCATTATGAAGGAATTTTGGTGTATAATTATTAGGTAGGAAATATACTTTTAGGGATTGCTAATAGTAGTTATGGGGGGATACTGGACTCTTTGCACACTTGGATCAGAGAAGCATGCTCTCGGTCACCTGGAAGATATGGAAACATCCCCAGCCTATGCTGATAGATGAGACCCCCATGGGGGATGAGCTGATTACCTAATGGGCTGACTGGCTTTGGGTTGCCTTGCAATGAAATGCATGATAGAAGCACTGCATAGTATTTGCCTCCTTTTTGGGGACCCGGGGTCCAATATAAAGCGGTACCCTTAATTTTGGGGATCTGTCTTTGCCTTCCAGCTGTACCTGCTTATTAGGCCCTAGGAGTTGCATGCTTTCCTGGTCCTGTTCCTCCAAGGGCTCCATCCTGAAGCCAGTAATCCAATTAAGAAACTGGCCAATGAAAAATCTTACAAGTGCTAAATCTTCTGTCTGCCTGTCTTTGTATTTATGTGTGTTGTGTACATGATGTTTACATAAAAAGAGCTCTGATTAATTGGCTTAGCAAAATAAGCACTTAAATCATATTTTGTCAGAAAAATTGAAACTTTAATTCTTTTTGTTCATGTGACTTTACTAATTTTTTTGGAAATAAAGACAGCTTTAAAAATTATTACTAAAATAAAACTGTATTTAAAATTTAAACATTTCATCTAAATTAAGGTCAGATTTGCTCAATGCTTTAAGGTCATGAACTGCTTTTTTGACTTTTAAAGATTGTTCAATTTACCTACTTTGGAGCAGTAGATTCTAAATAAGGCCTGGGGACATATGGAGAGCCATGCTGCCTAGCTATGCTGAGAAGTATCAGACCTTACCCACTCGTCTGTCTGATGTCCTAGGCGCCACACTTAGCACATAATTACAATCACTTACTTATCAGGATTTTCACCAAAAATAAGTTGCTAAGAATTAATGTTGTAACATGCAATTGAGACAACTGGAGAAACAATTTTACTTACGAGGTATGTAAGGAAATAGAACACATTTTTGGTAAAAGATTATAAGAAGGTATGGGAATATGGCTTTTGTTATAGGGAATGTAATTTTGTGTAGTTCAGAGGGTTTTAAAGATTGTGTTAAACTAAAAGAGTAATGGGACAAAACTGAAGGTTTAAGCAAGTTGAAAAGGGTTTGTGAAGAGTTGGTCTTGTAAAGAAACTTCTGTGGTTATGAGCAAGTTGGCTAAGATCTGAAGGGCCTCATTTTTTTTTTCCATAGGTTGAACATAAAAATAAAAGCACAGGCATACAGTGTGAGAATCTAGACCCATGTATCCGAACAACAGGGCTTTCTCAGAAAATTGATTTGTTGTTTAATGGAAAATTGTAAAGGGTTCTAAAAGGTTTATGAAAATCTTACATTATGGTTACACTAATTAAAATTTGATAGATTTATAAAATTTTATTTAAAAACTATCTTTAGCATTAAAGATGCATGGATGCAAACATGAAATTTGGTTTTCTCTTTTGACAAAGATTTTTACATAATATTAAAAGATAATGAAAGGTTTTTGTTTGCTCCTTTGGGTAAATGGCTGGGGAAAAAACGGGAGGAGACAGAAGAGGCAGATTCAGTCAGCCTCATGCTATCCTCACTGGGTCTTGTTTGGAAAGCTGTCTCCTCTCTCAGCATAAAGATTTTTCTTTTAAAAAATTTTGGAGTTATCATTTTGGCAAAATGAATGATTTATAGTGACCTGCGATTCTATTTTGTGATATCTAGTATTTTAAACCCTTGATATTTGACAAACTTTCCAAAATCAAATTATAAAGTATATCATTTTCTGACCTAATTAATCCTAAAGACAATAGGTCCCCTGAAGTCCAAAAATGATGGTTTGGCTAATTTGTTATAAAAATCATACAGGAAGCACTGTCAAGTATGAAATGATTTTGGCTTTCTTTCGGCTGTAATTACTAATAATGCAACACATTATTAGTATGTGTTCCAAGACTATGGGAAACATATAATTCTGATATGATTCAGTTTACATTATTAATAATTATAATTGTAATATAAAATTGTTGTATGCCATAGAAGTAACCAAAATTCCTAATCTATTTTAGCTTTAATAGTGGCTATCCTAAGACTTTTGTCATTCACAGACATATTGTCTTGCTTTAGTTGTTTTCATAAGGCAGTTTATAATCAGATATAGGACTCTGAGTGCAGGTCTATGATAACTTTAAAAATTATGCTATTGGAATGGAGGAAAAAAAATTAAACTTCTGAGACTCCCATGGAGAGCTGATGTGTTAAACATTGCTAATCCTTTTGTTTTCAGAGTCAAGAGAACTCATTTCTTTAGAGCTGTTTACAACTTTTAACAAGTGAGTAAAAGACGCTCCTGTGAACAAAATTTGAAGCATATTTGCTTCCCTCTATCTGATTTCTCCAGAATTTGGAAACTATTTGTGAGTATTCTCAACTTATGGCAGCACAGTTTTTGCATAAATGCAATAAGAATCTGTTTTCTTTTGTAACAGGACACAATTGGAACAACTGTTTATTTTACTAAGGCTATGGCTGGAATGGCATGCTGTACTGACCTGTGGTAAGTAAAAAATGTGACTTTCTAACAGGCTCAGGAGCCCCAAGTTATCTTGAGACCTCAAGAGGAGAGGAATGTACCCAGGATATAGGTATTTGAGGGTACAAACCCATGGCTGGGTTCACCTTTAAAAAAGTCTTACCTGAGATTACTTATGGAACCGAGTTCTATCAAAGGCAATTTAAAAAGCCTGTGTGAAAAATAATTATTCTTGCTGTGCTTTACACAAATAATCAGGTCAAGTAAAATAAGGCTAAGATTTATTTTGTAAACAAATCAGTTCTCTGATGATTTGTTCTTAATAAAAAGGGGGACTTAAGAGAAAAAAAGTATGCTTCAAAAGAAAAACTATAGTATGCCTGTTGTTAGCTGTTCTTGAGTTTTTTCTGCAGTTTGGGCTAAACCCTAAATTCTTTGTGGGCTACAAGTCTCCAAGCTAATGCTTTTAAATCTTTACTTTTAAAACTGGGAATTACCCTCCTTACCCTAGTACTCTTTATTTATTTTATAGTATGCTGTTCCCTTAAATGTGGTACTAAAACTATAGACGACAGTATGAACGCCTTTGCCATGCAAGCCTCAGAACCCCTGCCAGGCCTGCATGAGTACACTCAGCCAATTGCAAAGAGGTTCCACTCCTTTCACTTTCGGTCAACACCTACCCCCACTATGCCCCTGATCAGCAGGAAGAAATTAGAGTGGTCTTTGCCCTTTTTCCATCTTCCTTAGCCAACACCTTAAGACTAAGGTGTTATGAAACCCAAAGGGAGGTATTGAAAATGCCATTGCAAAATTGTAACTGAGACAGTAAAAGAGATCTGATCTATCCCACTCCATCCTGCTTCTAGCCTCCAAGCTGTCCTTATTCATTCCTGGGCATAGACTGAACTAACTTTGGGAGGAACTTAGTTTGTAGTGTATAGTTTAAAACAAAGTTGATAACAGGCATTTCCCATGGCAAATCTCCTTCTTGCCTGGGGCCTACACTGCCTTTGTGGGACCAACAAATTAGCCACAAGATTAGAAATTATGGTTTAGGAGTCAGTTAGCTGGAGCCTACAAGATTCTGACCCTCCCTACACTGCTCCTAAGATCAGTGCTTGAGATATTTTGCAGCCTTTGCACTTGATGAATCAGCTGGCACCACACAGATCGATAAACTGGCTCATCTGATCTTGTGGCCCTCACCCAGGAACTGACTAAGCACAAGAAGACAGCTTTAACTCCCTATGATTTCATCTCTGACTTGACCGATCAGATTCCTGGCTCACTGGGTTCCGCCCATCCACCAAGCTGTCCTTAAAAAACAGGATCCCCAAATGCTCTGGGAGACTGATTTGAGTAATAATGAAACTCTGGTCTCCTGCCAAAAAAAGAAAAGAAAAGATAAACTCAAACAATAAGAAAAATGAAGTCTGCTATAATGTCTTTCCGTAGTTACTATCCTGCCCTGAAGGAGAAAGAAGGCTGGATAATGTGTTTATAAAAGTTAAGCCCTCAGGTTAAGCAGATCTGCTGCTTTTTCAGAGCTATTCATTCTGAGTCCAGGCACAGAAAATGCTTTCATTGTACTATATGTTAATAGACTTCACCCTGAAGTCAGTAATCTGCTTAAGAAAAAAGCTAAGTTGAAATGACCGTCTGTTGAACTAAATTGGTTTCCAAAATACATGTTTTTGGCATTTAGTTGGCTATTTTGTATCTCTCTTATAAAAAAATTACACATGTAGGTAAAAATCATTGGAAATTCTTACAATATAAGACAGTATTGGCCAGGTGCACTGGCTTACGCTTGTAATCCCAGAACTTCGGGAGGTCGAGATGGGCAGATCACAAGATCAGGAGATCGAGACCATCCTGGCTAACACGGTGAAACCCCATCTCTACTAAAAATACAAAAAAATTAGCCGAGCATGGTGGTGGGCAGCTGTAGTCCCAGCAACTTGGGAAGCTGAGGCAGGAGAATGGTGTGAACCTGGGAGGCGGAGCTTGCAGTGAGCTGAGATCGCACCACTGCACCCCAGCCTGGGTGACAGAGCAAGGTTCCGTCTCAAAAAAAAAAAAAAAGAGTATTAGTCTAAACATCTAAACATGCCTCACCTTTGACCATTTTGTCTTAACTGGGCTTCTTACCTACACTTTTCTTTTCTAGGCAAATTGTGGCATTTAGGCCTGAAATCTAAGTTCTGGGCTGGTGATATGTAAATTTTTTTCCTTAGTTTACAGAAGAGGCATTTCTTTCAAAATGCAAATTTACGATAGAACGTTTTTAGATGGTTATTAAAAATGAGATAAATAAAGCAGTCAGTGATGGGGTTAAAACAAAGATTAAATCTTCTAAATGTTGGATAGACCAGAGAAGTCCTCTGCTGGCCCCCCAGCATTACAGAGCCTCACTATTTACCAGGTTTGATGAAATATGGTGAGGTAATGAAGAAGAAATAGCCTCAGAGTAAACAGTTTTTGGAAAGGATGAATGAGATCTTAGAAGAATAGATTATAATTTGTGACAAGGTCTTTGTAGGTGATGTGAAATCTTCTCTACTGTGATAAAAGCAAATCTTCCCTTTCCTTGATTGCTGCAACTCTCTGGGGAAAGGATTAACAATTGCATTCCTTTTGGAAGATTAGTATTTAGGCAGATAAGAGGAATTCAGAAAGTCCTGCCTTGTTTGTTTGTTTGTTTTTTAATAAAAAAACTTAACATATTGTTTGTAGAGATGCAGGTCTTACTATGTTGCCAAGGCTGTACTCGAACTCCTAGTCTCAAGCAATCCTGCCTCCTTAACCTCCCAAAGTGCAAGGATTACAGGCATGAGCCACTATGCCCAAGCCATGCCTCGTACTTTGCTATTTTTAAAAGTGCCTTTGAGCTAAAGCTCAAAGTAGTTAATATACCAAAGTGAGTTATTTTGGGGTGAAAGTTCCTGAACTACTCTAATGGCTAGCTTTATTTAAAAGGAATGAGTAAATTAGGTGAATGTAAATAGGATGCAAGTTGATAAACTTGTTATAGTTTCAAATATCTTTTTCAGTGGCTCGAGATTTAAAGTTTTGTTAAATTAAATAACAGACACGAAACATCTGAGTCATTTCTAAGAAAATTAGAATACTGAAACATTAATTGCTGAACATAAGTTTAAAGAATATATACATGTTTGGCATCTTGTTTTTGTATTGTATAAAAAGCTATATGTATTTGAGTCTATTAATAGATATAAAAAGTTGAGAAAACACGGTTCTAGAAATTAAGAACTGGTGAATGCTCATATAGGACAGCCCACAACACTTCCTGGGTTTTCACTAGAAGATAAGATTATTAAAAGTTAAAAATTCTAATTATCATATTGTAATTGAAAATAGAAATAAGGGAAAAAACTCTTATTCAGGGAATATAAGACATGTTTTTGGTATGAAAAACTTATATGAAGGATGTGTTTTTCTTAAAAAAGCCTAATTTGTGTTCTAAAGTACAATGAATAGTTGTTCCAATATGGAAAAAGGAAAAGTATTGGACAAAAAACTGCAGATATATGAGAAGGTTCTAGAAGTTTTGTGAAAGATGAACCTTGTGAAAGGAATTGTGCGTGCAATTAGCTGGGTAAGATTAAAAGAGAACTGTGGGTTTTTTTTTTTTAAATCAAGCGTTAATATCAAAAGCGCACTGACGCAAAACTAAAATTTGATGCAAAACTTGTTAAAACAACAAGAAGTTTTTCTTACAGTATTTACTGCTCTTGTTAGAAAATAGTAAGAGGTACTTTTTTTTTTAACCTTTTAGATAATTGGACTAGAAAACCAAGATTCGGTGTTCTATTGAGATGATTTCCTGTGCTTCATGTTGTCTTTATTAGTCTTTGATTACTTAGGAAAACTGAGTCCTCTCCATTGAACAGTCCAGGGTTTTTGTACATCTACATAACTTTCTGTCTTTGTCTTTTGAAGTTTTTCAATTTGAAGTTTTAAACCAGAATGATTTCTGGTTAAATTAATAAGTATGACTCCGCTGTGACCTGTGATCCTATTTTGATGAAGTGTCTTAAACCTTTGATATTTTTGACAAACTTTCCAAAATCAAATCAGAAGTTAAGTCTTTTTTACTTTGAACTAACTTTGGGACAATTCGGAAGGACTTTGAATGTCTGAAGAAGACAATTTAAAGCAATTAAGCTTATTTGATACATTGAATTGCAGGAGAGGCATTGTCAAGTAAGAAATGATGTTTGAGTTACATGTATATGGATGTGCTGCTAATAATGTGTTTCAAAAAGTGTATGAAATTCCTAGAAACCCAATACGTTATCAACCATAATTTCTGTTATCTTGTTAAAATGTTGTATGCCACTGAAATAAACAAATTTCCTTTTCAGTTATAACATTATTATAATGAACTCTCATCAGATCTCTAACTATAGTCATTTTAGGTCTTGTCCTCCACAGACAGAATTTAATCTGATGCTTTTCTGAAAGCTTTTTTTTTTTTCTGGCTTCTACAATTCTACAGCGATTCGTTTTCAAGGGAATTTATGTAAAGGACTTTGACAAACACGTTTCTGGTAACTTTGAGATCATACTATTAGACAGCGTAAGAATTTTTAGATCTTCAGTAAAGAAACTGATGGGTTTGTGAAAATGTTAACCAAAATCAGGCAGAACAAGAATTAATTACACGGTACTGAATGCAGTGATAATGAAGAATTATAGGCTTTCATGACTTTTTAAAAATTTGAAACATTGCTGGCTCATTTAATGTTTTGTTTTCCAAATTTTAGAAAACTTTTTAAAAGCTTTTTATAGTTACTGGAAATTTGATAAAGTATATGTTTGTGAGTAAAAATTAAAACATTCAGTTTTTCTTCCTACCTGATCCCTCTAGAATATGGAAACTTATGGGTATTCTTATTTTAATGGGAATGTAGTTATTTGCATAAGTCCAATAAAAATCTGCTCTTTTTATAATAGGTTGCAATTGGAAATATTGGTTATATTACTAAGGCTTTACTGGGATGTAATATTTGAAAATGCACATAGATATATCTACAGGTACTGCAGATGAAGTCTGAGGTCTGCTGTAGTTTGACTTCCTAGTTATGAGGGTTCTGAAAGTCTTATCTGAGATTCCTAATCAAAAGTTCTAGCAAAAGCAAACTTTACAAAGCACCTATGTGGTCAATCACAATTCTTGCTGCACTTATATAATCAGGCAAAGTTTAACAAGACTAGACCTGTTTTGCAAACAAATTTGTCTTACTCTGATTATTTTGGGTAGAAATGGGTGTAACTATAAAAAGAAGAATGTTTATGAAGAAAACTGTAGTACACCTCTCATTATATTTTAGCCCTATTCATTGTTTTTAGGTTTTTATTGTCTACTGGTAGACTGGACTGGATTCTGAATTCTAGTTTCCTCCAATATCTGGCTACAACTCTCCAAGTAAGAAGAAGAACTGCTTTGTTTCTGAAGGCCTCTGAGCTGGAGCTGGACAACTTGATGTAAATTTTTAGGAACAAATCTCAAGCCTGATGTGTGGGCTACACAGAGATTTCACCAAATTGAGGGTCCCATTGCCAGGGACCCTCAAACTGAAAACCAGGATAAGCAGCTGACAACTTCATGCTGTGGACAGCTTTTCCCAGGACCTGGGAGAAACACTCCCAGTCACAGCGAGAGCCCGGGCCCCTCTTAGTTTCTCCTTGCTGATGCAGAGCTCTTTTGCTGGGCAGGATAATGCTGTAGGTAGAATTGCACAATCAGGAGCTTCTGCTGGTGACTTCACGAAACACTGGATCCGTCATACCAAACCCAAATCTTTACATGACTTAAGGGGTCCTTTAGTCCACCCAGTGGGTAACGTTAGCAGCATCCATAATACAACTGTGTTTAAATTCTCACTGTGTTTAAAAATGGTCCCTTTTATAGAGTAAGATTTCTAGAAATCTCACTCTCTGCTTTAATTTAACCGAGTCGTGGCATACCAGATAATTGAACTGCTACCTACCAGCTGAGCCGGGAGAAGGAGTCTGTGCAGTTGCCGACACTTCTTATTGCAGATGGATAAATGCATTGGGTATCACAGAGACTCCACGGCAAAAATGAATGAACAAGCTCCTTGGTTAAAATGAGTAGATTCGCCGTCCGGCTCATTCTTTGGCTTAACTGATTTCAGTTGGTTGGGTTCATGGGAACCTTGACTAAGGGACATACTCCAGAGTTTTAATTTTACCTTCTGAGATCATAATGGTAGTCTTCCTGGTATTCTGTATTCACTTAAAAAGTCTTAAATACCTACATGCAGCCATCTGCTAAATGTCAAGTGGTCTCTCTCCGGCTGAAATGATGAAACTTCCAAGAACTGCATGATAACAAGGACACCGTAAGCCAAAATGGTGGCGACCGAGAGTAGCGCTGATGCCCTAAGTTTTGGTGACACTCTCAGTGAGAGCCGTTTGGGCTAAACTCCCGCACTAGGTCCAACAAACCAAACCAGAATGGCCTTACTCATACCGACACTGCAGCATCGACGAGCAACGCTAAGCTGTTTTTCTGACTTTCCAAGAAAACACGAGAGAGATAATCCGAGACAGGTCAGTTTCAGCAAGTGCCCTTAGCTTTAACCTTTACAATGAAGGTAACTTTGAAATGACAAATCCACATTTTGTTTTTTGTTTCTGCTTTCATCAGCCCTTTTCTGTCTGTAAAGCCAAACTCCTCACCCAGCTCATCAGAACACTCATTGTATTTTGTAGAATGAGTTATTGCCTGATTCTAGAATTGCACATAAAAGCCAATTAAAATCTTTAAACTAAATTTGTTGTAATTTTCTCCGTTGACCAATGGGTACACAATTCACGACCAGGATGTGGTTATTTTCTAGGTCGCTGTAGAAGAATACAACGTGGTAGAGGCCCGAGAGGGCTCTAAGGCTTGTAATGCTCTAAGGTGAAAGCTGGATTGTGGGTGTGGGGGTATATATTTTATTCTATATCAAGCTTAATATGTACATTAACAATTACCTTATTTTACATATTATTTATCTTATTATGAAGCCTATTTTGTTGTTATTTAAACTCCGATTACTATCACATGTTTTTAACATAAATGATTCTGTTAAGCACTGCATGGGCCTGCTTCTGATGTATTCAATATATGTGGCTAGAAAAAAAATTATAGATAATTTTTATAGATACTTTCTTTTTGAGCAGAAATAACCCTGAAGAGATATAAAATTCTGGACAAAATAAAGTACTGAAATTATATACTGATTCATATTTTACCCTTTGCACATTCTAGTACCATTCAAAATGTAATTGGCATAATTAATGAATAGTCTGATAGAAGCAGTATCAGCAGTAAAAGGAAATGGTTTCTTGCACTCCCTTAAAGCTCTGGCAACTCTATAAAAGTGCTGCTTGCAGAAAGGAGAGATGAAGGACCTCTGGCCTTCCCTAATGTTTGCACTTGATTGCTGTACAAAAATTATGCCTTTGAGAAAGGCTTAAGGTAGTCATAAAATTGCAACCAATCCCAAAGAATTCCAAAATTAAAACATAATCCACTCCAGAAGCATAATTAAATTAGCAATAAACCTTAGTTATATAAATCTCTACAAGAAGTGGCTTCCAAAGGCTGATTAAGAGAAATCCTACTTATAAGTGTGTTCTCCTACTTCAAAATTTTACTAGTATTGGTTTCTTAACTTCACCATTGCAGAAAACAATTTGATTCACGTTAAAGTGAGGAAGTGCTCCATTAGCTAAAGTCTACCCCTTGGAGATGGGGACTTTGGGGAGAAGGGGAGCATATACACAAAAAGTAAATGGCAGCAAGTTGCAGCTACCATATCTTCAAAAAGGAAATGGAAGGAAATCTTAGCTATTCACCTGCAATTGGTATACATTTTCTGAGCTAAAAGTGAATGATATCTTCCCCTCTACTCTTATGGAAGTCAAAATTTTTATTATTACAGCTCACTGCAGCCTCAAACTCCCAGGTTCAAGCAATCCTCCTACTTCAGCCTCTCGAGAGGGTGGGACTATAGGCACATGCCAATGTGCCCGGCTGATTTTTGTATTTTTTGTAGAGACAGGTTTCACCATGTCGCCCAGGCTGGTCTTGAACTCCTGAGCTCAAATGGTCTACCCGCCTTGGCCTCCCAAAGTGCTAGGATTACAGGCGTGAGCCATGCTGCCCAGCCAGAAGTCAATTTTTTAAAAAAAGCATCATTATCAATGGATAGCATTATCAATGCTCATTTCTTTTAAAAAATAATGGTTCCCAATACTATTATCATTTTATCTTGTGTCTTGGTTGTGCCTTTTCTTAGTTGTGGGACTTTTGGCTACATACTTAACCTCTCTAAATTTGTTTCTTCATCAGGCAAATATTAATAATGTCTAATTTTCAAAATTGTATGGTTGCAACATACAGGAAACCATTTGCTGTTTCTCAAGTCACACCTGTGGGCAAATTGAGGGAGTTGAGAGTTGAGTGTTGTTACAAATATATGCGTCTCACATGATTCACTAAATGTTTGAAAGTATTGAGTGGTAATACACCTAGTAGCTCCTGTGGCATGTACAGTCAGAGTTAATGAATATTAACTCGAAGTACTGTCCCTTGAGTGTGACTCAGCTGGTTTCCATGTCTTTGTGCACTCATTCTAACTGACTCAGACTCTCAGAGACCCAATTCGTAATTCCTAGAAGCTGAGTCTAACTGGAACAGCTTAGTCATAAAAACTGGCAGCATGGGATCATTTATATAAGCTTAAGCTCCAGATGTTTAAACCTAAGGGTGGGAAGGAAAATGGAAGTGGGATTATGGGCTGAGTACTAAACATTTACTGTAAAGTAAGTAGCAGCTGCTGAGAAAATATTCGTTGCTCTCTCTCACTTGTTATAATTCACTCAGTGGGTTTACTGTTGTTAGTAATAGATGCTATGGAAAATGTAAAATATAGAAAGGAAAATCGCTGATCTACAGGAAGTAAGTAATGAAATTAAACTAGAATATCCAAGAGTTTAGACTTTCTGTCCAGTGATTTCTCCTAAACCATACGTTCTCAAAATAACTAAAAACTATTAAAATCATTAAACAAGATTTGCCATGTGGTATGTAGGGAAGAAAATATGACTTTCATTTTTAGTTCCTAAATGTCTTCTAATTAAATTATGTATGGATTAGACATTGAAAACTGAAAAAAAATTGACTCATTTAATAATAACACAGAAAGTAAAGCAGTGTAGTGATACCTAATGCTTCTGATTATTATTGTCTTCAAGTAAATATTTTCAAGTTTTACTAATAGTTTTCTAAACAATCATTGCCCCGTTTTTGTCTATGATATGACTATATCAAGAACATTTAATGGTTTAATGAGATAAGAGTTGTCATGACTGGTGGTTATATGGTTTTGCTCTATGTCCCCACCTAAATCTCATGTCAAGTTGTAATCCCCTTGGGTTAGGGGAGGGGCCTGGAGGGAAGTGATTGGATCAAGGGGACGGATTTCCCCTTTGCTGTTCTGGTGATGGTAAGTTCTCTTGAGATCTGATAGTTTGAAAGTGTGTGACACCTCCCCTTTCTCTCTCTCTCTCTCTCTCTCTCTCTCTCTCTGGCTCTACCACGGTAAGATGTGCTTGCTTCCCCTTCCGCCATGATTGTAACTTTCCTGAGGCCTTCCAGCCATACTTCTATACAGCCTGTGGAACTGTGAGTCAATTAAGCCTCTTTTCTTCATAAATTACCCAATCTTATGTAGTTCTTTTATAGCAGTATGAGAATGGACTAATACAGAAAGGCTCATAATTTATGGTGAGTAGAATCATAAAATTTAACATCAATTATTTAGGTTTTCTAAAACTCTGATTTCTATGGATATAATTATATCCATATCGTAAAATTGAACATGAAAATCTTTATGCAGTAAACTGGTTTTGCAATGGCTCAACAGTAAAAACAAGTATTTTCTTATCACTTTAAAAAATCAAGTTTCGATGTTAGGATGAAAACAAACCAAAGGAAAAAGAAGATAGGAACACACTCAGGTAAACCAGTAAAATCAGTTACAAGAATCAGCAACATGTTTTAAGTTAAATAGATATTTTCATTCAGCATTTAACCAAGGAAACAAAAGAGAAATTGGCTATGTATTTGTTTGTTTTTGATTCAGTTATGACCACCTCTGTGTTAAGTGCTGTATCTGATGTTGGAGACGCAAAAATAAAAAAGACAAAGCTTGTGCCTTCTTCCTTTATGATAGAAAAGGAAAAGGGAGGAATGAGAATTGGCGCTAGTCAGTTTATCATCTCCTGCTACGAAGTTGAAAGGTTCCATTTCCGAGCTTATTACTTTGTCTAAAATGTTCACTATAATGTAACAGAAGTGGTGAAAGGGGATGTTCTTTCATTGTTCCTGCCATCAGGGGAATAAAGCTTCACTCTTGAATTACTAATACATGTCTTTTAGCCATTCTCTTCTGCTCTTAACATACATACATGTTTTATCATAAATAGATGTTTTATCATAAATTTTATCATAATAGATGTTTTATCATAAGTAGATGTTCAATTTTATTCAATGCTTTATTGTTATCTGATGGAATAATCTCAAGATCATATATTGATATGTGTATTGATATGGCGGGTTACACTGATTGATTTTTGAATGTTAGATCAACTTTCATTCATGAATAAACCCTACTGGATCATGCTGTACTATAATTTTTATATATTGCTAGATTTGATTTGCTAAAAATTTCTTAAGGATTTTTCTTTCTATGTTCACAAGAGATATTGGTTTGCAGTTTTCTCTTTTTGTCATGTCTTTTTCTGATTTCATATAAGAGTGATACTGGCCTTTGAAAATGACTTGGAGAGAGTGTCTATATCCCTTATTTTCTGAAAGAGATTGTGCAAATAGTATTTATTTCAGAACTTTCCAGAGAAGTCTGGGCCCAGACTTTAATGTGTGGAGAGGTTTTGAACTAAGAATTTAATTATTTCAATGGATTTATGGTTATTCAAGTTATCTATTATTTTTAAAGTAAGCTTTGGTTGTTTGTATATTATCTTTAAAAAAGCCTGTTATTTTCATCCAAGTTATCAAATTTGGTAGCATACAGTTGTTTTCCTAATATTCCCTTCTTGTTTTCTAATGTCTATTGGATATGTAGTAATACACTCTCTCTCATTCCTGTTGAAAGCAATGTGCACCTTCTCTCTTTTATTCATGGTCAGTCTGGCTGGAGGTTTCTAATTTTATTGATCTTTTCAAAGAACTAGGTTTTGATTTTGTTGATGTTCTCTATTGTTCTATTGTTTTCCTATTTAAAAATTTTATTGATTTCTGCTCTTATTACTACTATTGTTTTATTGCTGCTTGTTTAATTTAATTTGGTCTTTCCTTTCAAATTTCTTAGCATGAATGATTAGATCATTAGTTTGAGCCCTTTCTTTATTAATATACATATTTCATGCTAAAATTACTAAGTATTGCTTTATTTAGGTGAGGCCTACAAAGTTTGATATGTTTAAGTTATCTTCAATTCAAAACATTTTCCAATTTTCTTTCTGATTTCTTTTTATCAACAGATTATTTAAAGTGAACTAATTTCAAATATTCGTTGTATTCCAAATACCTTTCTGCTACTGATTTCTAGTTTTAGCTCCACTTGGTTTGAAATCATACCTTGTGTGATATTTAATTATTTTAACTGTATTAAAATTTAGTTTATAAAACCATAATGATCTATTTTGGAGAATTTTCTATGTGTGCTTTAAAAGAATGCGCATTCTCTTACTCTAAAATTCATTACACAATTGGAAGTAAAACACTCCTCAGCAAATGCGAAAGAACAGAAATCATACAAACTGTCTCTCAGACCACAGCGCAATCACATTAAACTTCAAGATTAAGAAACGCACTCAAAACCACACAGTTACATGAAAATTAAAAACCTGCTCCTGAATGACTTCTGGGTAAATGGTAAAATTAAGGCAGAAATCCATAAGTTTTTGAAATCAATGAGAACAAAGAGATAATGTACTAGAATCTCTGGGACACAGCTAAAACAGTGTTAAGAGGGAAATTTATAGCATAAATGTCCACAGCAAAAAGCTAGAAAGATCTCAAATTATCACCCTAACATTACAAATAAAAGAACTAGAGAACCAACAGCGAACAAACCCCAAAGCTAGCAGAAGACAAGAAATAACCAAGGTTAAAGCAGAACTGAAGAGAGATGGAAACATGAAAAACCCTTCAAAAAATCAACAAATCCAGCAAGTGATTTTTTGAAAAAAAGTAAATAAAATAGACCACTAGCTAGACTAATACTGAAGTAAAGATAAAAGATTCAAATAAACACAATCAGAAATGATAAGGGGGATACCACCACTGACCCTGAAGAAATACAAACAACCATCAGAAAATACTATAAACACTTCTATGCAAATACACTGGAAAATCTAGAAGAAATGGATAATTTCCTGGAAGCATACACCCTCTCAAGACTGAACCAGGAAGAAGTTGAATCCCTGAATAGATCAATAACGAGTTCTAAAATTGAGGCAGTAATAAATAGCTTACCAACCAAAAAAAGCCCAGGTTGAGATGGATTTACAGCTGAATTCTACCTGAGGTACAAAGAGGAGCTGATAATATTTCTTCTGAAACTATTCCAAACAATTGAAAAGCTGGCAGAGATACAACAAAAACGACAGTTTCAGCCCAATATCCCTGATAAACATCAAAACAAAAATCCTCAGTAAAATACTGCCAAACTGAATCCAGCAGCACCTGCCAAACTGAATCAAGCTGCACATCAAAAAGCTCATAGACTACCATCAATTTGCTTCATCCCCAGGATGCAAGGCTGGTTCAACACACACAAATTAGTATATGAAATTCATCACATAAACAGAACTAAAGACAAAAACCACATATTTATCTCTATAGATGCAGAAAAGGCCTTTTATAAGATTCAACATCTCTTCATGTTAAAATCTCTCAATAAACTAGGTATTGAAAGAACGTAACTCAAAATAATAAGAGCCATTTATGACAAACCCACAGCCAACATCATACCGAATGGGCAAAAGCTGGAAGCATTCCCCCTGAAAACCTGCACAAGACAAGGATGCCCTCTCTCATGACTCTTATTCAACATATTATTGGAAGTTCTGACCAGGGCAATCGGGCAAGGGAAAGAAATAAAGGATATTCAAATAGGAAGAGAGGAAGTCAAATTGTCTTTGTTTGCAGATGACATGATCCTATATCTAGAAAAGTCCATTGATTCAGCGCAAAAGCTTTTTAAGCTGATAAGTAACTTCAGCAAACTCTTAGGATACAAGATCAGGCTTATGCTACCTCCCGGGCTGGAGTGCAGTGGCATGATCTCGGCTCACTGCAGCCTCGACCTCCCTCCTCTCCTTGACAATGAGAACATATGGACACAGGGAGGGGAACAACACACACTGGGGCCAGTTGGGGGAGGGCGGTGGGAATGAAGAGCATTAGCTAATGCCTACTGGGCTAAAAATCTAGGTGATGGGTTGGTAGGTGCAGCAAACATGGCACATGTTTACCTATGTAACAAACCTGCAGATGTACCCCAAAACTTAAAAAAATTAAAAGAAATAAAAAAATGTTTATTCTACCCTTGTTTGTGTCGGTCCATAGGGTGGTTCTCGTCTTCTCTTTATTTGTTATTTTTTTCTACCTGTTCTATCAATATGCAATAGAGTACTGTTGATGTATCTAATGATACTTGTGGATTTGCCTATTTCCTCCGTTCATTTCTTTTAGGTTTTTAAGAACTATATTTTTGAAGCTCTGTAATAAAGTTCACAGATTCCTAAGGTTATTAAATCTTATTGATGAATCAGACCCTTTTTAGTTATATAATGCCCATTTTTTTCTTGAAAAATATTATTTGCTCTAAGATTACTTTATTTTATATAAACATAACTATTAAAATTTTTATGATTAAAACTTATATTGTTCATTTTTTCCAACCTTTAGTTTTCATGTCTACATGTCTTTGTATTAAAATCAGTTTCTCGTAAACAGGATATATGCTTTTATCCAGTCTGACAATACTGACATTAAATTGTTGTGTTTAGATCATTTATACTTAATGTAATTATTGACATTATTGACTATCAGTAAATCTACCATCTCATTCTTTTCCACCTACTTCATGCATTCTTTGTTTCTATTTCCCACTTCTCCGTCCTTTGGAAGTGAGCATTTTTCATTCTCCATTTTATCTTACTGTTTGCTGATTAGTTTTACTTCAGTTGTTGCATTAGTGTTTATAATATGCCCCTATGACTTGTCACATTGTACCTTCAACAAACGTTATACTACTTAACATGTAGTATAATAATATTACAGCAACACATTTCTATTTCCAATCATTCTCTGTGGTCTTTTTGTCTTATATTTTATTTCTACCTGTTACATATTTCCAAAATCTTGCTTTTCTTTCTGTTAATAGTCAATTATCTTTTACATTTACTCTTAATTTTTGTATTTCTTGTGTTCTTTATGTCAATCTAGATTTTTATCACATATTATATTCTTTCTGTCTGAAGAATGTCCTTTACAATTCTTTTTTTTCCCTTTTTGAGATGGATTCTCGCTTTGTCACCCAGGCTGGAGTGCAGTGGCATGATCTCGGCTCACTGCAACATCCTCCTCCTGGGTTCAAGTGCTTCTCCTGCCTCAGCCTTCCCAGCAGAGGTCCGCCCGCCTCAGCGTCCCAAAGTGCTGGGATTACAGGCATGAGCCACCGCGCCCGGCCTGTCCTTTAAATTTCTGGTATTCAGGGATACTGGCAGTGAGTTCTTACAGCCTCTGTTTGTCTTAAAAAGTCTTATTTCACTTTCATTTTTGAAAGGCCCTTTCAGTGGATAAGGAGTTCTTGATTTATATTTGTTTTTCTCTCAATACTTTACAGATATCACTATAGTCTTCTAACATGCACAATTTCTGACAAGAAAGTCTTTGCTCTCTTCAAATATGTCTTCTGCCCAATTCTTTAAGAATTTATGAGAATTGAAGCTTTTTAAAAAAAATCTGCTTCAATGGCACCTGCCAGTTCCTCTCATAGTCCGCCAAATGTGAAACAATTCGCATTTTCCATCTCTTCTTCTTTTTTTTTTTCTTTATTTTTTTTTGAGACGGAGTCTGGCTCTGTCGCCCAGGCTGGAGTGTTGTGGCGCGATCTCGGCTCACTGCAAGCTCCGCCCCCCGGGGTTCCCGCCATTCTCCTGCCTCAGGGGTTCCCGCCATTCTCCTGCCTCAGGGGTTCACGCCATTCTCCTGCCTCAGCCTCCCGAGTAGCTGGGACTACAGGCGCCCGCCACCATGCCTGGCTAATTTTTGTATTTTCAGTGGAGACGGAGTTTCACCATGTTAGCCAGGATGGGCTGCATCTCCTGACCTCGTGATCCGCCTGCCTCAGCCTCCCAAAGTGCTGGGATTACAGGCGTGAGCCACCGTGCCCGGCCTCATCTTTTCTTAAATAAACTTGTCACTCTTCAGAATTCAGTTCAGCTGATTATCTTGTGAACTTTGCTATCTAATATGTTCAACAAAAAGTTCTAATTTTGTAGATTATGTAGTGTTCTCTCATTGTTAGGGTGTAAAAATGCTCTCTTGCAGCTTTTTACTTCCCTACTATAAGGAAAACTCCAGTTCCTGTCTGATTGCCTTTTAAATCTGCACAATCATAAGACAAGGATATCAACTATGAGTGAGGAGGCTTCGGATGACATAAAAAATTTTAAGAGTTTGAAAAAGGTTGGACATTGCTATTGTAGATAAAGGAAGAAAAAACCTAGAGAAATATGAAAATCTGTCAAACTAGAGCAATATGTTTGGCGTGAATATTGTAAATTTGCCATGACATTGATCTATATCATATTGAAATTTTCTCCACATCACTCTGTTTTAAAAAGGAAGTAGGAAGAGTTAAAGTAGTGGGAAGCAAAGGGTTAATCCAGGTATGAAGCTGTTTGAGTCCAATTTCTTGAACAATCAGGTAAAAAAGTTTGAGTATACTGATTGAATTAATGTAATAAAGTATAAACTTGCTAAAAAAGGAATTGAAGACAGAAAATAGCTGATGATTTGGAGAAAAATATAGCAGTCAAAGAATCAGCAGCAGAAATAAAATATTCCAAGATCATTAGAGTTTAGAAGGCCAATACCCAGGGCACTCATATTAGATGAGTTGTCTCTGTGGCTATGTCTACCAGCTAGAATAGGATACAAGAGGTCAACTCCTCAGTAAATGAGAACATACAACAAGGAAGTGCACTCAGAATAATATCTTGATGGGGATGGAAAATAGTGCCCTGTTAGTGGCTCAGAATGCATGAAAGACACATGTGCACTTTCTGAGTTGTGTGCAGAGTGGCAGAATTCAGTGCATACACTTGGCTGTCAGTGCAAAGAGGTGGAGGAAACATTCAGTAAGGACACTGAGAATTCCAGAGTGCTACAAACAAAGCCATTAGCAACATAAAGCAGCAGCCCTGGCTAGTTGAAGATCTGGTATCACCGTGTGTGAAAAGCGACAGCAGCACCTTGTGCTTGTGTGGAAATTTCACTTCCCTTGAAGAAGGCAATTGGCTTTTCATATAGTATTCAAGTGGCAGATAAAAGTGACGTTTTCCCGGTCTAGGAGCTATTCTCTTTCCTTAAAATGACTTTGCATATTTCAGATATAATTTTAGAATGTTCTGATAACAAATATTAACTATTAAAACACTATATTATTTCCCTTTTATTTAAAATTTTCAGATGCATCCTGTACTTGTTTTTACCTTACTACAGTCCCTAATCTAGGTAATTTTCAAAGATTACTTCTTTCTTTATTATCAGAAAAACTCTTCAATTGATATAGTTCATCATATTTTCACTAATTCAATCAAGCATTACCACTCATATAGTTCACATTATATTCAATATCATATGTGATGTAATCAGATTTCTGAGACCGTGGATAATTTTCAGAGCCACATGTGCTTACCTGCCAGCAGCTCTTCCACCGCTGCGAAATGACAGTGTGCCCCTGATGACAGTGAGTATAGCTCAGAGCAAAAAGGGTTTCATATTTTGTTGTTGTTGTTGTTGCTTTAGTTTGTTTGTTTGGTTGGTTGGTTTTTAGTTATCGCTATTATTATTATTATTATTATTATTATTATTATTATTATGAGATAGGCTTATTCTACCTCCTGGGCTGGAGTGCAGTGGCATGATCTCGGCTCACTTTTATTTTTTATTTATATTTTATTGTGGCCTTGACCTCCCGGGCTCAAGCAATCCTCCCGCCTTAGCCTCCCAAGTAGCTGGGACTACATGCATGCACCATCACAGCTGGCAAAATGTTTTATCTTTCTGTAGAGAAGACATTTCGCCATGTTGCACAGGCTGGTCTCAAACTCTTGGGCTCAAGTGAGCCACCTGCCTTGGCCTCCCAAAGTGTTGGTATTACAGAGTCGAGCCACGGTGCCCAGTTAAAAGGAGGGTTTCACATGCCTGAAAATACTCAACATTAAAGCCGCAGATAGTGGTATGTGTGTCTTTGAGAACGGTGCGTTAGCCTTACATGCAGTAAGGATGCAGCACAACAATCAATCAGCTTCTCAGATCTGGCAGGATCCAACCTCATCCACCTCACACACATAATGTCACTGCCATTAGATCCTGGGGACCAGGTGTCAACTCTCTCAGATGCCTTTTACGATTCAATAAAATCTTAAGCAAAATCCACAGGACTTCCTAGTGGAAGAAAATAGAATTCTAAAGTTTGTAGGAAATCAATGAAAGAATAGAGGAAAAGGACTTACTCTATCCAATACCAAGACTTGTTATAAGGCTGTCTTAAAAATAGTCTGCAGAGACAAATAGACCAATGACCTAGAACAGACAATCCGGAAATATACCTGTACATAAGTGGAGATTTGATTTATGACAAAAGTGAAATTGCAGAGCAATGGAAATAGGAAGAGAATTTCAATAAATTGTTTCATATCAATTGGATACCCCTATTAAAAAAAACTTCTACTTCATAACATGTAGAAAAATCAAGTCCAGATCTAATGTAGTTTAAGTGTTTTATAATAAAACATTTATAAAAACAAATATATAAACATATATTCATAACTTTAGGTAGGAACATTTTTCTTATTCAAAATATGTGTCAACCATGAATAAAGCATTATAATTTGAACTTTATTACACTCAAGAAACTCTGCATATCAAAAGCACCCTGTTTGTTGAAAATCCTCTTGAAGAAAATCAGCATAGCCATTAATAGCATGACCATTTTTTTAAAAAGTGTCATTATTTACAAGCCTGAAAGCAAAGAGAACTGAGAAAGGCCGGTCATGGACATGGAGAAGATATTTCAACACATAGAATTTGCAAAGAGCTTGCATTCAAAAATAAAATACCTTCCATACAAATATGTAAATAAATGTGGATGTATCTAACAATTGGTTTATGTTCAAAAATAAAAAGAACACTGAAAGGCTGATGGAAATGGGTGAATAGATTTACATTAATTCTTTCCCAATGAAGATATTCAAAAGGGCAATAAACATGAAAAGTGGTCAAGTCCATTAGTAATTACAGAAATGCAAATTAAAACTAAATGAGTACTTCTATGCAGATACCAAAATGATTGTAATTTAAAAACGTTAAAAACCAAGTGTTGGTAAAAATATGAACTAAGGATGTGAGCATAAATTTATAAATGCACTTGAGAAAATGAAAGTACAAAACATTCATGTCCTATGACCTTGGAATGTCACCCCAAATGTCTGTCCAATAGAAATATGTATACATGGCACGCGGGACAGACACAGCATTGTTTTTAATTACAATCATTATATCAAACTGTCCCAACTGGAAACAATGTACTGTCTCTTAATTAGCATTGACAAACAGTTTTATATATATGCAACATTATATCATTCAGCAATGACAATGAATAAGCTTCTGCAACATGCAGTAACAGAAATATATCTCACAAACATGACAATGGGCAAAAGAAGACAACCAAAAAAGCCAAAAAAAAGAAAGAAAATAAAAGAAGGAAGGAGGAAGAAACAAAAGATGAAAAAAGAATGGAAGAAAGAAAGGAGAAAAATACATACTGTATGATTCTACCTATGAAAAACTCAAGACAAGTAAAACAAGTCTACCCTAGTAGTTATCCGTGGTTAGCAGAGAGGCGAGGAAAAATAAAGCAAGCTTTGGGGTTGCAGGTAATGTTTTATTTCTTGACCTGGGTGGGGATTGAACAAGTGTGTTTAGAATAGAATATGGTAACTTATTCAGCTGTACACTTATGAGTTGCAAGCATTTCTTGATTTTATATATCAATACGATTTTACCTTAAAATATGACGCATTTCAGAATCACGTACTAAATTCAAATATGTGAAAGTCAAAGTCGGGGTTCACTTTCTGGAGAGCTACATACTACCTAACCCCTAATTACCTACTTCCTTTAAACATAGGTCAGGTGGTTTATTTCTGAGCTTTCATCAGTAGTTTTAATTTTGTTCTTTCCTTCCTGATTGAATGTGGCATCGACTGGCTTCAGTCCAATGAGCAACCCATTAAGTCTAAAGAGTCTCTGTTCTCAGCACACCTGCTGATTTACAACTCCTCTGATTTTTTTTGAAGTTTGTGATACCTTAGCTTTTGCCAAGTATCAGCATTTTTATTAATTTTTACCTAATTATAAAAGTACCATATAATATTCTAACATTTGTGCTTCTATTATTTGTGTAGCTAATGCCAGTGACAAATCTGTAACTGGTCATTAGCAACTATAATGTCATTAGCATGTAATAATACAGAGTGGTTGTGTCTCAGCCGTTGCATACACTTTTGCATATAAAATTTTTCAAAACTTATAGTGTAAGTTATTCAAAAGCAGGATATGTTAACATTACGGACATCTGGTATATCCTAAATCATTTTGTAACACATTTTATTTCAAATATCTACATGTCTTCGCTTGAGATTCCTGAACCAATGCTTGGTCTATGTATCAGTGTTTGTGCATTTTGTTCAAATGATTTTTTTAAAAAGAGTTTCCTTTGGTCACGATAAATAGGTGTTATTCATGAAGCATAAAGAAAACAGAGTTGTTTTTATTTATATTCTCCTCCTTTCCTCAAGTTACAACCCCTTAACACTTTTTATTCTACTTTTAGAGTACCATGTCCGCTTAAAGAAAACTAGACATGTCACCATGTCTCTCAGTACTTTAGTCTTCAAGCAGGAGGAAAAAGTCCATAAACTGTTTCAAACAATGCCTGATGCGTAGCATTACCCTGTGAGTATTTGTACAAATAAAATAAAACACAATATAAAATAAGATAAAATAAAACATTGCCTGATGTAGTAACATCACGAGTTGGTTTTGGGCTCCCTGAGTTTGGAAAATGTTAAAGGTATTAAATAAATGAGTTTCTCCTTAATTTTGTTAATGCTCTTTTAACTAATAAGACTTTTTCTAGAGTTACATATTTTAATCTGTTTCATTTTTATTTTTTCCTTTGGTTTTATATTTTTAAAAGCCATTATATCCCTCCCACTGGTAACATACACATACACAGACACACATCTATTTCAAATGAATACTTACTACTTTATCATTTTCAGTCTTAATTGTACTATTTAATTTTTTTGTTGGGGTCTGTGAAGACATAGGCCAGTGTTTTTTCACCCCATTACCCCGCAAACTGTTTCAGCAGCAACGTTTGTGTATCTTCCTCCTAGCTTTAACTTGAAATGCCATGTTGATACAAGACAGATTGTTCTTTCTGTTTCTAGAATTTTGGATCTATTTTCACCAATCTGTTTATTTGTGGTCAAGTACTCTACTAATTTTAGTTATTTTTGCTTTGAAATCTACCTTAATATTACATTTTATCTTTATAAAATGTGAAGGCTTCTGAATTAGTTTTTTCCACCATTACTTAAATGAGCATTAGAATCATCCGATGTGAGCCTTACAGGATGAGTAGGAGTGAAAAGCTGAAGATGGCAGGGTTTCCAAAGGCACAGGGAGCCACAGGTGCAAAGACACCAAAGTGAATAGGCAAGGACTTTCTATACATCAGAAACAATATGGTGTGATTGGACTGCATAGTTTAACAAGGTGAGTGGCGCAACGTGGTGCTGGGTAGGTGGTAAGGAGCATGTCATATGCAATTTTCAGGGATGTTATTCTAATGGTAATAAGGGTTGTAAGCCAGGAAGATACATTGGACAGACTCATGTTTGGGGGACGCTCACCTTCAGATAGCAGTAGGTGAATCAAGAGGACAGAGACTGAGATGCAGCTATAATCAACATGGAATGATTAAGACCTGAACTGGGGCAGTGGGGGTTGAGAGAAGCGTCTAGATGATTTAAGACTGGGCAAGAAGACCCAGAAGGTGCAAAGGAAATGATTATGTTTATTTATTTATTTAAACAAATAGTTTAAGTATTTTATTTGTTTGCAACTGAGCTTGTCAACACTATATAATGAAAAAGTACAAATAATTATGTTGCAGTTTGGGGTTAGATTTAAGTCAAAGACATTCATTAATAAGGAGTCTTCTAATGTGAATATTCCAGAAATTTCTCTATGTCATCTGATCTGAACAACAGTCTCTGAATATTACCTTACTTTGGAAGATATTGGCATACATTTGAATTAAACCCAGGATCTTTCAAAATGAGTAATTTAAAACAACTATTTTGTATTCAAACCAAAACATTATTAATAGAATGTTGCTTTCCAGAAACAGTAATAAAGGAAACCAGGTGTATTAGTCTGTTCTCACACTGCTGTAAAGAACTACCTGAGACTGGGTCATTTATGAAGAAGAGTTGTAATTGATTCACAGTTTCACAGACTGTACAGGAAGCGTGGCTGGGCGGCCTCAGGAAACTTAGAATCATGGTGGACAGGAAGGGGAAGCAAACACATGTTACCATGTTGGAGCAGGAGACAGAGCAAGGGGGAAGTGCTACACACTTTTAAACAACCAGATCTCATGAAAACTCACTATCAGAACAGCAAGGAGGAAATCTTGCCCTTGATCCAATCCCCTCCCACCAGGCCCCTCCTCCAGAGTTGCAAATTACAATTCAATATGAGATTTGGGTGAAGACATAGAACCAAACCATGTCACTGGGCATTTTGCAAAATGTGGTTCTGAACAAGTCACAGCAAAAAATAAATGTGTTCTCAACATGCACCTCCTCAGAACAAGGCTGCTGTCTGTTCCTCAGCTGGGAGGTAAGATGAAGCCCAGCCTGTAAGCAACCTCGGGCAGGGGCTGCCGACACAAAGCTCCAGCAGTGAACACGGATGCCTCAAAATAACCTGGGGAACCTGATCAAAAGATCCAAGTTCTGTGTGTGATAACGAATACAGATATCGAAGCGGGTTCTGCTGTGCAGCTGCCGAGGCTGGCCCAGCCCTGCCCAGGCTCTCCTATATTAGCCTCCTGGCAAACCCTGGTGTTCTTCATCCAGGGAGACCTTTTCTCATCAGTGGCTCAATGTCAAGGGAGCTCTTTGTGTGAACAAGGTGAGTGCCGAAGATGCCATGTGGGTATTTTAAGCCTTGGTGTGAAAGTATTTTTCTAACACAGCTGGGCAGAGTCCACATATCAATAGTCTGTCTCCAGGTTGTTCTAATTTCTCACCATGCATCTATAGATCTAGGACCATAGACCTTTAGAATATCATCATAATCACATCTCATGTCTACCCTAATTTATGATTCATATTGAATGCCTGGAAACAGTCCCTGTATTTAACAATAATACCTAGACCTAAAATAATCCACTGTTAACAACTTATATGGTTACAAAACATTAATGATTTTCTGTAGACCAAGCAAGTATCTTTAACTATACTTGGCAAATGACATGACGTTATTAATGACTGCTAATCATATGCAAGAAGGGCAAAGAACAGAGGAGTCAAGGATTACTTCCAAGTTTCCGTCTTGAGACAATGGGGAGATGTCTAGCTATTAACCTAAATTAGAGACGGTCAATAGTGAAACATATTGAAGGGGATTTTGAATTCAAGTTATCCAATGGGATAGGTCCAATGGGTAGTTATGAATTTCTTTCCAAGTTTCTGTCTTGAGACAATGGGGAGACGTATAGCTATTAACCTAAATTAGAGATGCTCAATAGAGAAACATATTGAAGGGGATTTTGAATTCAAGTTACCTGATGGGATAGGTCCAATGGGTAGTTATAAATGCATACAGGGTGCTCCACAGAACTATCAAGAGTAATGGTCTTCATTTAGAGATTAGCCTGTGTAAACTGAGATCATGGGATTAGCTCAGATTACCCAGATAACTTAGGAAAAAGTGACGAGAAACCTGATGATGAAATCGCAGAATTACCAACACAATTCCAACAGTTGAAGAGCAATGGGCAGAAAAATCATGACTAAAGGGAAAAAGGAGTAAATAAAGGGAGTGAGTAACCAGGAAGAAGAGCAGGAAAAACAGTGGCCTGGGTTTCCAGAAGGAGAAATAGACACTCACACTTTCAAATGCTGCAGAGTACAGAGAGATGACAAAAGCAATGTATCCACTGGGGACTTCGATGACCCCTTTTATATACGAAGTTATCTGTTGAATTTTCACAGAAGTGAGAGAAAGGGGGAAGCCACAGGGATGTGGAGAGAATTGATAATAAATTCCAATCAACCTTTCACTCGTTTTTTCGACTTTTTTTTTTTTTTTTCTGAGTGCTGCTATGAGCCAAATGCTGTGCTGGGCATGGTCCTATAGCAGTGAACTAATCAAACAAATTCGCTGGCCCAATAGAGCCCAGCCTCTGATGCGGAAAGAGAGAAAACATAAACATATTTATGTATGGGAGAACAGAGAAGGCTTTACCGTGGAGCTTTTGAGGAGGGCCCTGAATTCAGTGAGGGAGAAAGCACTGTGGGCAGATGAAGCGGGGCAGGCTGTCAGCTGGGCCCATGTGGAGTGGGACTGGGGAACAACAAAGGGCCCAGCGTGGCCGAAGGGGAATGAGTAAAGGGGAGCGAGCGGGAAGATGAGGTATGAGGGGCAGAAAACAGTGGGAGCATGTAGGGCTGTGAACGGCATCGGGTAGGGAACTCTGAACACATTCTCAGTATGTTGGAGAGACTTTGGAGGGTTTTGAACACTGGCGTGCACTGATCTGAGTTATCTTTTATGAGAATGACTCTTTGAAGAACATATGGTAAAGTGATGGAATAGAGCAAATGTGAAATTTTTATTCAAACAGCTTGGTAGAAGGAAATAGATGAACATAATCACCAGATTGCAATGAAGGGAATGGGAGAATTTTCAATAGGAGAGAGGAGTATGTTCTATGTTGTAGAGAAAGAGGTACCCACGGTGACAGGGGAAGGTACAGCCGAGAGAGTGGGATTGAGGCATAAAGGTTTAAGGTAAAGAAGGATCAGATTTCGGCGAGAAAAAGATAGCTCTTCCACTGAATTGCAGAAAAAGGAAAAGGAGGAAGCCAACCGAGAGAATTTTATAGTGAACTCGAGAAGTCGAAAAAGTCTTCATGAATGTCCTCTATTATTTCCATAACATAGACACCAAGGTCCAGGAAGAACAAGAAAAAAGGCAGGAATCATTTGTGGAAAATGGAAAAGTCAAGAAGATTAGAGACACATGGAGTGGTTGCCCTTGATTATTCAGGCCTGGCTCAGAAGAGAGGCAATGAATTTGTAATGGCAGAAGGAAAACCTTCCCACTTTGTATAACTATTTATTCCAAGTGTGTCTGTTCTTATACTGGTCTTTATAATATTTTCCTAGTAAATATGTTTGGCAGTCATGCCCACAAAACACTGTATATAGGTCATGCTACCATTTTCAGTCAATTTACTTCCTTAAAACTGATTTGTTTAAAAGATTATTTTAATGAGACAATGCTAAAAGTTATTATTAGAACAGTGTTTCACTTCTGCCACAGGAAAAATATTATTTATAGAGAAAGTTAAATGTCCTATCTTTAGATTGCATGTTGAATCTCTTGCTAGAAAATATGTTTATAAATAGTCTCATGATATATAACCTATAGCTAATAAATTGCTATGGATGACTGAACTATACAGTACAAAAGACATTTAAGGACTAATACAAATGTTTTATTGCAAGTGAATTAAAGTTACACACTGAATGAGTGACTAATATAGCCAGAAATTATCCCAAGACAGCTATAGTTCAAGAGGCCAACAATAAACATATTGGGTACTGTTTTCATTAAAAAAAAATTTATTCTATTACATTAGGTTTTGCTCAGAAAAAAAGGTATTGCATTGTAACATTTAATGAAATAATGGCCTTTCATTGAAATACATTTTATTGTGGTAGTATTTAGACTTGTGATGTATTTTTATTTCTAACAGCTTAGAAGGCAAATGTATATGAAAAGCTCTAGCCTAATGATTTTTACATGTATAATTCCTTTTGCAATATCATCTGAATTAGCTTAGTGTGGACATTATTTCTGACTGGATACATGGCTCGCATCACCCAAACTTAGGGATGTTTTTTTCCAAGATACTCATCCACCAAACAACTGCCATTGGCATGAAGATTTCAAGAGCTTTCTCATTCCCAGGTTGTCTGAAATGTTTCACCGACATGCACTTGAGCTTATGTGTAAAGCAAGGGTAGGGGGCTCATCCTTGGAGGAATATAATGAACCATGATAAGGAGATAGTGTTTCCTTTCATACAAATACCAATGCAGACAGGTCCCTAGGCTTATAGATATGCTTCAGAATACACTGTGTAAACTAAGGTCTGGACTATGCAGTTTGCTGTACCTGTCACCCCACTGTCCTCAGCCACCCTGTCACCCCACTGTCCTCAGCCACCCTTCCTGCTGCTGCTTTGGCTGCATGTGAAAAAGTGCGGCCACCAAAATGCTAGTTAGGACCTCCCAGACGGCCAGGCTGAACACGCACCTTCCATAGGCTCAAGACTAGAATGAATTGTGAATGTAATGAGTAGGAAGAGATGCCTCAAGCAACCTCGAGAAGACAGATTTACTCTCTCAGAATCCAGGGAATAACAGATGAAAGGAAGAACCAGCTCTGGGTAGCAGGTGGAGGAGGTCTCACAAAATATTACTTCACACTGATTAGCTTCAGTGGTTTGCCCGTGACAGTGTGAGTAAGCGTACTCCACCTGAGGACCTTCTGCAAATGCTGTTATCTTCCCCAAACACCTAACCCACCAACGTGTGTACACAAGTAAAGGCTGCAGACTGGTTTCTGCACACGCGCTGATCTGCAGGGAGCTGGGGGCTGTAAGCCTGCCTGCATTCTTCAGCTGATTCCTGCAACACCCTCCATGCTCTAATTCCACCCAGGTTTTGGCATATCAATCTTTGAACCTAAATTATCCCCTCTTCCCACAAATTGAACGTTTGCAGCTACCTGCTAGCATTCTGATTAAGAAGAGTATAAATAGGTTTCACAATTTTCAGAAATTCTTCTATTGAACGTGATGGGAATTGAAAGAATATTTGCAGCTCTATTTTACTTACCATTGCCTACTCTGCCCAGAGGAAAGAGGGGACTGCACAGTGCCGGCTCTCATTTCCCTGTACTTGCCCCCAAATCCGGCAAGCACAGCAATTAGAAAACCTCAGTGCCGCATCTATCTCTGTTACTTGGAGATGTCTTAACATGTTCATTCAAACTTTACCACTTAACTATAGCAATTCAAAGGGTACAAAGGAATAGAAGAGTAACACTTGTTTTTATCACTTCCATTTCCAAGTGAAGATGTTTCCTTAACATGTAGTTCCTAAATTTCTGCAAACGGAGCAATAAATCTGAAATATTTGTTTTAAAGTAATCACCTTATCTCATATTGAAAGACATGTTTTAAAAGATTACCTTCCTTTCTTCTTTCTTCTCTCTTCCTCCTTCCTTTTTTTTATTCCATCTTCCCTTTCTTTCCATCCTTCACTTCTTTCTCCTTTCCTCCCTTCTTTTCTTCCTGTCTTTCCTTTCTTCCTCCCTCTTATCCTTCCATTATTTATTCATCCTTTCTACTGGAGTACATAGTTACTGAAAAGATGAAGTAACTTTTCAGACATAATATTTTCCACCAAACCCACATAATACTGAGAAACCCCAGTCAATAACCTGCTTCACAATGGACAGGATATCATCATTCCCTGTACTTGGAAATGTTAAAAAGGAATGCATATACCAGCTGAATAAATACTCAAACCATTTAAAAACTGACACAGGAAATGGTCATAAAAGTCTACTTTCTCTTGTCAAATGCAGGATTGGGTTACACATTTTAGATGCTCACACTCCCGGCATCCACACCTCCCATTGTGATCCAATCTGAAAATAATGCTAAACTATAAAATAAGATGAGAAAAGCTGTGATATTGTGATTTCTAATAGGAAACATATGTTTTTATCGTCATCCTCAATTCCTGGCACAGAGCTCTGAAAACCCCTGTTATTTCCTGAATGATAAGAGTGCTAGGTGCATCTTTGTTCTCGTATTTGGTCTTTGACCCTGGTTCAGGACACAGAGTTCCTAATCCCTTGGAATTTCCTGGATGATAGAAGTGTCTTTTGTTCTAATGAGATGTCCCTTGGTGCTCCTGGATGGGGGCTGGTCACCAGAAAGCCACGATTAGAAAGATGGAACTTTCAGTCTTATGCCCCCATCCTCCAGAAAGGGGAGAGGGACTGGAGTCTGAGCTGATAATCAATCACACCTACATGATAAAGTCTTCATTAACATCTCTTAACTGTGGGATTCAGAGAACTTCCAGGTGGGCAAACATATCCACAGGCCAAGAGGGTCGCACACCCCAATTCCACAGGGACAGAAGATCCTGTGTTTGAGGAACCTTCTAGAATTCATCCTATGTATCTCTTCATCTGGCCGTTCATATGTGTCCTTTGCAAATGAGCTAGTAAATGTAAGTAAATTATTTTCCTAAGTTCTGTGAGCTGCTCTAGCAAATTAATTGAACAGAGTAGCTAGATCGTTGGTCAGAAATTCTGGAGGTCCAGACTTGTGATTGGCAACTGAAGTCAGGGGCAGCCTTGTGAGACTGAGCCCTTAGCTCATGGGATTTGACTCTTACTCCAGTAGACAATGTCAGGCTTGCTCTGAATTATAGGACGCCTAATTGGTATCTGCTAGAGAAAAGTATCTGTGCTGTGTTGAGTGTAAGAGTAGGAAGGCTGGATGCGGTGGCTCATGCCTATAATCCCAGCACTTTGGGAGGCCGAGGCGGGCAGATCACGAGGTCAGGATATTGACACCATCCTGGCTAACATGGTGAAACCCCGTCTCTACTAAAAATACAAATTAGCCTGCGTGGTGGCATATACTTGTAATACTAGCCACTTGGGAGGGTGAGACCAGAGAATTCCTTGAACCCAGAAGGCAGAGCTTGCAGTGAGCCGAGATCATGCCACTGCACTCCAACCTGGGCGACAGAGTGAGACTCCATCTCAAAAAAAAAAAAAAAAAAGTAGGAAAAACAATTAGATTTTTCCTATCTCATGTGGTAGCCAACCAGGTTCAGATTTTTCTCATGATGACTATGTTGATGTTCTTTGTAGTTTAGATATAGAAGTTCCTTCAAAAAGATTCTGGTTTTTGTGATGGTTATTCTTGTACTGCTGGTGCTCAAAGTGTCTGTCTGGTCCATGTGTCTGGTCATGTAGCCCTGCTACCGTTCTTTTGACATTAGAGGTCACTGGAGGAGGAGTTGGTTTATACATATGATTCCAGCCTCTTTCCAGTTAAGCCCCTTCTTCGGTGCTCAGCATTATTTTGCGGGGGTTGATGGTATATATGATTCCAGCCTCTTTCCAGTTAAGCCCCTTCTTCGGTGCTCAGCATTATTTTGCGGGGGTCGATGGTATATATGATTCCAGCCTCTTTCCAGTTAAGCCCCTTCTTCGGTGCTCACCATTATTTTGCGGGGGTCGATGGTATATATGATTCCAGCCTCTTTCCAGTTAAGCCCCTTCTTCGGTGCTCAGCATTATTTTGCGGGGGTCGATGGTATATATGATTCCAGCCTCTTTCCAGTTAAGCCCCTTCTTCGGTGCTCTTTCCAGTTAAGCCCCTTCTTCGGTGCTCAGCATTATTTTGCAGGGGTTGATGGTATACCTGTAGGCTAGTCAGTGAACGTTTATTAAGCATTCCATAAGGGAAACACATTGAGGGATAAAACAAGGCAAAATCAAACTTTTTCAGATGTTTTAAACATTTTGTTGCTGCAATGAAGGAGCACAAGGAAAATAAACATATTGTTAACCGTTCAAGTGCTAATAAACTAGAAGAAAAATGGATGGTTTAGGTGATAACAGCTACAGGATATAAAAGGAGGCTAGAACTTATTCTGAATAATGCTTGTTATAGAGAAATTTAGACTTGATTCATCTTGAAAGGAAATCAAGGTATTATCTAGGCAAGAAAAAGAGGTCAAATGTTCATGGTATGGGTGAAGAAAATATATAAACCATATTTGAGGGCTGGTGAGTCAGATTAGCTGAAGTGAATGTTTTTAATAGGTGGGTAGTGGAGGATACGTTTATTGGATAGGTTAGCTCACAATTGTAAAGGTCCTCAAACACACCACCAAGGAATCTGGAATAAATGAGGAATCCCCACAGTCTTGACCAAGAGCACGGCAGGATTGAAGGTGTGTTTCCAGATTGGCCTGGAAGCGATGTGCAGCGTGTATCGGAGTTGGGAAGCAGGATATTGTACCACCCTTATTATTTAGCATTCTCTACATTGTCAAGCTTTGGAGTAAGTTGAAAGTTCCCCTTAGATCCCACTTGGTAGACTGAGAGCTCCCTATCCCATGTAGGAGGCACCGTACTGCTCAGCAGCAGGGATTCCTGACAGCGGTTGTCAGTCATGAAGCTTTCCTCAAAGCTCTTCCACATGTTACAACTCACCCATCTAGGGATGCACAGCCACACCCAGAAGACTAGACAAGCTGTCCAACAAAGAGTGGAGCTTGGCAATTCCAAGCTGCTGTCATTTTGAACTCTGGAGGTGTATGAAGATGTCCTTGATTTATATGAAGGTTTCTTACTGTGATCAGCTCCTATCTGAGGTCAGTAGAAGTCCCAATGTTTATTTTACCCAATGTCCTCAAAAGACATTGCTTTTCACTATGTGTTATGATAAAAGCCAGTCATTTTAAAAGTTTCTCAAATTGATACAACTTGGCTTGATAAATATCAACCAGTTATATGTATCTGTAATGGATAAAGAACAGTTAAAGCCATTATTCTCCTCCCAATCAGGTGGTCTGTAATTTTATGAAGATTCCTGCCTCCTAAGAGCTCATGGACTCAGTGAATTGTGCTACCTATTGTGGGAGATGTTAACTCCTGTTTTTAGGGACACAGCTCCACTTATTTTCAAGTCTGCTTTGAAGATAGATGTGGTCATGTAACCAAGTTCAAACCAAAAGAATGTGATCAGAAGTAAGAAGTGCCATCTGGGTCTAGTCCTTAAACTGCATGATGTGCCTTCATGTCCTTCACCCTTTATGGCCAGCTGCAATGCAGATAATCCCTAGGTTGACTTTAGAAGCCACACATAGTAGATGACAAATATTTATTAACACAAATCCTTAAATGACTGTGAGGAGATGGATCACCCACTGACGTATCCAACTACTAACTAATGTTACCTGAGTAAGACGTCAACTTTTATTGTGTTTGAACCATTATACATTCTGGAAACAATCTGTTATATAGCAGTTAGTTTACCATAGGTCATATAGACAGTCAACATTTGGTTTATTCTACCAAGATTAAACAATAAAAAAGGTTTTAAAAGGAAGTAAATTCACGGAAAGGTAATTTTGAATAATAAATTTTGGGGTCAACAAAGCTTTAAAAATATAGAAATTGAAGAAAATTGTGGTCATGCCATGCTTTTAAATATTTGGTGTATATACAAAATAATTAGGCATATTTAGATGATTAATCACTATCAAGGATTCTTAGTTCTGTGTGTTGTTGAAAAATAATATCTAAAATATTTATGAGTGTTACTACAAAGTTCAATTTTTAGATTTCTTATCTTTGTACTTTTTGAAACCTATAGAAATTCTGTGTGTAAAGAAATTCTTACCATGGCTAAGGCAAAAAATATTTTGAAGAAACGTTCTAAATTATGCCTTTCAAATATATTTTCATGATATGAACTGTAGTTCTCACCTTCTTAGGAGGTTAGCTATTTTGTTTAGTTGACCAGGATTGCTTCAAACATATTTAAGAAATATACTGTGTGAATCACATCATTTATTAATTAGTCAAAGCTTTTCCAAATTTGTTTAAAAGAAAAAAATTGTCCAGCATGTCGTAGGAATAGTTAGAACTAGAGCAGATCTCAAAACTACCTCTCCCTCTTTGATGTGATTTGACTCTGTGTCCTACCCAGATCTCATCTTGTAGCTTCCATAATTCCCACGTGTTGTGGGAGGGACCTGGTGGGAGATGATTAAATAATGGAGGCAGGTCTTTCCTTTGCTGTTCCCATCATAGTGAATGGGTCTCATGAGATCTGATGGGCTTTTTTGTTTGTTTGTTTGTCTGTTTTGAGACGGAGTCTCACTCTGTTGCCCAGGTTGGACTGCAGTGGCACGATCTCGGCTCACTGCAAGCTCCGCCTCCTGGGTTCATGCCATTCTCCTGCCTCAGCCTCCCAAGTAGCTGGGACTACAGGTGCCCGCCACCACACCCAGCTAAATTTTTGTATTTTTAGTAGAGACTGGGTTTCACCGTGTTTGCCAGGATGGTCTCTATCTCCTGACCTCGTGATCTGCCCGCCTGGGCCTCACAAAGTGCTGGGATTACAGGCATGATGGTTTTAAAAATGGGAGTTTCCCTGCACAAGCTCTCTCTCTCTTTGCCTGCCGCCATCCACGTAAGATGTGACTTGCTCTTTCTTGCCTTCTGCCATGATTGTGAGGCCTCCCCAACCACGTGGAACTGTGAGTTCTCCATGAAATCTCTTTCCTTTGTAAATTGCCCAGCCTCAGGTATGTCTTTATCAGCAGCATGAAAACAGACTAACAAACTCTTTAAATATTAAGCTAAATGATTAAATAGCATTACACCATAATGTTAAGTTCTCACTTACAATTTCAGCCAATAAAATTTCATTGAGCATCTAATTTTTAACTACCATATGGCTCCCTATTTTCATTTCACAGTGTTTTAGTGGCTTGGAAAATGTATACACAAGTGTGTACATATTCTTCTTATCCTTGTCTTTTTCTGTGTGCAGATGATGAACTTGGGGTAGAATGGATCTTTTGTTCAGAGAGACATTTGGTTTTCATAGCCTCTTTGACATTGGAGTCTAATAATATCTTTCCCAAGGCATTTTGTTATCCTAAAGGGAGTTTTAGTGACAAATCACTTAAAGTAGCTTTTTGATGTTGCAAGTGTTTTTATTTTTGTTGTTGTTGTTTGGTTGGTTGGTTTGGTTCATAAGTAGAGATCACAGATGATGAATGCAAAGATCTGCAATATTTTAAGGTCCTTACTTTGCAAAATAGGTCAGATATATAAAATTTCATGTTGGAATAGTAGCCAATAAAATTTTTGACATTAATTAGGAATGCAATAATAGTCTCAGCATGTGCTTCATTCTAAGATCTTAATGATAAACTCTCCTGGAAGTTTGATTGATTGTTTGTCTGGTTGTTTTGCCTTTACCTCAACAATTTTACCATGGCTTCCTTAACATTTATTTCATCTTGTGTGAAGAATATTTCACATAATTTCCTGGGAATTTTTTCCTTTTCTTGTTATTATATCTTCTTTGTACTAACATTGATTATACCAATGATTGAGTTAAATTTAATGAATAATTCTACCCTAGTTTCTTACGTATTGATGAAGACACATCTGTAATGCATTGTTCCAAATACATTGCAGACTCTAACGGTGAAGGCATCTTACATGTATCATATGATGTTCTTATATATGCCACTTGCTATTCATCCTGATGGACTCTTTTATGCAGCATCATCAGTATCAAATCTAAACCACTAGTTGATGGCAGATTCTAAAGCAGAAAAAAAATATGTGAACCCAGCTAAGCAATGAATCATTCAATCATCGCTGATTTCAGCATTCAGTACCTAACAACAGAAACGTAATTGTTCTTCCTCAGCCAGTGTTCCTGATAAAAAAATGAATTCCATATTTCTTTCCTTCTTTTTCTTTCAATGTGAAACATTGTTCAGTATTGTCATTAAAAAAAGAAATGCAAGAACTTTGGAATTCTCTCTTGAAGTTTTATATTTAGAGAGATTGTAAATGACAGGTTGGAATAAAATCATCTTGGAAGAATGTAAAATATTTCTGCAACCAAATAAAAGCATTATTTTGATCATTATAATTTTTACTAATAGTATACAATGTAGACTATGTACTATAAAGAAATTAACCAGTGATATTTTTTCATTTTTATTTTGGATTTCTAAATGTAACATTACTATATGGAGTTTATTAGATGTCAGATTTTAAGTTCTTCTGTGTGCATTAGATATCTTAATTTTTTTGCATCCTTACAACAACCTTCTTGGATAAATGGTATGATTATCTCCATGTGAACGTGAGGAACCTGAAGCGCTTTGTAGATAGATAGCGTGTTTGAGGTCACACAGCCGTTAGATAGCTGAGCTGGGATTGAAACACAGTTTGAGCAAACTTTCAGGTTTTACCCTGTGCGCTGTGCTGACTCTTCACACATTAAAATTGTAATTCCGCCTTAATCATAAATAAATAATCACTATCATCAGCTTTGGTTTCCTTTTTTTCCAAACTGACAGCTTTGTTCCTACTGCTTCTTTAAAAACCAAAGCAAGAAAAATCAAAGAAACTTGTCCTTTCACTTCTCACAATCAGACCTGAATTTTCCCTTGGAGGTATTTTGTTTACTTGTGGTTGTTGTTGTTGCTGTTGTTGTTTGTTTTCACGCTTGCTTCTTGTTTTCTTTTTTACTTGTGATAAAGCTCCCAGAACCTAAAGTTTACTGTCTTAACCATCTTTACGTGCACATGTCAGTAGTGTTAAGTACCTTCTCGTTGGGCAACTAAACTCCAGAACTCTTTTCTTTTTGCAAATCTAAAAGTCTGTATGCATTAAATTCTATATGCATTAAGCAACTGCCCAGTGTCCCCTCCCCACAGCCCCTGACAACCACCATTCTAGTTTCTGTAGATGAGTATGACTACTCTACGCACCTCCTATAAAAGTGGAAACAGGCCGGGCGCAGTGGCTCATGCCTGTAATCCCAGCACTTTGGGAGGCCGAGGCGGGCAGATCACCTGAGGTCAGGAGTTAGAGACCAACCTGGCAAACATGGTGAAACCCTGTCTTTACTAAAAATACAAAAAATTAGCTAGGCCTGGTGGTGTGTGCCCGTAATCCCACTTATTCAGGAAGCTGGGGCAGGAGAATCGCTTGTACCCGAGAGGCGGAGGTTGCAGTGAACCAAGATCTCACCATTGTACTCCAGCCTGGGTGACAGAACGAGACTCTGTTTCAAAAAAAAAAAAAAAAAAAGAAGAAAAAGAAAAAGAAAGTGGAAACAGTGTTTGCCTTTTTATTACTGGCTTATTTCACTTAGCACAACGTCTTTAAGGCTCATCCATGTTGTAGTGGGTCAGAATTTCCTCTTTTTTTTTTTTTTGAGACGGAGTCTCACTCTGGCCTAGGCTGGAGTGCAGTGGCGCGATCTCGGCTCACTGTGTGCTCCGCCTCCTGGGTTCATGCCATTCTTCTGCCTCAGCCTCCTGAGTAGCTGGGATTACAGGCGCCCGCCACCACGCCCGGCTAATTTTTTTTTTTGTATTTTTTTAGTAGAGACAGGCTTTCACTGTGTTAGCCGGGATGGTCTCGATCTCCTGACCTCGTGATCCGCCCGCCTCGGCCTCCCAAAGTGCTGGGATTACAGGCATGAGCCTCCGCGCCCGGCCAGAATTTCCTCCTTTTTAAGACAGGATAATATCCATTGCATGTATACATTACATTCTGTTTATCCATTCATCCATGGATGGACACTTAGGTTGCTTTCTGTTTACCTGTTTTTTAATAATGTTTTATTTACATTTCATTTGTCTCAGTTGACACATGAAAAGCTGTTGGAATATAACATTTTACCACCAATTATATGCCCCTAATTTGGAGTCTCACACCCCAGTGGATAATCTGGGATGATTGAGAATTGAGATTTCTATAATTTATGGATACTTAATAATGTATGCTTTAATTTAAGATTTGAAAAAAGTCAGGAAAACCATGTCACCTTTAGGATAGGTCAACAATAATGGTTTGATTATAATTGTTCTTTCCAGTTAAACAATGACAAAGCAACCCAGGTAAACCATACGTAGATTTCCTAGCAATGGAACTGAACGGAGTAAAAGGAGCTTAGGTTCTCTTCTATAAACTCCCAAGCTAAATGAGCTGGAATAAAAATCTAAACCTCTGTTTCCCCACTTGTCAAAGAAGGAGGTTGGACGAAAGACTCATTTTGTTTCTCTCGCTTGCTCAGTATCTTTGGCCCTTGTCACAGGCCATCTCTTTGCTCAAATATAAATCAAGTTTCGCAGTGTTTCTCACAAGTGCTCAAACTCACCTAACATCCGTCTTCTTGGAGAACAAATATATTGATTTGGCAAAACCAACTTCTAAATCAAAAAGGACTTCTGCAATAGAAATTTGCATTGAGAAAATAAATATATGCCAGCAGGAAATATGGGCAATGATTAGGAAATAAGCCGCTTTAACACACCTCAGTATTAAAGGGTATATTCACCAATTTGAAAGAAAAACATGTTTTCAAGTGCAGTCCCACAGTTCACTACCTCCACTTTCTGTCAGCAGACCTTTCCCAGCTGTAACCACTGTTCAAAGGCCACATACATGTGTTTTGGACACAGGCACTGGGTCATAATTTGCTCTGTAATTCTAGATTTTATTTTCAAAATGGGAATTTTCAAGGGAGCAACTTGCATGCAGTATGCTTTTGGAGAGTTCTAAAGGTTAAATACAGTATCCAGGAATTTTAAAGCCAAGGGACCTCTGAGTTGTCCCAAAGTATCTATTCATCATGAGCCTTTCATTTCACCCCAGGGCTTCAGCTAAATATATTGCATATAAAAAGTAATTTCTTTTTCTAGCTCTGTCCTCCTAGGACCTAGTCAAAAATCTGCATGGTATTTCCAAGGAACACACTTCCTTCTCTTATGCCATCCAGTTTCAGATTTTTATTTGTGTTACTCCTCGCAGTACAGAGACAATAGCTTCAAAATTGGAATCTCACAAAGCGTTTCTTCTAAAATCTCTGCTTCTTTAGTCCACTTTACACCGAGCTGATAAGAGCAGCCCAACCGGCAAGCGTTCCATGTACATCAGCAATATTTCCAGCCCACTTGGTTGACCCGGTTAGATCAAATCTGAAGGAATGTCAAGCTGTCTTGGAAGCAAACAAATAGGTGTAGCTGATCCCACACCCCTGTGAGTTGGACGGCTTCTTTTCTACTTGTAAATCTCTAGCAAATAATTCCTGGGCATTTAGTGACTGGGTTTGTGTTTTCAAATCAATTTATATGGCTAAATGTACTGTTTAAAAGAAAATATTATTATGCAATGTTTTAGTATTGTAGAATGAGAGTTTCATATCTCAAAGGATAGATTTAATCTCAGCAAACCTGACTTTCCTTTGTGCTGCTGCTTCTCTTCTGAATGACTCTTATTTTTTCTTCTTGGTTCTATGTGGCTCTCTCAGTTCCTTAAAATCACTCTTATAAATTGGAAACAATTTAAAATGCATTCTAGGCCCTCATATGCCTATAATCACGCCATTTTCCTGGATGATTTTCATCATTAAAGAGTCCCCTTTGTCACTGTCTTCTGCCTGGTCAGTTGTCATGTACGTTACAATGAAATTGTCGCACTGCTTTAATTGGAAGTCAGTATTCCCTCAACCCACTTACCTTGTGATCCAGCATCTACAATGTAATAGAGTTAAACTCTCAAGAGAACATCATCATGACCAACAAGGCAGAATCCCCGAGTTATTTTTGCCCAAACCAGCATTTCCTAAGTAGAGCCTGAGTTCACCACTGCGTCCACGCATGGATGTGCATAGATACCAACCTGGTTACGGAATGTTTGAATGGAAAACTTCCAAGTTGACTAAATATTTGTCTTTCAGGTATAATAGTGAGGAAACTGGTCTTAACTTGACTCTCCAGATAAAGGATTTTTCTGAAGCCATTCTAGCTCTATTTCTGGTGTCTTTACAAATTACATCCTATTAAAGTAGTCCTGGGATGATTGAGTCCAGATGCTCCTCAATTTACAATACAGTTATGACCCTGATGAACCCATCATACCTTGAAATTATCATAAGTCAAAAATGCATTTAATGCATTTAATACACCTAACCTACCGAATACCATAGCTTGGCCTAGCCTACCTTAAATGTGCTCAGAGCACTCACATTAGCCTTCTGCTGGGCAAAGTCACCTAACGGAAAGCTTATTTTGTAATAAAGTGTTGACTATCTTACGTAATGTTTTGAATACTGTACTGAAAGTGAAAAAGAAGATGGTTGCATGGGTGCTCGAAGCATGGTGACTACCGAGTGTTGATCGCTTTTGCACTGTATAAAGTCAAAAGATCTTAAGTCAAATAATAAAAAGTCTGTACTTAATTGAACTAAAGAAAGTTTCAGTCAGTTAAAGATCTACATCAGGAAGAGAGACGAAGTGAGACTTTTGTAGAAAAAAAAGGGGGGGCATTCAAATAGCTGCAATGCTTACACACATTTTTAAATCATTGTAAAAGAAAACAAGATAATTTCTGTGATTGGCCTGGAGGCTGATAATAAACTGTGTTGGTTTTAAGGCCTGCCTACAGGTGGCAGTGCTGTTATCACATAATTCATCAGCAATGATTTGGCCCGTGCATCATTAGAAATCACTTTGAACATACATTGAGTGGCAGTGCCTTCCGCTAGTCACTGTTATCAGCAAACACTTCCTAAATGCTTACTGAGTGTGTGTGCAGTACTGTCCTTGGCTTGCCATTAGGTGTTTCCACCTGCAGCCATTTCCAAGACAAATCCTCATTGACTGATGATGTACCCAGCAAGAAACAAACATTGTAGCTTCTCTCTCTCTCTTTTTTTTTTTTTTTTTTTTTTTTGAGACAGAGTCTTGCTCTGTTGCTCAGGCTGGAGTGCAGCAGCATGATCTCAGCTCACGGCAATCTCCGCCTCCCAGTTTCAAGTGATTCTCCTGCCTCAGCCTCCCAAGTAGCTGGGATTACAGGCACCCACGACCACGCCCAGCTAATTGTTGTATTTTTGCAGAGATGGGGTTTCACCATGTTAGCCAGGCTGGTCTCAAACTCCTGACTTCAGGTGATCCGCCCAACTTGACCTCCCAAAGTGCTGGGATTACAGGTGTGAGCCACCACACCTGCCCTAGCTTTTGTTTAAATGGCACACTGATACGGTTTGTCTGTGTCCCCACCCAAATCTCACCTTGAATTTCCGCATGTTGTGAGAGGGGCCTGGTAGGAGGTAACTGAATCATGGAGGCAGGTCTTTCCTTTGCTGTTCTCATGATAGTGATTAAGTCTCATGAGATCTGATGGTTTTAAAAAGGGGAGTTTCCCTGCACAAGCTCTCTCTCTCTTTGGCTGCCGCCATCCACATAAGATGTGACTTGCTCCTCCTTGCCTTCTGCCATGATTGTGAGGCTTTCCCAGCCACATGGAACTGTGAGTTCTCCCTGATACCTCTTTCCTTTGTAAATTGCCCAGTCTCTGGTATGTCTCTATCAGCAGTGTGGAAACGGACTAATACACAGACACTACATTTCTACATAGACCCCCAAGTGTCTTCGTTTTGCTGTAAGTATGACAAGCATTTTCTTCCCTTCTGAGTAAAGATTTAATTCCATCTATAAATGAACAAAAATGAGAGAAAGCTCACTAGCAAATATCATTTAAAATAACTTTTTTTTTTTTTTTGAGACGGAGTCTCGCTCTGTCATCCAGGCTGAAGTGCAGTGGCACAAACTTGGCTCACTGCAAGTTCCACCTCCCGGGTTCACACCATTCTCCTGTCTCAGCCTCCCGAGTAACTGGGACTACAGGCACCTGCCACAACACCTGGCTAATTTTTGTATTTTTAGTATTTTAGTAGAGACAGGGTTTCACCATATTAGCCAGAATGGTCTCGATCTCCTGTCCTCGTGATCTGCCTGCCTCGGCCTCCCAGAGTGCTGGGATTACAGGCGTGAGCCACTGCGCCCGGCCTAAAATAACTTTTTTATACAAGGCATTTTCTACAAAATTACAGTCATTGTAAAGAACACAGATTTAACTTTAATATATTGCTTTGTAGGGTGAGCTAAACTGAGAACCAATGAAATTTTAAATGCATAGGGGAAAAAAGAAACAATAGGAAACCAAGAGAGCAAATGCTGTTTCAAATTAAATGAGGGTAGAATTCAAGGAATTCTAATACCACAAATACACCTCTAAATTTGATTCCCATTGGTTTCAGGTACAACTCTTAATTCCTACTTCACCTCTTTTTATGTTGTGGGGGGAAAAATGATCAAGGGAGAAAAGAAATTGGTAATTTCAAAGCTTTTTTTTACAGAATACACCCTTGAAGGTTTATACAAAGTGCCAGAGTCACTCGACCTTTTAAAGATCTTTCTCTAGCAGTGAGTTGAACAATATTACAGCAATAATCTATTACCCTTTAGTTATGGTCTAAAGTTGGTACTTGACTGTAATCCGAGGAGACTTCAGCAGCCCCCACCCACAGCTAAAAGGCCAGCCCATGCACCAGCACTTTCATATACTGGCTGGAATGGCCCCTAAGGGCTAATGGTGCTACCCGAGGCCTACTTTACCCTCAGAATAGCTTCACACTGTCGCAGTGAAATAAAAGATAGCGACGAATCTCTGAGCAAACGGTTTTCCTTGAGAATATATATAAAAACAGAACTGCATTCCAGGGTGTACGCACAGACCACGGTGGTCCCGTATGCCCTAAGAACAAAGGAAGAGGTTGGAGTTTTATTGGGAAGGAGAAATGTGATGTAAATTGTTTTCAAAGTGAGTTCACTGGTGCTAGTGAAGCCTGTCGGGAGCTGGCAAGCCCTGCAGGGCGGGGAGTGATGTCCCCACAGGGCGGGGAGTGAAGCCCCTACAGGGCGGGGAATGATGTCCCCACAGGGCGGGGAGTGATGTCCCCACAGGGCGGGGAATGATGTCCCCACAGGGCGGGGAATGATGTCCCCACAGGGCGGGGAATGATGTCCCCACAGGGCGGGGAATGATGTCCCCACAGGGCGGGGAATGATGTCCCTACAGGCGGGGAATGATGTCCCCACAGGGCGGGGAATGATGTCCCCACAGGGCGGGGAGTGAAGCCCTACAGGGCGGGGAATGATGTCCCCACAGGGCGGGGAGTGATGTCCCCACAGGGCGGGGAATGATGTCCCCACAGGGCGGGGAATGATGTCCCTACAGGTGGGGAATGATGTCCCCACAGGGCGGGGAATGATGTCCCTACAGGGCGGGGAATGATGTCCCTACAGGGCGGGGAATGATGTCCCCACAGGGCGGGGAATGATGTCCCCACAGGGCGGGGAATGATGTCCCCACAGGCGGGGAATGATGTCCCCACAGGGCGGGGAATGATGTCCCCACAGGGCGGGGAGTGATGTCCCCACAGGGCGGGGAGTGAAGCCCCTACAGGGCGGGGAATGATGTCCCCACAGGGCGGGGAGTGATGTCCCCACAGGGCGGGGAATGATGTCCCCACAGGGCGGGGAATGATGTCCCTACAGGTGGGGAATGATGTCCCCACAGGGCGGGGAATGATGTCCCTACAGGCGGGGAATGATGTCCCTACAGGGCGGGGAATGATGTCCCTACAGGGCGGGGAATGATGTCCCCACAGGGCGGGGAATGATGTCCCCACAGGGCGGGGAATGATGTCCCTACAGGGCGGGGAATGATGTCCCCACAGGCGGGGAATGATGTCCCCACAGGGCGGGGAATGATGTCCCTACAGGGCGGGGAATGATGTCCCCACAGGGCGGGGAGTGAAGCCCTACAGGGCGGGGAATGATGTCCCCACAGGGCGGGGAATGATGTCCCTACAGGCGGGGAATGATGTCCCCACAGGGCAGGGAATGATGTCCCTACAGGTGGGGAATGATGTCCCCACAGGGCGGGGAATGATGTCCCCACAGGGCGGGGAATGATGTCCCTACAGGCGGGGAATGATATCCCTACAGGGCGGGGAATGATGTCCCTACAGGGCGGGGAATGATGTCCCTACAGGCGGGGAATGATGTCCCCACAGGGCGGGGAATGATGTCCCCACAGGGTGGGGAATGATGTCCCCACAGGGCGGGGAGTGATGTCCCCACAGGGCGGGGAGTGATGTCCCCACAGGGGGGGGAATGATGTCCCCACAGGGCGGGGAATGATGTCCCTACAGGCGGGGAATGATGTCCCCACAGGGCGGGGAATGATGTCCCCACAGGGCGGGGAATGATGTCCCCACAGGGCGGGGAGTGATGTCCCCACAGGGGGGGGAATGATGTCCCCACAGGGCGGGGAGTGATGTCCCCACAGGGCGGGGAGTGATGTCCCCACAGGGCGGGGAATGATGTCCCCACAGGGCGGGGAATGATGTCCCCACAGGGCGGGGAATGATGTCCCTACAGGCGGGGAATGATGTCCCCACAGGGGGGGGAATGATGTCCCCACAGGGCGGGGAGTGATGTCCCCACAGGGCGGGGAATGATGTCCCCACAGGGCGGGGAATGATGTCCCTACAGGCGGGGAATGATGTCCCCACAGGGGGGGGAATGATGTCCCTACAGGGCGGGGAGTGATGGCGGGCACCGTTTCACCTGGACATTCTTAGAGTCAGGCCAAGTCATCTGGGCAGCCTCCAGGCAAAACTGGTCTGAAGGTTCTAACTGCTCTTCTGGTAGCTGAGCTTTCAAGACAGTTCCTGGAGCGGGCGCTGTGTGTCCTGCTTTTTACCAAAACCCCTTCACTCTGATTCCTTGGCTGTGACAGGAATGACTCCGATTCGCATAATCGCTTCTCAGGTACATAAACTAACAGAGCCTGCGGTCATGTGAAGAGTCAGGCTCACAGCACTCCCTTAACATAAGTGGGCACATATTTTGGTTTTAGATGAGGCCTTGAGACACAAAAAGCAATTTTAGTCTTAGATACGTGGCAACTTTGATGGCGCAGCCAATGGCTAAAATGTGGCTTACTATTAATCGGATTTTAATAGTAATATTCAGTAACTTTTGGGGTCCCTGAATGTTGGCTTTCTTGTACAGTTGTTGTTGTTATTGTTAGTGTACTTTGCATTTCATGGCTTTAACAATGGTAGTTTATTGCCATAATGAGAGATATCTATTTCTTTCTGCTATGTGATTTTTAAAAATCCTCGAGGATGGATTATTAAATTTAGCTATTTTCCAGTGAATTTAAATATTGCTGAAGAAAAATATTCTAATTTAACTCAAGTCACTGAAAAATTAAGCAGTTAGAATTAAAATAAGAAGTCACTACTTCTTTGCTGGAATAGTTTCTTTAATGAGGAAGTTAAGAACATGAAGGCATGAAGGTTGGTACTTGCCTTCCACCAGCAAAATATAAGAAGGGCTTAGTCTGTATCGTTTTTTGGTGACATAAACAGAACGGTCTCCGTCATATTCCTTTCATGCTATTTCCCTACTCATGTGCCCTTCTTACTTTGAGGTTTGGAATCACAGTAAGAATAATACTGGAAAGGATTCCAAATGTAGTTTTGTCTCTAGAAAAGCAAACTATGCTACCTCATTAATGTTTTACTCCAAAGGAGATTTTCAAAATACACTAGGCAGGGTTTAAAAACTGCTGGAGCTGCACTTTAGAAGTGTGGTTTTTTAAACCATCGCATAAATACAGATAAACTTTATATTCATCCTTTGGTGTTTACTAACCATACAGAAAAGGAATATTTAAAGCCCAACAAGTCTCATATTGCAGTTTCGGATGCCACATTTCTCCAAGGGTAAACAGAAATAATTAAGGTAATTATTGTTCGGGTCCTCTGGCAGCAAAGTACGTTTATTTCAAGCAATAGATGTTCAAAAAGATGTTTGAAAATGCATGGCTCTACCTGAACCACAATTGCATAAGGAAAGAGAAAAAAATATATCTGCAGCAAGATTTTTACAAGCCTGCTGCAGCGTTTCTTGCCCATGTAAATAGTTTCACTGCTGAAAAGCTGAGTCATTGCTTTTTCCAACAATGGTTTCCCACTAAGTAAAAGAAAACAATCTCTCTCTCTCTTTTTTTTTTCCCCAGCAGCCAATACACAGCGGCTGTTAATTAGTGTGTCTATGGGTGGCATTTGAGACTCTACAAGGCCAAGCATTCTCCACTGTGGCTAAAGTATCAAATTACCCCCAGCAAGAGGCCTCCTAAGGCCCCTAGCATGCCAGCAACACCCCCAGCCCATTTTGGATTTTGCAGAAGGAGGAATTTGAAGGACTATTAAACACTCTGTAAAATGCTCACAACAGATCAGCATAAAGCCCCACAGTGCAGGTGTTTCTGTCCTTAGAGCAATGCTCTGCTCAGGGCCCTCACACTCTCCCTCTTCTCCAGCATTGCTTAAGCCCCACAGTGCAGGTGTTTCTGTCCTTAGAACAATGCTGTGTGCTCAGGGCCCTCACACTCTCCCTCTTCTCCAGCATTGCTTAAGCCCCACAGTGCAGGTGTTTCTGTCCTTAGAACAATGCTGTGTGCTCAGGGCCCTCACACTCTCCCTCTTCTCCAGCATTGCTTAAGCCCCACAGTGCAGGTGTTTCTGTCCTTAGAACAATGCTCTGCTCAGGGCCCTCACACTCTCCCTCTTCTCCAGCATTGCTTAAGCCCCACAGTGCAGGTGTTTCTGTCGTTGGAACAATGCTGTGTGCTCAGGGCCCTCACACTCTCCCTCTTCTCCAGCATTGCTTTGGGTTTTACGAAGCGGTTCAGGAAACCTAAGCGCTGACTGGACTTTTCTGAAAATTCAGGCCTCCGCGTTTTGTGTAAAGTCAAGAGATGGGTTTTATTTTTCCACCAACCTTTTCTTAAGGAGCTGGCATTCCCATCAGGAAGATGGGCATTTACAGTTCCTTGAACAAAGCTATTTGAAATCAAATATTCCAGATGCATGACAAGTTGACACATGAGGGATTAATGAATATGTTGTGTGCAGAACATATTGCAAATGCTACAAACCCCTTTATTTCTGGAACTACTTTACAATTTTGAGCTAACAGTATATCAGAGTAATCCTTAGATTAATCCGAATAACATGATTGCATGCTTTATCTGAATACTTACTGCTTCCACTCGAATGTCCTAGATTGCTAAACACTGCCCCTAACTTCTGTTATGTTTGCATATAACAGGCTGATAGAAATTGTAAAGAACCAATGAAGGAAGATGATCCTTTGGGTGTTTAGCAGGCAGAGTGCTTTCATTCTGCATATTCTCCCCTCAGCTGTGTAACACCTTTGCTCGGTGAGCCATGCTCTCTGATTGCTATAAGAAGCACCTTGTTTTTCATGCTACCTTTAGCAAAGTCTGCAATTTGCTACATTGCTAAAAAAGCTCCCTCCTTTTCCACTTGCAGGTGATGAGTCTATGAAGCAAGGTGTTCTCTTTATACAACTATCTGGACCCCCGGTACATTTGAAGGCTGAATGCCTTTGTTGTGGGGAAGAGCTGCTCCGACAGAGAAATGGCTTTCCTTGAGAAAATGGCTCACTGCTGAAGAAGTCTCCATTATGAAGAGGCTTCTTCCTAAATTAATGATTTGCTTCAGTGCAGGCTGATCACAGAAAATAATATAAGGTACAGATCAAAGACTCCAAATATTAGAACATGGGCTATGGAAGATCCATCTCCAAGCTTCCCAACTTTCTTTTCCAGAGATTAAGGAACAAGATAGGAGACCATGCCTATGACTCGTCCCACTGATTGTCAAGTAGAAACAGTGGAGGAATTGGAAGTTAGTTTAGCTGAAAAGAAAACTAAAAGGAAAATTAAAAAATTTACAAAGTATCACTTATGAAAATGCTCTTTAAGAGAAGATTGAAAATTAGACCATTTCCACTCAATATCACCAAAACTAGACAAGACCCCTTCATGAAGTCCTAGAGTCATCTCTATAAATTATGATGCATAATAAATATAGTTAACAAGGATGATAATCTGTTTGATTTTGATGTTGAGGCTTCTCACTGGAAAGGTCAACTACTTGTCTTTATGGTGTGTTATGGTGTGGTCACAAGCTCCCCTTGTACTTCATATTTCATTAGTTGAAGTGGTGAAAATTAAATGTAAATGACTAAAATATCATTCAAAACTGATAGCAGCCATTGGACACTTTATCTATCTTGCTCATTTTTATCATTTACACATTACTTCACGTACTGGTTATTTTTTATTTTATATATATATCATATAAATTTTTCCCATATAAAATTATCTTTCATGAGGACAGAAACTGCTAAATAGAATTATAAATAAATGGGGATATTTTTATAGTTTGTATGGCTTGGTATGCAGGCCACTTGTCTAATAACTTCTGTACTGATGTATTGAAAGCATATTTATGAATATGTTGCACATCATTGAAGGACAAAAGATTCATTTCCTTGTTATAGATGCCATTACTTTCATTTTATATGAGTGCATTTCATCAGCTTACTGCCATTTCCTTGAAATTAGCGAATGAATCTTCTTATTTTTAATTGATAAATTGCAGTTTATCTGAGTGTACTTGCTGAGATGACTTAACAAAATGAATATGTAAGTGAGTCCGAGTTCAGATTATAGATAAACATGTCACTGTACATCAGAAAATGAACAGCACCAATGATAATATAGCAGTTTTTATTAAAATAAATCAACTTTGAAAGATAATAACATTCAAAATGATTGATCTTCTTAGAGTAAATTTTAAATCAAAATTATGATATGATTTTTTTGAAGGAGAAATGACAGGATTGGGTTTTTTTACTTTATCCTTGCAAATACTTGTATGTTTCATTTGGCACAACAGATGAATTCTTGTATAGCTGTTTCTGTCCCAGTAAATTATTCCTAGGTTAAATACTTGAAGGAATATTGCTAACTACAGGAATCTGATAATGAATTGTTTTGTTAATATAGAATGTAACTAAAGTTTTCTTGTTAAATGTGGCTTTTTGCTTTAAAATTAATTTTAAGGTGGATTTGAATTGAGTACAATTTTTTATGTATAATGTTGATGGTTTGCATTAGTGGAAAACCTCAGCCAAATGATGTACAGGACATGGGACTTGCAAAACTTCCAATAGTCACAATTGCCTGGAGTCCTCTATTTGCCCCCAAGAGCAGTATTGTACACATTAATAGCTTGCTCAGGGCCAGTGGCTAACATATTTCTATTTTACAAGCAGTTTTACCTAACTTCTAGTTACTGGTACTAAAAGCAACATTTAGAAAAATAAATAGAAATTATAAACTTTGCCGGCTTAAACACGCAAATGAAGAAGTCAAAAATAAGTGAATGTTCCAACAGGGAAGTGTACGTAGGAGACTGGAGTAGGCCTTTTATTAATGAAAGTACTTACTTTTTTCAATTTCAAAACATTTATTCTATCATAAATATGTGTACACATATGGAAATATATACAATATGAACAAAAAATGTGTTACAAATGGGTTCTTTTATGTGTGATGATACACAAATGTATTTTTTTTGTAACTTGTCTACTCTCTTTACTTAAGTGTCTTTCTATTTTTATTGTGAGATATTGTTGAAATTTTGTTGTAACGCTTGCATTATAACTTTTTGAAATATACTGAAATCACACACATAGATGTACATAAAGAAGTATCACTAAAAGATAACAGAATAAAGAGTATTAAACATATGTGAATCATCCAAAATAAGGCAGGAAAATGGAAACAGGACAAATAATAAATGGGACAAAAAGAAAACATTTTCTAAGATGGTAGCCTTAAACCAACACACATTAGCACGTTGACTCAAATACCCTGAGAACAGCATGTGAAAAGAAATTATTATTGTAAATGAAAATTAGTCCACTAATTGATTAATTAAAAAACAAACTGTACAGCAATATGCTGTTTAAATAAACACACTTGAAATATCAAGAAAGAGACAAGTGGAATGTGCATGAAAGGAAACCTGGAGACCAAGAAAGCACTGAGCGTGAGGAAACAGGTGTGTCAGTATTATGGTTTTAAAAAGGCAGACTTCAAGACCATCGGTAAACCAAAAATAAAGGAAGTCTCATGATCATGTAAAGTCAATTAAACAGGAAGCAAAAACAATCTTAAATGCGTCTAATAACAGTGTTTCAAAAAATTGTGAGGTCAAAACTGGCAGAAGTAAGGAGAGGAACAGGCAGATAGAGATTTTAATCCCTCTCTTTTAGTAATTGATAGAAAAACAGAGAAAAATATAAGTAATAATAGAGAAGATTTAATCAATCCTAGCACTCAAACTGACCTGATTGACATTTCTAGAACATTATGCCCTAACTTCAGAACACACATTTTTTAAGGAACATGGAACTTTCATCAAGATAGATGATAGATTGATCAATAAATCAAACCTTAATAACCTCTATAGGATCAAAATCCTTAAAAAGGCTGTGTTCTGATTCTCTTACTACAACAGTATGAAAATAGATATCAAAAAAGGAAATAGCTACAAAATCCCCAAATACTTTGAAATTAATGAATTTCTGAATTACTTAGGTCAAAGAAGAAAAGCAAGGGAAATGAAAACATTTTATATTGAATTATCTTGAAAGAAATGTTAGAAGAGAAGTCTAAAATCATCATCTCAGCTTCTAATTAAACAGCTACGAAGCTAAGAGCAAATTAAACACAGGAGCTCAAAGAAAGGATCCAATAAAAATGAAAGTAGAAATAAAATTAAAAAACTGACAGTGGAGAAAATCAGAAGAGACAAATCTGATGCTTTGAAAGGATTGATAAAACTGATGAACACTTAGCAAGATTGATCAAGCAAAAAAATAATAATTTTCCAGTATGAGGGATGAAGGGAGGGAGGTCACCATATACCACACAAATACCGAAATCCTTATGCCGATTAATTCGACTAATTAGATGAAATGGGAAAAAAAGTCTTTTTTAGGACACAAGTTACTGAAATGGACTCACCAAGATATAGAAAAAAAATAGGTGTGTATATTGGATTAATAATTTTAATGAGGTATTAATGGCTCATTGGTAAATTCTATCATATATTTTGTGAAGAAATAATATCAATCTTATAAACTCTTTCAGAAAATAGTGAAGGAAGAAAAAAACTCATAACTTGCCTAGTAAAACCATCACATAATTGATATTAAAATCTGACCAAGATCTTAGGAAATTACAAATAATATTCTATCTGTCATGAATATAGACTGAAAAGTCTTAAAAAATATGTGAGAAGCTAGAATCCAGCAATAGGTCAAAAGTACAACTCCAGGATCTAAGATTGGTTAAACATTCGAAAATCTATCAGTTCTTCAACACATTAACATAATAAAGGAAAAAGCATATTATTTTTTCAAAAGATGCAGAAAATAAATTTTCTGAAATTACTAGGCATTTAAGGTTCAAATGCCATGCAGAACATTAGGAATAAAAGGGAAATTTCTTTATGTGATAAAGGACATCTAACAAAACCCTAAAATTATCATACAAAATTATCATAGTAAAATCTGTACACTTAAAATGTATACAACTTACTGTATGTAAGTTAAACTCCAAAAATATGACTAGTTAAATGTTTCAATGTTTTGTGTGTACTTTAGAATAGGTGTGTTTTTGAGTTGTTTAGTGCAAGCTGTTTTATACAACTGTGAGGTTAGGCCAATTAATGTGTCTCTGGAATCACCCATACTTTTAATAATTTTTTGAGTGATAAATATATGATTTATTAGGAGATATTTTATGTCTTCTAATTTTATTTTAGAATTTTCTGACTATGATTCTGCCAATATTTGCTTTATTTATTTTATGTATTTATTTATTTTGAGACGGAGTCTCACACTGTCACCAGGCTGGAGTGCAGTGGTGCAATCTCGGCTCACTGCAACCTCTGCCTCCCGGGTTCAAGCAATTCTCCTGCCTCAGCCTCCCGAGTAGCTGGGACTACAGGTGCCCGCCACCTCGCCTGGCTAATTTTTCTATTTTTAGTAGAGACGGGGTTTCACCATGTTGGCCAGGATGGTCTCAATATTTTCACCTTGTGCTTTATTTATTTTAAGGCTGAGTTTTTAAATGCATTGAAGTTGATTATGAACGTGGCCATGCAATTTTCCCCTCCCTAAATTCACACCTTTATGATGTGCTGCAGCAGGTCCTTCCACCCATGGATACTTGGAATCTTGCTCTACCTCTTGAATTTAGCCTTGTGTGTCACTTTGACAGGTGGGATATTAGGAAAAGTGAGAATGGCAGAAACTTTAAAATCACAAGTGTTTTGGTTTTCCCATTTCTTGGTACTTTTGGGATTCCTGTTAACACTGTTACGTGAAGAGGCCATGGACAGACTGCTGGCTCCTGAGAGACAGGTGACCCTGTCCCTCTAGTCACACAAGCTGAAAATCACCCACTGAATTGTGAGCTCCGTATATGATTGTATTAAGTCACAAAGTTTCTGGGTGTTTGTTACATAGCAACACTTTCTGATATAAGACATGAGTTTAAAAGTGTAATAACCTCTTTTTGAATGGGCAATTTCCTAATTATTTAATGACCTACCTTCCTGCTATGCTTATCCAATATTAACAGGGCTACCTTGCTTTATTTTGGTTAGTATTTGTGTGGTTTGCCTTTCACCATAATTTTATTTTCAGTCTTTCTCTTTTTTCTTCGAATATTTCTTGTGAAAACAAGTAAATTGTTGATATTTTTGTTACATTTAATCACAGAAGATGACTTGAATCCCGTGAATTAGATGTTCATTGACATTGACTGTGGTCTTCATTTTTTCTTTTGCTGACATCTTTTTGTATTCTTTCTACTTGTCGTGTTTTCTGTGTCATTTTTCCCTTCACGGTATTTTTTCTTCTTTGATTTCATTTTAAATTTAACTTGATTTAGAAGTCACATAGCAAAAATCTATTGTTGTATGTGCTTGAAAGTTTTTATAAGTATCTTTCAAAAATCTAAAATTATTGTTATCCTATATACATTCTCCTGAAAATGTACACACTTTAGAATGCTTTTGGCTCTAATCACCCCCTCAAGCTTATATTTTATTCTTATCCCAATTTTACATACTTATAGATTTTATTCTGCAAATTAAATATTTTTAACATTATGTGTGGAAAATATTCTTTTAGGTTCACCCACGTTTACCAATTTCTTTGCGTATTCCTTTGTGAATCCCAGGTATCACTTCTGAGTTTATTTTTCTTTTCTTGGAATATAAACTTGGAAGTTGCTTCACAATAAGTTCTGTTACAGTTAATTTTCTCAATTCTAATTTAACTGAAAATTGATTTTCCTCTTGCAATTTTGTTTTTTAAAGATAACTTGAATAAATCCACATGTGTAAGTTATCAGTTGTATACATATTTTTTACTGCCTTCTGGCAGAGGACATTTGCTATCAAAATTCTGTCAATTAAACTTTTATCTGTTTGTTTTTTAAATAGGTGATTTATTTTCTTTCTGACTGCTTCTAATACTCTTTATTATTATTATTTTCTATTTAGCAGAGTTAAATGTTGACATTTCCACAAAGCAAAAGCAATGGCAGGGAAAGTTTTTTTGCAGCTCAGCAAAGATCATGATATTTATACCAAACTGCACTAGTAGTCATTACATTATTTACCACTACACACAAGCAGTAATATATGAAATAAAAAATAGTTTTACTGGACGATATATTGATGAAACAGTGAAAATTTTTAATTTTATTGAATCTCAACCCTTAAGTATATGGCCTTAATAGAATTTCATTTTTACATGTAACGTGTTAAAATCTTATTTTACTTTTTAAATGCCCTGGAATTCTCTTCGGTAATTTTTAAGAAAATAAATAAATTTTAACACCAATAAGTTTGAGAATTTCTTAGGTGAATCTTAATTAGAAGCAATTTAGACAATTTTATTTTTATTCTGTTTTCATCTATTTACCTCCCTGTACTTAGGTCTATATAATTTTCCCAAAAGGTTTTTCTGGATCACTAATTCTCTCTTTAGTTGTATCTAATTTTCTCCTTAATCTTTTCATTGAATTTTAAATGCCAATCACTTTTTCATATACAGGCATTTTAGATTCTGTGTCTGATATCCCCACTGTATTTAGTATTATAAGTCTGATAGGCTGTAGTTCCCCATATTTTATCATTATCATTATTTTTATTATTTTACTGTTAAATACTGTCTGTCCAAACTTAATTGCTAGACACTCTGAGGGGCCTGGGTGAGGAATGGCATCCAGTAAGGATATTCCTTTACTCCTGACAGAAACCAAGAGGGATTACCCACCTGGGAGCACTTTAAGTTAATGTTTATAGGAGATTTCCCTGATCGTGTACGGAATGTAAATTCAAACCCCAGACTATATGAGGAAAGGCCTACCAATTTTCAGAGGAAAAATTAATATTATTTTTAGAAATCACATGGAATGTACAAAGGCAAACTGTTTTCTGGGTTCATACCATGTAGAGCAGTGGTCCCCAACCGTTTTTGTAAAAGGAACTGGTTTTACGGAAGACAACTTTTCAATGGGGGACGGTTTTCAGGATGAAACTGTCCCACCTCAGATCATCAGGCATTAATTAGATTTTCATAAGGAGCACGTAACCCAGATCCCTCATAGGCACAGTTCACAATAGGGTTCACGCTCCTATGAGAATCTAATGCTGCCGCTGATCTGACTGGAGCTCAGGCAGTAATGCTCGCTTGCCTGACACTCACTCCTACTGGGCGTCCGGTTCCTAACAGACCCCAGAGGGAACTGGTCAGCAGCCCAGGGGCTGGGGACCCCTGATTTAGAGGACAATTTTCAGCCTATCAACTGTTACTGAGGTCAGGGCACCATTAGGTGTCCTGAATTTATGCAGCATTCAGAGATTGAGCAGTCTCCCATCTGCCAGGGCAAAGTTCCAGTGTCTCATTTCTATCAAAGCTCTCTGCTCCTGCCAAAGGCATTTGCATCCAGGACAGCCCCGATCTCTGCATTTATTTGCCACTCTGGGGTCAGCTTCCTCTTTTGGGGTGTGGGGGAAACAGAGTAGGAGGCCCTTAGGGATGTCCCTTACCTTCCTGTAAACTCAGCAATGCATTTAAGATTTATGATTGTAATGCGTCCAGCATCTATATGTTTGATGCCAGAAAGGGGTTTCAGAGTATCTACCTTGCCATTCTGATGGCAAAATAAATCTATATCCTAGGGCCCTCAGGTGCTTTCTGAAGTAATTTACGCATGTACCTAGTTTTGTCCTTGTGTTTGTGTCCTTATATAATATTGGAGAAATTATATATATAATACAATTAAATTTATATTAAATAGTATAAGGAATATTATTTCTTATAGTAAATAATACAAACAATTAAGAAATGTTATATAAGGGCCTGAAAACAAGGATGTCGTGAAGCACGTGTCTTTTGCTGCATTGGAAAATTTTAATCAAACAGTAACAGTTAACCAAGATTGTCTCATTTACAAAGTTACAAAGTTTACAAAGTTATTTCACTTGAGTTAGGCAAACTTGAAAGCTTCCTGGTTTCAGGCAACCAGAGAAGAGAAGAAAATTACTGTTTGAGGAATTTGGGCCCCAGGAAACATGATTCACTGTGTACCTGCTTTACAGAAAAAATAAATATATACAGCTGTGAACAAAACCACTGTAATTTTCAAAACTCCCTCATTTTCTGAAGCGTTCCATTTCTGTCTGCTGTGAGTCATCTGGCTCATCAGAAAAAACAAACATTGAGGCTCTCCCCTACTGTATTTTAAACTAAGTGATAGGTTGGAAATTATAGTGCTGACAGACCGGATGGGATTAGAATGCTGACACACAGATAATCCCACTGTTTCTTTTAGCTCATTCAGCACATGTGGTTTGATGTAAACAGTGTAATATCACCTGCCTCCCTCTGCATGCCCATTAAAAAATGCAAATAAATCCTGGCTTACTTTGACTTTAATGGTTATGGTGTCCGCATTTTGTATTCTCTATCTGAGCATTGGTCTAATTCCATTCAAAGTTTGGCCTTCTAAAATCTTTAACTTTCTAGAATGCAACTTTTTTTTTTTTTTTTTACATTGCACAAGTAGGGTGTTTATCTGGCTTTCAGTCAACGAGTGTGGCCCATCTACTGCCTGCATTGATTACTTGATTTGTGGTGAAGGAATAATGAGGTAATACAAAGTCAGAGTATTTCTTTTACAATACTGCTTGCAGAAGCAAACCCTGGAAGTTTGGAGTTTCCTTTTTAATGTTATATTTCTGATGAAGTTTGATGAACCAGAAAAATTTGTACTTTTTTTTTCAGATATGGGGTCTTCCTTTGTCACCCAGTTGGAGAGCAGTGTGATCATAGCTCACTGCAACCTTGAAATGCTGGGCTCAAGGGATCCTCCCACCTCAGCTGCCCAAGTAGCTATAGGACTACAGGTGTGCATCACACACCTGGGTATTTTGTTTGTTTGTTTTAGAGATGGGGTTTTGCTATGTTGCCCAGGCTAGTCTCAAAATTCCTGGCCTCAAGCAATCTTCATGCCTGAGACTCTCCAAGCATTGAGATTACAAGCCTGAGCTACTATTTCTTGCCTTGAAGTTTTGTTTTTAATGTTATATTTCCAATGAAATTTGGTGAGTCTGAAAAATGAGAACTTTTTTTTTTTTTAGAGATGGAGTCTCGCTCTGTCGCCCAGGCTGGAGTGCAGTGGTGCAGTCTTGGCTCACTGCAATGTCTGCCTCGTGGGTTCTAGCAATTCTCGCAGCTCAGCCTCCCGAGTAGCTGGGATTACATGTACCTGCCACCACATCCGGCTAATTTTTTGTATTTTAGTAGAGACAGGGTTTTACCATGTTGCCCAGGCTAGTCTCAGACTCCTGAACTCAGGCAATCCACCCAACTTGGCCTCCTAAAGTGCTAGAATTATAGGTGTGAGCCACCGTGCCTGGCCAAAAATTAGAACTTTCTAATAATACAAACAATAGGATAAACGAAATATATAGAATAATTTGGGCTACTGAAATAAAAAGATTCACTCCAATAGTTAAATATTTAGATTTTAAATTTAACCTACTTTACAGACAGATCAAAGATGTTTTTCATAGTAGAACACAATATGCCAAATTATATAATTGTTTGACTAGGAGGTTGGTTCTACTTAATGTCATATATTTATGTTTGCATATGACAACAGTACTTAATTACAAGGATAAAATACCTCGGAAACTGCTTCTGCCCCTCCATGAGCAGAAATATTTCCCCTTATTCTCCCCTGGACCCTGAGCTAGCTGGTATAGCGACCTTTTGGGACCTTCTGTCACTTTCTTGTGGACTCAATAATACATTTTCATGTTCGTAGTTGTAATTTATTTGGCATCTGGAGTGTTTTATGGCAGAATCTGTGTTTGGTCATTCCTATGGAAATGTAGCCTGGACCACACCATGTCGAGTATTTTTCTGAAATCATTTCCAAATGTACTTGAAGGGCATTTATACACACAGTGATTAAATTATGCGCGTTATTTTACCTGTTCTGAGGGCTTAGAGCTTGGTTCCTTGCATGATCAGACAAGCCATTACATAGAGCTCATATACCCCAGAGAATGTTCTGATGATTCTGCGGTGCTGATTCAGGAAGGTGTGCCCCTATGGGATTGTTATGGACTGAATCGTATCCCCTCCACTTTATACCTTAAAGCCCGAATCGCCAACGTGGGTGAATTTGAAGACAGGCCTTTACAGAGGTCATTATGTTAAGTGAGTCCACAAGTGTGGAGCCATAATTCAGTAGGACTGGTGTCCTTATAAGAAGAGAGACACTAGAAATGATTGTGCACATAGAGAAAATGCCCCGTGAGGACACAATGAAAAGGCGGCCATCTGCAAGCCAAGGGGAGCGATCTCAGGGGAAACCAATGCCAGTGGTGCCTGGATCTTGGACTCCCAGCCTTCAGAACCGTGAGAGTGTCCATTGTTTAAACCACCCCACCCAGTCTGTGGTATGTTTTATTATGACAACCCCAGTCAACTAATAAAGGAATGTTCTAGAACAAATAACTATGATGCACAAAGGATATTTTCCAATCATTTATTTCATTGTTTCTTAACCTATGTGGCATAAATAGCACAGATGTTCATGTAATTGATTTCATTACTAAGTGATGAAAGATACAAAATTATTACTATAATATACTGTACTCCAATGTGCATTATTATTATTTTTTGAGACAGGGTCTCACTCTGTTGCCCAGGCTGGATGGAGTGCAGTGGCACGATCTCGGTTCACTGTAACCGCTGCCTCCCAGGTCCAAGGGATTCTCCTATATCAGCCTCCTGAGTAGCCGAGATTACAGGCACCCGCCACCACGCCCGGATAATTTTTTGTATTTTAGTAGAGATGGGGTTTCACCTTGTTGCCCTGGCTGGTCTCCAGCTCCTGAGCTCCAGCAATCCACCTGCCTTAGCCTCCCAAAGTGCAAGGGTTACAGGCGTGAGCCACCACACCTGGCCCAATGTGCTTTTTTGATGAGGAAGAAATTAGTGAAGCTACCTTTGATAATAATAATGACAATAGTAATAACTATATATAATAAGTATTCACTAACATAGTATAACTCTATAAGATTTGGCCTAATATTATAATAACTAGCATTTGATAAATATTTCTAATGGCAAACCCTGTTCTCATTCCATGCCTTTCTTATTGGACTTATTAATATTATCCTCTTTCCTGGTGAGCAAATTCAGAGGTCAGAGATACTAACTAACTTGCAAATGATCATAACGTTAATAATTACCTAGGGCTCCAGTATGTTCTTAGGAACCACCTGGGCGTGTAACCCACAGGGCAATATCATTCATCATGCATTTCAAGGTAGAATAAAAATTATGCACAAACGTGGACTTGGTCCAAGCCTGTATTTAGCAGATGACTAAGCTAAGTGTCAAGAAAGTTAAAGACATACACTCAAAATTAGACATCTAGTTACAATTAGAATCAGAACTAAAACCCAGATTGACTGAACAATTATCAAAATCTCTTTCTGCCACACTGTGTAAAGTCATACATTTAAAAAGTGCCATTAAAATTAAAATTACAAGTGATAATGAAATATGTGAGATCTAATCAAAACAAAAATAAAATGACACAAATAATAATTTATCATTCACCATATTTCCAATTTTGATATAGTTACCTTTCATACAGTTATAAAAGCATTCACATTTTTAAGAATATTTTATATCTTTTATGTTTATGTTTAAAAAACTTAGTCAGTGGAGAGGTGATGTTGATGTGAGGCTTAAAAGCAAATTTAAAAACAAATAATAAATAAATTAATAAATTAACTTTTCCATCATACCTCTCAAAAAAATGAGAGTATTTTATTAAAATACAGATTTGCAAATTCAATTTTGGATTTTATTTTCTTGTTTTTTTTTTTTTTGAGATGGAGTCTCACTCTGTTGCCCAGACTGGATTGCAGTGGCACCATTTCGGCTCACTGTAACCTCTGTCTCCAGGTTCAAGCGATTCTCCTGCCTTAGCCTCCCCAGTAGCTGGGATTACAGGTGCGCACCACCATGCCTGGCTAATTTTGTATTTTTAGTAGAAATGGGGTTTCACCACGTTGGTCAGGCTGGTCTCAAACTCCTGATGTTGTGATCTGCCTGCCTTGGCCTCCCAAAGTTCTGGGATTACAGGCGTGAGCCACCACGCCTGGCCCAATTTTAGATTTTCATTTGAAAATTTAAATCTCTTCATATCTCATAAACAGAGAATTTAGGATTGGAGGCATGAAATTGTAAACTTATTTATTAAAGCCATTGTGCATCTTCTGAATTATGGTTTGTTTTTTCTGATTTAATCTTATAATTGTCTCATCCGTTCTTCACTCACATTATCTGACTCACATAGAGATTAGAGAAAATAATCTTAGAAAATCAGTAAAGTTGGAATCGTCAAGAAAAAAAAATCCTATGGGTCAATTCTAAAGGGAGTCTTGATGGAATGTTTTAATCTTATTTTAAAAGGTCAAATTCAAAAATAAAATAAAAGACTTTGACAGAAACAGGCTTTGCTTTTTTTGCTGTTGAAAAAACTCTCCTAGATCTGTAACGGTTCCCACATCACAGACATTTTTGTATCTGGACATCTTATTAGACAAATGTGGAGTCAGCACCAACCACCCCTGGGGCCAGTGCATCCAGGACTGCAGGTGCAACCTCTCAGGCAGCTCCTCTCTGCAGAGCATCAAGCAGAATAACGTGCATTCCTTCATTTTTACATATATCCAATGAATTCAGGTCGGTAAAGTGTATTAAATCATACCTAAAAAACAAATTTAGTTATATTGTCTTCATACAATGTCCTTCATATAATATGCAAAATAAGTAAAATGCTATATTGCTTATTGATAACAAAGAACTAGTCTCCACTTTTTACACATAGCCACATTAACTTCTTAAAATATAATTTCCACATACATAAATAGACATTCAACTAATAGCTAATCACTCACTAAAACATTACTAAGAATAATGTGAAAAATAGCATTGGAACAGTAATGGTAAAATGTAAATTATATATAAGATATAGACATATTAAAATATTACATATAAAATATAAATTATATAAACAAAAGAAAGTTATATTTAAAAAATTTTCAAACAATGTGTTTTTTATTTTAGCTAGGAATTTTTATATTGATGTGAATAACAATATTAGATGAAGCCAAAAAAGCATGGACTTTGACTTTATGTTTTGTATATTCAAATGTTTGAATATATTACTGAAAAATGGATTATCACAAAATACAGCTGCTATAATTGCATTATTAAAGGTGTCCTAATTCTCAGGCAGCAAATGACCCATTCATCTGGCACTGAAACAACAGTCCAACAAACCCGACCCTGCAATCATCATCTGAACGACATAAGAATTGGCTTTACCTTGTGTCAATGGCTGAGGGTTTGTCTTTTCTAAGAGCAAACATTAGATGTAACTACATCAAGTCAATACTCTGTACATCAAAGTCAACAGGCAGATTTGACCAAAAACTCAAATTTTAGCATTTTAATAAGTAATGACTTAAAAGCATTAAAAACTGAATCATTCCTACTTGTGAAGTTTTAAAATTATGGATTTTTCTTGCTTTGTGGTTGCGAATTTAAAGATAACTTACTACTGATTGGTTTTATGTGAGATGGTTTTGTTTCCAAGGAAACAAAAAAATTATGAACATAATTAATCTAGATTTCATTTGTTAACACTACTAAAAAAATCAATGAGGCCGGGCACAGTGGCTCACACTTGTAATCCCAGCACTTTGGGAGGCCGAGGTGGGCGGATCACAAGGTGAAGAGTTTGAGACCAGCCTGACCAACATGATGAAATCCTGTCTCAACTAAAAATACAAAAAGTTAGCCGGGCGTGGTGGCGGGCACCTGTAGTCCCAGCTACTCAGGAGGCTGAGGCAGGAGAATCGCCTGAACCCCGGAGGCGGAGCTTGCAGAGAGCCCAGATCACACTACTGTACTCCAGCCTGGATGACAGAGTGAGACTCTGTTTCAAAAAAATAAAAAATAAAAATAAAAAAGAAAAGAAAAAAATCAATGATTATTTATTTTAAAAAACCCTCCCTTTCGGAGAAAAACCACGTGTAAGGACAAGAGCAGTTCTTGTAAAATTCAGGGTCACAGGAGTTGAAAAGAACAAGTAGCCGTGAACGTTGAATTTTGTTTGAAGAGGTGAATATGCTTCACGTACAGCCATTGTGGAAAGAAGAATGTGTAAGTACCTGTTATTCTTTGACCATCTGTTATTTACTGAAAATAGATTGTTTAAACCAGTTCATTAAGCTCTGATTTATGAATGTTAATTTTTTTAGAAAGATTTCATCTGTGAAAATAAAATATTTGGAAAGCAAAGTGGGATTTTTAAAAAAATTTATTTAAATCTTCATAAATTTAGCTTTCCATGAGCACCCACTTGGCTAGACAGATAAAGAGATCACTAGTCAGAAAGACTTGGAAGGACTTAGCAAATATGAAAGAATTACCTAAGGATAAAAAATTCTATGTATATATTCTTAAAATTTCCAATGATTTTAGTGACATAATTTCTCTTGGAGTTTCAAATTGTGAGTCACTTCTTCTGAGGATAGCAGAATTATGTTTTGGAAATTACTCAGCTCTGAGGTGCAGTATAGCTATGCCACATTCTGGCTTGCATAAGTTATTATCTTTCCTATTTATTTACTTTTCTGGGGATGGTAGGACAGCCATTATTATCAGATCGTCATTGGAAGTAACAGATCACATAATCTCAACCATTAACTCTTGTCATCCACAGCTTATCTCTTTCAGCTTCTCCACCAGCCCTTTCCCAAGTGTAAGTCATAATTTCTCTCCTACGATCATACCTATTACGCCTCTCCCCATCCTCACCCACTCCCACACTGCACTTGACTGTATGTGCTTGGGATCAAAAAGGCCCTTTGCTTTCACCATTGTAACCCATTGCCTCTCATGGCTTAGCCAGTTCTCATTTCCCACGAGGTATGTTCACATGTATCTAGAGTTTATTTGTGGTCTTCAAGAAGATCTTCTAAGTTGTTTTTTTCCATACCTGCCTCCTCAATAATTGTGAAATTACAAACTGGTTAGATTTGAAATTATTGTGGAAAATTATTGTAATCAAACCATTACGGAAAGATTGCCTTAAATGAACATTGCCCCTTCACTGGTCAGAAAGAGGTGCCTGGGGATTACAGAACGTGGATGCCTTGTGGATGGTGTTAACTGGGACTGACTCAAGCTTGTCTGACAACCTGTTTTTCAAAAAAATTAAAATAAATCCATGACGTTGCCCGGTCTAGGTATGCTATTGTTAGTTACGTGCATAATATGATTTACCAGAAGGTTTTAGAGAAAAATGGGAAGGATCGCCTTGTGGCATGCTAAGCATCTTGGAGATCATGAGTTAATGTTGGATAGTACAATCAAGCTGGCACACACCGACAACAACCTTAATTTCCTCATTAGAATTCCCTGTCGGTGGGCAGGTCAATCACAGCCATTTAAATCCTCACACCTGTGCATCTTCACAGTTTGGATCAATGACAAATTTAAAAACAAAACAAAACAAGCTTCATCCCCAGAAAAACACAATCCTTGAAATGATGAGTGACAAATCCTACAAAAGAAAGTGCTGTCTCGTGGTGTTCTTAATTTTTTTTTTAAGAGAGATTCATGTTTACTGTAGGCAGGCGTGCCTGTCTTTACATACTGATGAGTTCTCAGGTGCAGTGTCATTGAACTTGAGAAAGCAAAGCTTGCAAAATGAAGAAAAGCAGCTAAGTAAAACTGCTGCAGATTGCAACCACCTGCTCTTAGCCTGGATTAGTAAGTGCTGGAAGTCCGTTGCCACATTCTTAGAAAACAGATCGACCACCACTCTTACTCTCAGAGAATACTGCTGAGTGAAATTGTTCTTAAATTAACTCGAATTTCGCTGTCAATAGCTACTTATGAGAGAATAATCAGGGTGACAGTCCAATCTGAGAGATTTGGTGGGGACGTTGTTCATGGAACCACTCAGACAATAAGCAAGGCTACAAACCACACTGAAACCCAACTAATAGTCCTATAAAGAGTTCTTTCTGATAAACATAGAAATTGGCCATTCTGGGTCTTAAAGCTTAACGCTTACATTGGTTGTATCTGAGTTTCTTTCTCAGGAAATGACCTACAGGCTGCTCCAAAAAAGTATCAAATAACTGAAACCAGATCACCACACCAGACAATGGGATGCCACCCCTCATTCACCAGGATCCCTTCCTCGCCCCTCCCGGGTTCCTGTTTTCCTACACAGTTACATTTCTTCTCTGCTATATAAACCCCTAGTTTTAGTCCCTCAGGGAGATGGATTTGAAACTGAGCCCCCATCTCCTGGGCTGGTGCATCCAATTAAAGCCTTCTTCTTTGGCAAAACTCTTCTCAATGACTGCGGTTCTGTGCAGTGAGCAGTAGGACCTGGACTGAACCCCTAGTGTTTTGGTAACGATATCATAAATTAGCTACTTAAGAAATATGTGCTGAAAACATTTTAACCATGTATCACATATGACAGGAGTTATTATTGCTAGACGGTAAGCTCTGTGAAGGTACGTATTTTACTGTTTTGTTCACTGCTGTGTCCTTAGAATGAGAAAAGCCTTCCACATAGTAAATATTTGTAGAAGAACTGAATATATGTACTCAGCGCCCACATAATTGTTTATAATTATCTTTTCTTTTATTCATATTATTGAATGTCTAAGTAGCTTTGTTCTCAGTAGCCTATGAAGTTCAAAATAATGTTGCCCATCACGTACCAGGTATTTTTACATGCAACACATTATTTCATGTTCATACAGGGTCTATTTTCTTATTTTATAAATAAACCAAATAAGACTCAAAAGTTATTCAAAGACTCATCAAAGGTTGTTTAGCTAGTAAGTGTGGGATTTAGGTTTTGAGGGGCTTGATGGTGTTGATACAATTTAGATGTCACATATATTCTAGCTCCCACTTTGATTCTGCCGCATTTTGTTCACCTCTTCAAATAAAGGTATGTGTCTACAGCTGTGTTTATTCAGTTGGATTTTTTTCCTATTTTGTACCAATTATTTGCTCATTTATAATGTACACCCACTCACTTTCACAAGGAAAGAGAAGCAGGATGCTCCTCACTCTGGAGGCTTCGCCTAAAGCCTTCATGGCCCGACTGTGTCTGAAGTATGAGAGGAGCAGAAGCAGAAGGACAAAGGTCCAACAGGTGCCTCTCTCCGATCCACTTAACACGCGACAAAGGAGGGAAGCAAGCCAAACGAAGACGCATATCATGGAAGCAGGACAGTGGAGATGCAGTAGGGGAAGAAACATGCACACATATCAGTAATTGTGAAATTACAAATATGTTAGATTTGAAAAGGGGGACTTGAAATTATTGTAGAAAATTATTCTAATCAAGCCATTATGAAAATACTACCTTAAGTGAACATTGTCTCTTTCACTTCTATTAAAGTGTGTGAGTTATAGCTTGACTTTTTCTACGGCAAAACTGAGTAGAATTTTTTCATTCACTGTAGAAAGAGAATACACTCAGCTCTAGAGGTAACTTCTCCTAAAGAGAATACACTCAGTTCTGGAGGTAACTTCTTCCTAATCCATAACTAGTGAACTATTTTAGGCATGCATGGGTGAAAATGAAGAAATTGTTGTTGTTGCTGTTTTTAGAAGATTATATTCGTTGTACTGTTATTTCAAGAAAACTGCAATAAGGGCTCATATTATTTTATCTACATAGCATTTTACAAGTACAAATGTTACATCACAACTGCATAAATACTAATATGAATTTCTTGAAATATTTTTTGAGGGTAATATCAGTTTTTATTAATATACTTTTGTATTTTATTATATTAATCCATATTTTTGCAAAAGCATATTAAAGAAGTTTGAAGTATTTATAAAAATGTATACTAAAAAAATTAATGAGTAATTATTGTTAACCCTTGGCACACTGTGGACTTCCGAGGAATGTGGGATAAATATAAATATGCACACATACACACATGCATGGCACAATTTACTGTCTTTATTTGACATTCAGGGGTACGCGTGCAGGATGTGCAGGTTTGTTTTATAGGCAAAAGTGTGCCATGGTGATTTGCTGCACAGATCATCTCATCACCTGGGTAAAAGCCCAGCATCCATTGGCTATTCTTCCTAATCTTCTCCCTCTTCCAACTGCCCCCGACAGGTCCCAGTGTGTGTTGCACCCTGCCACCATGTGTCCATGTGTTCTCATCATTCAGCTCCCACTTACAAGTGAGCACATGCGGTATTTGTTTTTTTGTTCCTGTGTTAGTTTCCTAAGGAAAATGACCACCAGCTCCATCCATGGCCCTGCAATGGACATGATCTAGTTCCTTTTTAAATCTGCATAGTGTCCCATGGTGTATATGTACCACATTTTCCTTATCTAGCTTTATCATTGATGGGCATTTGGGTTGATTCCATGTCTTTGCTATTGTAAATAGTGCTGCAATGAACATACGCATGAATATGTCTTTATAATAGTACAATTTATATTCCTTAGAATATATGCCCAGTAATAGGATTGCTGAGTCCCATGGTATTTCTGCCTCTAGGTCTTTGAGGAATCGCTACACTGTCTTCCACAATGGTTGAACTAATTTACACTCCCACCAACAGTATAAAAGTGTTCCTTTTTCTCTACAACCTCGTCAGCATCTGTTGTTTTTTGACTTTTTAGTAATAACCATTCTGACTGGTGTTAGATGGTATTTCATTGTGGTTTCGGTTTGCATTTCTCTAATAATCAGTGATGTTGAGCTTTTTTCATGTTTTTTGGCTGTATGTAGGTATTTTTTGAGAAGTGTCTGTGCATGCTTTTTGCCTACTTTTTAATGGTGTTTTTTTTTTGTTTTTTTTTTTTGTTTTTTTGAGACAGAGTCTTGCTCTGTCGCCCAGGCTGGAGTGCAGTGGCACGATCTCGGCTCACTGCAAGCTCTGCCTCCTGGGTTCACGCCATTCTCCTGCCTCAGCCTCCTGAGTAGCTGGGACTACAGGCACCCGCCACTACGCCCAGCTAATTTTTTGTGTTTTTAGTAGAGACGGTGTTTCACCGTGTTAGCCAAGATGGCCTCAATCTCCTGACCTGGTGATCCGCCCGCCTTGGCCTCCCAAAGTGCTGGGATTACAGGCGTGAGCCACTGTGCCCGGCCTGTTTTTTCTTGTAAATTTGTTTAAGTTCCTTATGGATGCTGGTTATTAGACTCTTCTCAGATGGATAGATTGCAAAAATTTTCTCCAATTCTGTAGGTTGTCTGTTCACTCTGCTGATAGTTTCTTTTGCTGTGCAGAAACTCTTTAGTTTAATTAGATTCCATTTGTCAATTTTTGCTTTTGTCAAAATTGCTTTTGGTGTCTTCATAATGAAATCTTTGCTCGTGCCTACATCCTGAATGGTATTGCCTAGGTTTTCTTCTATGGTTTTTATCATTTTGGGTTTTATATTTAAGTCTTTACTCCATCTTGAGTTGATTTTTCTATATGCTGTAAGGAAGGAGTCCACTTTCAATTTTCTGCAGATAGCTAGCCAGTTCTCCCAGTACTACTTATTGAATAGGGAATTCTTTCCCCATTGCTTGTTTTTGTCAGGTTTGTTGAAGATCAGATGGCTGTAGTTATGTGGTCTTATTTCTGAATTCTCTGTTATGTTCCATTGGTCTACAAGCCTGTTCTTGTACCAGTACCATGCTGTTGTAGTTACTGTAGCCCCGTAGTATAGCTTGAAGTCAGGTAGTGTGATGCCTCCAGCTTTGTATTTTTTGTCTAGGATTGCCTTGGCTATTCAGGATCTTTTTTTGGTTTCATGTACATTTTAAAATAGTTTTTTTATTTATAACTCAATGAATATTATCAATGATAGTTGAATGAAAATAGCATTGAATCTATACATTGCTTTGGGCAGTATGCTCATCTTCACAATATTGATTCTCCCTATCCATGAGCATGGAATGTTTTTCCATTTGTATGTGTCATCTCCGATTCCTTGAGCAGTGATTTTTCAGTTTTCCTTGAAGAGGTCCTTCACTCTTCTTGTTAGCTGTCTTCCTAGGTATTTTATTTTATTTGGCAATTGTGTTTGGGAGTTTATTCATGATTTGGCATGCGGCTTGCCTGTTGTTGGTGTATAGGACTGCCAGTGATTTTTGCACATTGATTTTGTATCCTGAGAGTTTTCTGAAGTTGCTTATCAGCTCAAGAAGATTTTGGGCTGAGAAGATGTTGTTTTTTAGATACAGGATCATGTCTTCTGCAAAGAAAGATAGTTTGACTTCATCTCTTCCTATTTCAATACTCTTTATTTCTTTCTCTTGCCTGATTGCCCTGGCCACAACTTCCCATACTATGTCAAATAGGAGTGGTGAGAGGGGGCATCCTTATCTTGTGCTGGTTTTCAAAAGAAATGTTTCCAGCTTTTGTTCATTCAGTATGATATGGGCTATGGATTTGTCATATGTGGCTCTTATTATTTTGAGGTATGTTCCTTCAATACCTATTTTATTGAGAGTTTTTAACATGAAGGAATGTTGAATTTTATCAAACAGCTTTTCTGCATCTATTGAGAAAATCACGTGGTTTTTGTCTCTAGTTCTGTTTATGTGATGAATCACTTTTATTGATTGGCAAATGTTGAACCAACCTTTGAGACACAGTTTCATTCTGTTGCCTAGACTGGAGTACACTGGTGCAATCTCAGCTCACTGTAACCTCTGCCTCCCAGGTTTAAGTTATTCTCCTGCCTCAGCCTCCCAAGTAGCTGGGATTATAGGTGTGTGCCACCACGCTTGATCAGTTTTTGTATTATTAATAGAGACAGGGTTTTGCCATGTTGGCCAGGCTGATCTTGAACTCCTGACCTCAACTGATCTGCCTGCCTCTGCCTCCCAAAGTACTGAGATTACAGGTGTGAGCCACTGCACCCAGCCTAGCTTTTCTTATTGAATTGAAAACTTTACCATTATGTAATGCCCTTCTTTGTCTTTTTTGATCTTTGTTGATTTGAAGTCTTTTTTAAACCAACAAAGGATTCCAACCCGTTTTTTGTTTGTTTGTTTTCCATTTGTTTGGTAAATTTTCCTCCATCCCTTTATTTTGAGCCTATGTGTGTCTTGTGTATGAGTCTCTTGAAGACAGTATACCAATGGGTCTTGGTTTTTTATCCAGCTTGCCATTCTGTGTCTTTTAATGGGGGCATTTAACTTATTTACATTTAACATTAGTATTGTTATGTGTGGATTTCATCTTGTCATCATGATGCTAGCTGGTCATTTCACAGTCTTGTTTATGTGGTTTCTTTATAGTGTCACTGTTCTGTGTACTTAAGTGTGTTTTTGTAGTGGTTGGTAATAGTTTTTCTTTTCCACATTTAGCACTTTTTTTTTTTCAGGAGGTCCTGTACGGAAGGTCTGGTGGTAATGAATTCCCTCAGCATTTGCTTGTCTGAAAAGGATCTTACTTTTCCTTCTCTTATGAAGCTCAGTTTGGCCTAATATGAAATTCTGGGTTGGACATTCTTTTATTTAGAAATGTTGAATATTGGCCCACAGTCTCTTCTGGCTTGTAGAGTTCCCACTGAGAGGTTCACTGTTAGTCTGATGGTCTTCCCTTTGCAGGTGACCTGGCCTTTTTCTCTGGCTGCCCTTAACATTTTTTCTATCATTTTGACCTTGAAGAATCTGATGATTATGTGTCTTGGGGATGATCTGTTCGTGGGTTATCTTAATGGGGTTCTCTGCATTTCCTGAATTTGAATGTTGGCCTGTCTTGCTAGGTTGAGGAATTTCTCTGGATGATATACTGAAATATTTTTTTCAAATTGATTCCATTCTCCCCGTCTCTTTCAGGTATGCCAATCAGTCATAGTCTGGGTCTCTTAACATAATCCCATATTTCTTGGAGGTTTTGTTCTTTTCATTTTTTTTTCTATTCTGGTCTGCTTGTCTTATTTCAGAAAGACAGTTTTCATGTTCTGAGATTCTTTTCTCCATCTCGTCTCTTCTGTTATTACATGTGATTGCATTGTGAAGTTCTTGCCATGTGTTTTTCAACTCTCAGGTCGGTTATGTTTCTCTCTATAGTGGTTATTTGGCTATCAGCTGCATTGTTTTATCATGATTCTTACCTTCCTTGCATTGTGTTACAATGTGCTCCTTTAGCTCAGCAAAGTTTGCTTTTATCTACATTCTGAAGATTACTTCTATTATTTCAGTCATCTCAGCCTCAGCCCAGTTCTGAACCCTTGCTAGAGAGGTGTTGCGGTCATTTGGAAAAAAGGGGGCACTCTGGATATTTGAGTTTTCAGCATTTTTGCGCTGATTCTTTCTCACCTTTGTGGGCTTATCTACCTTCAATCTTTGAGGTTGCTGACCTTTGGATGGGGTTTTTGTTGTTTGTTTGTTTTTCTTTGAATAGTCTGGCCACTCTTCCATAAGGCTACTGTAGTTTGCTGGTGGTCTGCTCCAGGCCCTAGTAACCTCCATTTTTTCAGTACTTGGAGGTATCACCAGCAAAGCCTGCAAAACAGCAAACATGGCAGCCTGCTCCTTCCTCTGGAAGCTCCATCCCTGTAGGGTATTGACCTGTTGCCCCTGAATGCACCTGTAAGAGGTGGCTGGAAACCCTGGTTGGGAGGTCTCAGTCAGATTGGAGGAATAGGATCAGGGACCCACTCAAAGAAGCAGTCTGGCTATGTTTTGGTAGAGCAGCTGTGCTGTGTTGGGATCTTTTTAGCCTTCAATTGCTTTGGGCTTTCCAAGGCCCATAGGCTGGCCTGGCTAAGACGCCCAAATGATATACAAGTTAAGAAGAAATTATTTACGCAGACAGTGAGGATAAAGAAGTGTTCAGTAAAGCATTCCTTTTACTGAAAAGCAGACTCATATCATTTTCTTTTCTAACAAAGAGCAGCGTGTAAAATCAAGCTACATACATAGACAAGCAAGCTGGAAACTTGCACAGGTGAATGCTGGCAGCTGTGCCAACAGGAAAAGGCTGGCTGTGGGCTGGACATGTCTGACATCACAGCTCCATCTTCCCCTTTTTTGGTCAACCATGTGCACAGTAAGGAGCAGGCAACATAGCACCAGCCATGTAGAGACTCCATTTGCATAATAAAAGATTAGGGTGGGGCCACCAGCTTCCTCGCACACTATGTAAATATCAGACCTGGTCCAACCAATCTTTGGGCCGTATGTAAATCTGACCCCGCCTCCTCAAGCCTGTCTATAAAACCCTGTGCACTCCACCGTGGGCTGGAGGTCCCACTCCTACACCCCTCACTCTCAGGGGACAGAGAGCTGTTCTCCTTTCTCTTTCTTTTGCCTATTAAACCTCTGCTCTTACCCTCACTCCATGTGTGCCCCTGTCCTTGATTTCATTGGCATAAGGCAATGAACCTCAGATATTTACCCCAGACAACGATGCCGCTTCACAAACAGCCAAGGCGGCGGCCCGCCCCACTCCGCAGGCACTCTGCCCCAAGGAGAAATTAGAAGTCTTTCCGCAACAGAACACAGGCAGGGGTGGCTGGAGGCTCCAGAGGGAAGGACCTGCCCAGGGAGGAGGAATGTATCAGGGTCGCATTTAAAGAAGCAACCTCACCACACCTCAACAAAACAGCTGTAACATGCTGAGGCGCGGCCTCTGCCTCAGGGGGCTTGGTCTCTCCAAAGCTCGCAGGCTGGAATGGCCGTTTTCCAAACAGCAAAGATGGCGGCACGCCCCTCCCGCTGGGCACGGCCTCCCAGGGAGAAATCAGAACTCCGTCCCCAGAACACCAGTGGGGGTGGCCAGAGGCCCTGGCTGGGAGGGCCTACCCCACAGGGAGGAGTAAGTAGGTCAGCGTCCCACTTAAAGAAGCAGCCTGGCCACAAGCTGGCAAAGCCGCTGTGCTGCGTTGGGGTGACCCTTCCTGGTGCAGACTGTTTGGACTCTCCAAAGCCAGCAGGCTGGAACAGCTCAGTTATCCAAACAGCAAAGATGACCGCCTGCCCCTCTCCTCCAGGGCTCCGTCCTGTCTCAGGCAAGCTCCACCCTGGTGCCAGTGGCTGGCTGGAATTCCACGCCAGGGGGTCTTATTTTGTGAGGTGCTGTGGAAGTGGGGCCTGCGTACTGATGCCACTCAGCCCCCTGGATTCAGCTCCCTTTCTAGGGGTATGTATGGACCTTCCGCCTTGTTTGAGTTCCATCGCCTTCGTCAGGGAGCCCAGGGCTAGAGTATGGAAAGCTCCTGGGTCTCTGTGCATTCCCGAGCAGCTGCTCTGTCCAGACTCCACACAGGTCTGTGCGTCAGACCCAAGGCCCTGGAGGTGGGCTCTCAAGGGCTCTCCTGATCCGACGGGTGCAAAGTTCCGTGGAAGAGGCGTGGTTTCCCAGGGTCGCACATTCACTCACTGCTTCCCTTGGCTCTGAAATATTTTAAAACCAGAAGTAAGTTTTCCTGGTTCAAAATGGTATTTCATTCTGTAACCACACACTCCAGTATCAGATAGAAATTATAATTAGAAATATTTTTAAGATAGAAATTATAATTAGAAATATTTTTAAGATAGAAATTATAATTAGAAATATTTTTAAGATAGAAATTACAATTAGAAATATTTTTAAGATAGAAATCATAATTAGAAATATTTTTGGCATCTTGTATTTATATTAAAGGGTATGCAAATGTTTCTTATGAAATTTACTTTCAATTATATGTATAGTCTTTTTGAGGTTTGTCTAGAGGCTTTTTCCCTCCCAAAGCATTCAAATGCAGGCATACCTTGCTTTATTGTGCTTAGCTTTATTGCATTTAGAGATACTGTGATTTTTACCAATTAAATGTTTGTGGCAACTCTGAGTTGAGCAGTTCTGTAGATTGGCACCATTTTTCCAACAACATTTGCTCACTTCCCGTCTCTGTCACATTTTCGTAATTCTCTCAATATTTCAAACTTTTTCATTATTATTACATCTGATTTAGTGATCTATGATCAGTAATGTTTGAGGTTACTACTATAAATCTTTTGGAGCACCATGAACTGTGCCTGTATAAGATGGTGAACTGTAACCGAGAAACAGTGTGCATGTTCTGCCTGCTCCACTGACCAGCTGTTCCCCTGTTTCTCTGTATGTCCTTAGGTCTTCCCGTTCCCCTAGACACAACAGTATCAAACTGACCACTTACTAACCTACAGTGCCTCTGCACGTTCAAGTGAAAGGAAAGCACATCTCCCACTTTAAATTAAAAGCTGGACATTGTTAAGCTTAGTGAGGAAGGCGTGCCGAAAGCCAAGATAAGCTGAAAAGGCCTCTAGTCCCAAACAATTAGCCAAGTTGTGAATGCAAAGGAAAAGTTCCTTAAGGAAGTTAAAAGTGCTAACCTAGTGGACACATGAACGATAAGGAAGTAAAACAGGCTTGCTGTTGCTAAGGAGAAAGTTGTAGTGGTCTAGATGGATCACAGCAGCCACAACAGTCCGTGAAGTCAAAGCCTAATCCAGAGCAAGATCCTAACTCTCTTCAATTCTGTGAAGGCTGAGACAGGTGAGAAAGTTGCAGAAGAAAAGCTGGACGCTAGCAGAGATTGTTGGTCCATGAGGCTTAAGGAAGGAAGCCATCTTTGTAACATAGAAGTGCAAGGTGAAGCAGCAAGTACTTGTGTAGAAGCTGTAGCAAGTTATCCAGAAGATCTGGCTGAGATCATTGATAAAGTTGGCCACACTAAACAACACATTTTCAATGTAGACTAAAGAGCTTTCGGTTGGGAGAAGATGCCATCTAGGACTTTCATAGCTACAGAAGAGAAGTCAAGTCAATGCTTGACTTTAAAGCATCAAAGGACAGGCTGACTCTTTTGTTAGGGACTAATGCAGCTGGTGGGGTTAAGTTGAAGGCAGTGCTCATTTGCTATTCTCAAAATCTTAGGGTCTTAAGATTTATGCTTAATCTACTCTGCCTATGCTCTATAACTAGAACAGCAAATCCTTTATGACCGCACATCTGTCTTACCATATGCTTTACTAAATAGTTTAAGCTGACTGCTCAGAAAAAAGGATTTCTTTCAAAGTATTACTGCTCATTGACAAGGCACCTGTCACTGAGAGCTCTGATGGGGGTGTACAATGAGATCAATGTTGTTTTTATGCCTGTTAATACAACATTCATTCTACAGCCCATGGATCAAGAACTAATTTAGATTTCCAATCTTATTGTTTAAGAATTACATGGCTCACACCTTTTATCCCAGCACTTTGGGAGGCTTAGGCAGGCAGATCGCTTGAGGTTGGGAGTTTGAGACCAGCCTGGACAACATGGCGAAACCCCATCTCTATTAAAAATATTAAAAGTAGCCAGGCGTGGTGGCACCTGCCTGTAATCTCAGCTACTCCAGAGGCTGAGGCAGGAGAATTGCTTGAACCCGGGAGAAGGAAGTTTCAGTGAGCCGAGATCGTGCCACTGTACTCCAGCCTGGGTGACAGAGAGAGACTCCATCTCAAGAAGAAAAGAAAAGACACGACAAAAAGAAAAAAGAATTACGTGTTATAAGCCTGTAGCTGCCCTAGATAATGATTCCTCTGATGGATCTGGGCAAAGTAAATTGAAAACCTTCAGTAAAAAAGTCATTATTTTTGATGCCATTGAGAACATGTCTTTCTAAAGTTTAATCACATAGACTCATCTTTAACAGGGCTAGGGCTTTTATAGCAATTAGGAATACAGTCTTCACGATCTTGCAAGTCCATACATGAATTCCAGCTTAAAATCATGGTAATTTATTTGATAACTTTTTAAAAAAAGCTTAAAATGAAGCAAAAATATTTTTTGTTAGCTTGCAATCCCCCCATTTTCTATTTTACTTTTTGACATGGACAATTTCATTTTGTTTGCGTAGTTTTTGTTTTTAAATCAGGGATGATTTTTCTTTCACACACTTAAATATATACTTACCAGTTTCAAATTTTCATCTGTTTATCTCAAAGCACTAAATGTGATCAAACTCCAATTAGAGCTGTATTTAACCCCTGGGTCATTAGGATCAAAACAGTAAAGGGAGTGGAGATGTTGCTTTCCTAGTACAACTGAACAAGTTTGGTGGATCATTCATCTTATTTGAAATTGGAGATATATATTGTAGTTATAAGTGGGCTTAATCAACATCATTTCACCTTCTTGTAAAGTCTTATCTAGAAATGGGAATTTGGGCCTTGATGTGACTCAGTGTCAGAGAAGGGGCCAGGGAAAGAAGGAAAGAGTATTGATTGCTGAGTAAGTGGCCTCACTACAGAAGACCCATGGTCCATCCTCACAATGATGATAATCCACCAGCCGTTACACGCCAATTTGAAAACAAATTGTTATAGACCTTGGAAGCTTTCTCAGCTCAAAGCAGGCCTGACATACAACTGCATGTGAGGACAGAAATAAATCATATCAGATCAGAAGGTCTACTAGTTAACAGCTAAAAAAGAGGATTGTAGTATTTTCCCTTCGTTTTAGTCTAAACTCTCTCTAGAGGGTAGGTAGTGTAATAGGAGCAGGTAACTTTGTCCGTGTACAAATTTTCATGTGTTTTACATCTAGACTTTGAAACCTTGCTCATCATTTTCCTTCAGGTCCCATTCATAAATCTGACATTTATAAATTTAAGAATCAAATTGCAGATCATTTAAAGCTAGATGTGTAGGCTGAATTGTGAACTCATGATGAGACGAGCTTGCACTGAGATTGGGAGTGTACAGTTTTCATATTGCAGAAAATGCAACTAAACTTTTTGCCACTTGATTCAATAGGAAATAAAATGATATAGGATTAGTTTGAAGATGCAAACTGATTTCAGTGAATATTCATCATTAGTAAAGGCTTAACTTGGTGATATAATCCAGGGGATTTTAGATGTTTCCTTAAAACACCTACATGTAATTCGATACCTGGAATATTTCAGAACATTTTTACTTTGGCTATGTTTCATTCACAGAGGGAGACAGAAAACCAAGGCCATAATGAAGTAATTAATCAAATTAAATACCATTATGCTTTCAATTCCCTGTATCTCTCTGTGCTTGTAGATACAGACATTGTCTGAAAGCACTGCAGAAGAATGCTATCATTGTACTTACAAAGGAGAAAAACGTGATATACATTGCTTAGAAGTTTGCAAAAGTAGCTTTCGTGTTCCTAGGTAATTGATAACATGGGCAATGCCAGAAAATTTTTGACTTTTTTTTTTTTTTTTGAGACGGAGTCTCGCTCTGTCGCCCAGGCCAGAGTGCAGTGGCGCCATCTCGGCTCACCGCAAGCTCCGCCTCCCAGGTTCACGCCATTCTCCTGCCTCAGCCTCCCGAGTAGCTGGGACTACAGGCGCCCGCCACCACGCCCCGCTCATTTTTTGTATTTTTAGTAGAGACGGGGTTTCACTGTGTTAGCCAGGATGGTCTCGATCTCCTGACCTTGTGATCCGCCCGCCTCGGCCTCCCAAAGTGCTGGGATTACAGGCGTGAGCCACCGCGCCCGGCTAAAATTTTTGATATTTAACATTTTGCCCAGAGGTCCCAAATTAACCTAGAATCAAGTGTGAGGCTGTCTCTAAGGTACAGGAATCTGGAGTAGAGTATATTTAAAATGCTCTCAAAATTCTCACTTTTCTAGTGAGAGTTTTAATTTGACAGTATGGATGTCTGTGTAATTTAATCAAGTTATTAAACCAGAAAATTTCTAATTATAGAGAGAGCAGAAAGTTTATTCTTAGGATTCCTATGTCTCAATCAAACAATGAATGGACAGAAGTGTTCAAGGAATTTATTATAACTCTTTTATTCCTTTATAATAACGTAAATGGATTATCTCAAGCTCCTGAAGCCAAATTATAGCAAGAAAAAAAATTATCCTACAGATAGTTGTTCAGTAAGTGGACAAGAGAGCCGTGTGCAGCAAGACCAATCTCCTTGAAGGATGTTAGCTGAACTGCAGTGTCGGCAAAGCTTGAGTGGAAAGGTCATTTGAATGATTTCTCATAATTGAGTTCTACCAACATAGTCTTTGACATTTTAGTGTAGTTATTTATTTAAAAATTATTATGCATTTATAATGCACAGACAGAATCTGGATAATAAAGAGAAAGGGATAGTCCATTCCTCAAGGGAATAATTGTGTGTGAAAACCTGAGTCGGGACTTTATAGAGTACATCCAGGCCATGATTAGCAGGTCTCTTTGTTGGAATGGAAGCTTCATTTATAAGAACAATGAAATGTAAATGTTAGAATTTCTGCAATACCACTTATAGTTGTGGAATTTATCTTAAAGAAGAAAGAGTAGTTAAAGATATTTGAGTAAGAGGGTAAAGTGGTGAGAGCACTGTTTGCAGATTAGCTGGCAACTGTATGCAAATTTTGTTGGAATAGAAAAGACTGGCACCTAGGAGATTAGTGATTCATTTTTGCTAAAACCTAGCAAAGGAAGCATATGGTATTGGTCATGGGAATAAAAAGAACGAATAAATGTGAGAAATTAAGGAGGACTTGACAACACTTAATGACTGGTATTTAAATTTGAAGTTGGTAACTCCAAAATGTTAATTAGCCTCTGTTATTAGAAAAATTATACTATTGTGGACAGAATAAGTAAACTGTAAGAGATGAAATAATTGTAACTAAGCATGTGAGCTCTGATGAAAATCTACTTGGTCAGTACCTTGTCTCAACAGTTTGAAGAACCTTGGGCAAGTCACATAATCTTTAAGACATTCTTTTCCTTAAACTCACGAAACAGAATAATAACAATGCCTGCCTGTCGGGTTTGTTGTGAAGATTAACTAAGTAGCCCATGTAAAGTGCTTGGCACGTAATGTCTCAATAACTGTCAGTAACTCGTTATTGCTGTTATGGTGCTAATTACTTTTCAAATCAGCCAAACAATCCATGAAGGGAGAAGGAGATCTGGTATGATTTAAGTATATCTGACTTGCCGAATACCCTGCAGACTGCTGGAGATGCAGTATTCAGACAGTTTCTAGCTTCAGGTATAGAATTGAGAAATAAATTTAATTAAAATGGGATAAAAGTTCACATATTGGGAGTGAATGTTTTGCTAGGATGAGGTAAGATGAAAACAGAGGAATCAAATAGCTAGTTTTCCTTTACAAAGCAACTGGTGAAATCACAATCACACACCAGGGATTCGGCCAGCCAAGTCTTAGGGAAGAGATCTGGAAATGTACCTGCCAAGGTAGCAGATTTCCTTCCTTAAGAATGTCAGGAGACCATTACCACAGGGTGTCTCAAAGAGCTTTCTTTTCTTTTTGTTTTTGTTTCCATGGTTTTGGGGGTAGAGGTGGTGTTTGGCTACATGGATAAGTTCTTTAGTGGTGATTTCTAAGATTTTGGTGCACCCGTCACCCGAGCAGTGTACACTGCACCCAGTGTGTAGTCTTTTATCCATCACCTCCCTTCCAACCTTCCCCCTGAGGTCCTGAGTCCACTATGTTATTCTTATGCCTTTGCAATCTCGTAGCTTTAACTCCCACTTATAGATGAGAACATGCAATATTTGGTTTTTCACTCCTGTGTTACTTCACTTTGAATAATGGCCTCTAGCTCCATCCAAGTTGCTGCAAAAGCCACTATTTCATTCCTTTTTATGGCTGAATAGAATTCCATGGTGTATATACACCACATTTTCTTTTTCCATTCATTGGTTGATGGGCACTGAGGCCAGTTCCATATCTTTGTAACTGGAAATTATACTGCTGTAAACATGCATGTATTTTTTTGATATACTGACTTATTTTCCTCTGGGTAGATAGATACCCAGTAGTGTGATTGCTGGATTGAATGGTAGTTGTATGTTTAGTCTTTTAAGGAATCTTTGTACTGTTTTCCATAGTGGTTCTACTAGTTTACATTCCCACCCGCAGTGTAAAGTGTTCCCTTTTCACCACATCCATGCCAACATCTATTGTTTTCTGACTTATTAATTACAGCCATTCTGCAGGATTAAGGTGGTATCTCATTGTGGTTTTAATTTGCATTTCCTTGACAATTAGTGATGGTGAGCATTTTTTATATGTTCACTGTTTGTATATCTTTTGAGAATTATCTATTCATGTCGTTTGCCATTGTTTGATGGAATTTTTTTTTTCTTGCTGATTTGTTTGAGTTCCTTATAGATTCTTAAAACTAGTCTTTTGTCAGATGATTTTCTCCTTTTCTCCCACTCTGGGTTATCTGTTTCCTCTGCTGACTATTTCTTTTTCCGTGCAGAAGCTTTTTAGTTTAATTGGGTCCCATTAGTTTATGTTTGTTTTTGTTGCATTTGCTTTTGTGGTCTTAATCTTGAATTCTTTGCTTAGGGTAATGTCTAGAGAGTTTTTCCAAAGTTATCTCAGAATTTTTATGGTTTCAGGTCTTAAATTTAAGTCGTTGATCCATCTTGAGTTATTTTTTGTATAAGGTGAGTGATGAGGATTCAGTTTCATTCTTCTGCATGTAGCCAGACAGTTATCCTAGCACCGTTTATTGAATAGGGTGTCCTTTCCTCAAAAAGTTTTCTGCAGAGCACTAGTTCCACCAGATATTTAGTTTTGAAAGCTTCCGTGATCTGATATGTTTTAGAAATGTATTATAAGCTCTGAAAATCCTTATAGGAAAGATTCTTTTTAACCTTATTTAAACCAGAATCCCCCAAAGTTACTCAGCTAATACTCCCTGTATTATCTGTTAGCTTTCTGAGGAATTTGCATTCCAGAGGACAGACTTACTGTATTTGTTGGTCAGAATCCTTTCAAATCCAGATAGCCCTTTTATGCAGGCAGAGATAGTCTGCTTGTTTTATACTTTCCAAGAAGACAAATTGCTTCAGAAATTCCCAAATTCATGGATTCAGAATCATGCAGTTACCATTGATCCCAGAATAAATCTGTGGATACCGGTGTTCTGTCTTTGGTTTCTGGCCACCTGTGACTTATGACCTTGAATCCATCTGTTCAGGCTGTATGTCAGAGCTCTGCCTGTTCCCCTTACTCCTGCTGAATTCAGACGAACTGCCTCTCCCAGATTGATCCTGTGGCTGTTTTGTATGTTGTGACATGGAATAGAAAGGGAAAATACAAACATAACTGTGCACAGAATGTAAGGTGCGTGTATATGTCACCAAGTTTACATGAGTGATCTCAAAGTGAGAGCTGAAGCCCACAGCAAGAACTGCCACTGTCTGCAGATGAGCACGCCGTTCATCCCTCGTTGTGTAACTGCATCCAGCTGCCCATTCCCTCTAAAGTGACGTCTGTATCACTCCTGCTCGAAAGCATCCAGCTGCCCATTCCCTCTAAAGTGACGTCTGTATCACTCCTGCTCGAAAGCATCCAGCTGTCCATTCCCTCTAAAGTGACGTCTGTATCACTCCTGCTCAAAAGTGTCCAGCTGCCCATTCCCTCTGAAATGACGTCTGTATCACTTCTGCTCGAAAGTGTCCAGCTGCCCATTCCCTCTAAAGTGACGTCTGTATCACTTCTGCTCGAAAGTGTCCAGCTGCCCATTCCCTCTAAAGTGACGTCTGTATCACTTCTGCTCGAAAGTGTCCAGCTGCCCATTCCCTCTGAAATGACGTCTGTATCACTTCTGCTCGAAAGTGTCCAGCTGCCCATTCCCTCTGAGATGACGTCTGTATCCCTCCTGCTCGAAAGCATCCAGCTGCCCATTCCCTCTGAAGTGACGTCTGTATCACTCCTGCTCGAAAGCGTCCAGCTGCCCATTCCCTCTAAAGTGACGTCTGTATCACTCCTGCTCGAAAGTGTCCAGCTGCCCATTCCCTCTAAAGTGACGTCTGTATCACTTCTGCTCGAAAGTGTCCAGCTGCCCATTCCCTCTAAAGTGACGTCTGTATCACTCCTGCTCGAAAGCGTCCAGCTGCCCATTCCCTCTAAAGTGACGTCTGTATCCCTCCTGCTCGAAAGTGTCCAGCTGCCCATTCCCTCTAAAGTGACGTCTGTATCACTCCTGCTCGAAAGTGTCCAGCTGCCCATTCCCTCTAAAGTGACGTCTGTATCACTTCTGCTCGAAAGTGTCCAGCTGCCCATTCCCTCTGAAGTGACGTCTGTATCACTCCTGCTCGAAAGTGTCCAGCTGCCCATTCCCTCTGAAGTGACGTCTGTATCACTCCTGCTCGAAAGTGTCCAGCTGCCCATTCCCTCTGAAATGACGTCTGTATCACTCCTGCTCGAAAGTGTCCAGCTGCCCATTCCCTCTAAAGTGACGTCTGTATCACTTCTGCTCGAAAGTGTCCAGCTGCCCATTCCCTCTAAAGTGACGTCTGTATCACTTCTGCTCGAAAGTGTCCAGCTGCCCATTCCCTCTGAAGTGACGTCTGTATCACTCCTGCTCGAAAGTGTCCAGCTGCCCATTCCCTCTGAAGTGACGTCTGTATCACTTCTGCTCGAAAGTGTCCAGCTGCCCGTTCCCTCTAAAGTGACGTCTGTATCACTTCTGCTCGAAAGTGTCCAGCTGCCCGTTCCCTCTGAAATGACATCTGTATCACTTCTGCTCGAAAGTGTCCAGCTGCCCGTTCCCTCTGAAATGACGTCTGTATCACTCCTGCTCGAAAGCATCCAGCTGCCCATTCCCTCTGAAATGACATCTCCATCACTCCTGCTTGAAAGCTCTCTCTGACACCTTCAAGGAGGCACAATAAAGGTATTGCTGACTTGTTCCTTGCTGCTCTAAGAAATAGATTTTACTTGGACCCGAAGATAAGAACAACAACAGCATATAAAGACAATTTCACAATGAAAGAGAGTCTTCTAATACCCACTCAACTCTATTTGGGCTGATGCTGGGAGAAAATATAAGGGTGGCGGGGGGAGGGGAAGGCAATAAAGCTAAAGGGCCTTTGTGTGGCTCAAAAGAAATAACTACCTTCAAAACTTTACAGGTTACGTACTCTAGAATTATACAAATTCAACATTAGGCAAATTGTTTTATAAAAATATAATAAAGGTTTAGGGAAGCATAAAATTTTGCATTACTTTGAAAACAAAGTACTCTGCTGCTGCTGCTCAGACAGTTACTACAGTTCCAAACGGTCGTAGAAGACAGTGATCAACCAACATAGTCTGGTGTTTTCTTTTCCTGGTGAGTTTTCAGCTCCTCGGCACACGTTACTTCAGGTGCGTGTCTGTGTATGTTAGGTGCCAAGCCCATAATAAACAATAAATAAGCAATAGTTATTATTATGAAAGCTGCTAAAAATATTCAGATTACTTAGTTACAGTGTGGAGTCTACTTTGAAAAAACATGAAACTTTATTCTTATTCAATTTATTATGGAATGTTATCAAGACACTAGTTCTAAAAGTTCAAAGGAACGAAAGCAACACAGCCTTGTATGAAAAGTTGAACTTTAGTGTTGCAAGACATATTTAGATATCAGACATACAGATTTGTCTTAGTATATCTGAAGTTATTAACAACAATATCTTTAGATTAACTGATTGTTGCATTATTATTCCAAGCATTTCCATAGATTGACTGCAAGTAGTCTATGTGAATGGATTTTAGGGAAGTGAGAACTCTGATAGTATTTGGTAGCTTGTGTAACCTGACTGTATTTGGCATAATAAGGCTTTGAATGCCTCAATTAAAGCAACTGAAATCATAGAGGAGATCATGCTAGACGGGTCATGGTTTAAGAGCTGTACTAAGGAGTTTTCTGCCACATTTACGTGGTGAAACACACTTGGACAGCTTTAAGTTGGAGTGCCATGATGAGATTGGTGAAAATCACTCTAGCATGGTGCGAGTGGTGGATTAAAGTGGAGGAAGATTGGAGGTCTGCCAACCTAAATTAGAAATGTGTTTTTGGCTTTATTTTATTTAATCAATTTAAAGTAATGAAAATTAACAATGTTTATACAAAACCAGAAATTACTAAGCAAAAATTTCACAGACAAGCCTGGTCATTATTTCATTTTTTAAAAAAAGTTTTATCCGATAGAAAATATTGACCTAAATAATAGAAAAACCAACTCAAATGAACTTACATAATAAAGACATGTATTAGCTAAAACGTAGGTTCAGAGATAGAGTAACTCTTGTCACGGCATTGCGAGAACATTGATCACTTTTCTTTAATTCTCCTGGCTCTGTCTTTTTCCCTCTATTGATCTCATCTTCATGCTGATGGCAAGATGATCACATCCAGATACAGCAGAGGCGGGACTCTCTCTTTCAGTTCTTTTTCTTATAACTGAGAAAATCTTTTTTTCTAGCAGCCTCTGCTTTTGTCTGTCTTAAATCTTTTCTCAAGTTTCACTCGCCAGAAGTGACTTAGTAAGTTACATGTCTACCTCTCTACAAGCCACTGATCAAAGGAATGGAAATTACAAACATTGGCTTTGATGAAAAATAATGTATCCATGAGACAGGCACAGGGTGCCACTCCGTGGGCCAGGGACAGGGTGCCATTCTCTGAGGCCCGAGGAACTGAATAAATGGAACTCTACTTAGCACAAAAGAAAGGAAGAGATACTGAGTAGGAAAATAACGATGTCTGCTACCTACTGTCACAAAAAGTCAACCAATGAATAGCTAAAGAACCACTCTGGAAGGTGCCACACTTCATGTCTGCCACCTACTGTCATGAAAACTCAACCAATGAATAGCTAAAGAGCCACTCTGGAAGATGCTACACTTCACCTGGAAAAGAACCCTACCCCAGCTACTGCCTCCTGCTGGTTCCCAGACCTCTATTATTGATGGCCTGAGACCATATTTTCCATCATGTCTTTTTGTCTCCATAAATTGCATTTATAGTATTAGGAAAGAACCTTTTGCTCCTCCTCCTTTTAAAAATTTTTTATTCTTCCTTTATTTTTCTAAGACACGTATTCTTTTAAAGCAGCAGTGTTAACAGTGGATGGAAACATTTTTATTCAGTCAAAGATAGATTGTGTGTGTGTATGTGTGTGTGTGCATGTGTGTGTGTGTGTGACCCAAGCTGGAGTGCGGTGGTGCGATCTCGGCTCACTGCAACCTTCGCCTCTCGGGTTCAAGCCATTCTCCTGCCTCAGCCTCCCGAGTACCTGGGACTACAGGCACCTGCCACCACGCCGGCTAATTTTTTGTATTTTTGGTTGAGATGGGGTTTCACCATGTTAGCCAGGATGGTCTTGATCTCCTGACCTCGTGATCTACCCACCTCGGCCTCCCAAAGTGCCGGGATTATAGGTGTGAGCCACCGCGCTGGGCCCAAAGATAGACTTTTTTACAGAAATAATCGAGTGACCGAATATTTTAAGGATGATATAATGGGAACCATAATGGAAATTTATGGCAGTTTAATATTTTCTCTTATGAGACCTCAGTGGTGTGTAAATGGTGACTAGTAGAATTCTGTAGGAAACAGGAGCTGACATGTGAACAATCCAGTGTTTTTTTTTCAAATTGCTAAATAAAGATGTGTTTTTCCTCCACTTTTTCTCAATAATCATTTCTACCCTCAAACCACCACTCCCCATGGTATAAATTCAAAACATGTCCTATCAAGTGGAAAATCGTGAATGATCTTAAAGTCAAGAACATTTATTAAACTTAAAAGTAAATGTACATAGATATTAAGAACGTTGGTAATACAAATTAATATTTATAATGTTATTTTCAGCAATTGCAAAAGCTGTTCTTGAGTATGCACTAAAAGCATTGTAACATACAGATTTGATATTTCAGCTTTTACCCTAAAATTATTAAAAAAAATAAAGACAGTTTGGTCCATTAAAATGACACAATAATATCTGGATATAATTTGCATATAAGTTCAGAGGAGGCAACATTAAATTGAACAAAATCAACATCAGGAACAAAATATGATTTGGGGAATTACAGGAGAACTTAATTGAGAAGAACAACTGTGAAGTGGAAAAGAGAAATGCAGTAGAAAGAGTAAGAGATGAAGGGAGAAGGAGAGGAAGAAATACATGAAGTTTGATTCTATGTCTTAACGCGATGTTAATGGTGCCCTAGGACATAAAGCTTGATAACTCCAGGCTTCATTAAATTATCTTTTGTACATCTTGTGGGCAGAGCATAGAACATATTGTATGCCTGGGATAAATCAGAGACTCCAACATAAAAATTTGTATTAATACTAAAAACATAAGTAGAGTCCTGTGAAATTATCCATTCCAATCATATTTCTTAATATTCAACTAAAATTCCAGATTGGAAGTGAACGGCCCAGATATCCACAGTGAAAATTAGAAGGAGTGGAAAGAAGAGAAGATGCTGCCTCTTGTGTCAGTTTCCTAATTAGAATTATGGCCAAATAAAATTATACGAGGAAGCAACTGATTCCAAAGGAGGAAAACGCTAAGTTAAAATATAAGTATACAATGGGATCTCGCTATTCATTCAATGTATTATTCATTAGTTAACTCTCTCCGCTTCCTTCTTAGTTAACGTATTCCTCTATGCCTTCAATGGCCACCACCCATAGCTCCCACCACATAATGGATTGATCTACTGTGGGATCCTGCCAGCCTTCAAGAGAATTGATATTGAGCTGACAAAGGAGGGAACACTACAAATAGCTGATGAAAAGGACCAGTCTCCATGTGATACAACATCACACTCTTTAGATCTGTCTGGATCATTGAAAAAACAGATTTTCCGCTCTGATTTTTAAAATTTAATCTTTTCAAATGAATCCATATTACAAATGCTGAATACAACTGACATACATGGTTGACAATTTTTAAAACTTAAAAAATGTAAGACGCCGGGCATGGTGGCTCACACCTGTAATCCCAGCTCTTTTGGAGGCTGAGGCGAGTTGATCACCTGAGGTCAGGAGTTTGAGACCAGCCTGGCTAACATGGAGAAACCCGGTCTCTACTAAAAATACAAAATTAGCCGGGCGTGGTGGCACATGCATGTAATCCCAGCTACTCGGGAGGCTGAGGCAGGAGAATCGCCTTGAACCTGGGAGGCAGAGGTTGTGGTGAGCCGAGATTGCACCATTGCACTCCAGCCTGGGCAACAAGAGTGAAACTCTGTCTCAAAACAAAGCAAAACAAAACAAAAATTAAGAAATGTTTCAGAACAAAAAATCTGAAAGCATCTTGAAAGAGACTTTTTCCTTTGTCTGAAAGATGGCCATACCTGAAAATATTTGGTCTTCCACAGTATCGGAGGGATGCTAATTAATTACATTAATGATCACTCTGAAAAGCCGTTGCCACCTAATTTGTGAGCTCATAAAGAAATGAGGTTTTGGGATCTGACTTTTGGTCTGTTGTAGCAAAAGTGTTTTATTCTTTTACCTGAGGAAGAATACAAATGAGAAGCAAACTAAATGCTAGTTGCCTCTCAGGTAATCCCTGCCTTGAAGTCTCAGACCATGACCAAAATAAATCACCTAAAATACTCTCAACAAAATGGCAGGAGACCGCTGCCTGGAGGAAAGAGATGACCTACATGCACATCAGACAGGGCGTAGGACAAACCCAAATGCCACCTAAGTCCAAACCACTTCAGACTAATATGAGGACATTCAGTAAATATGACTTCAGTGTAAAACAAGGATTAAAATTTATTTCCTGGTAGACAGAAACCATATTTTCCAACAGGAACTGTATTTTCTCTTGCAGGCAAGACTTGCTTGGATAACTACAAAGCCCTGAACTCTCTCTCAAGCACAAAATGACTATATACCTGACAGAACATTTCCTCCAGGTGAGGAAATCTGGGCAACCTTATCAGGCAGCCCCGCTTCCATATCATTTATTGTAGTCGGGCAGATTGGGGCATACAGTACGTGACAGGCCATCAGTTAAATAGAGAGGAGTGTGCTAGCTGGGCAATACTTCAAATCCAAGTAAGCCTGAACCTTAAAAACCAAACTGCTTCATTTTTCCTGTTCTTGTTTAATCCATTTCAGGTGAAACAAAGCAACATGAACTTCTAGAATGTTCATATTGAAAAACATGAATTGGGCCAGCCGCAGTGGCTCATGCCTGTAATCCCAGCACTTTGGGAGGCTGAGGGGGGCGGATCGCGAGGTCAGGAGTTCTAGACCATCCTGGCTAACACACTGAAACCCCATCTATATTAAAAATACAAAAAATTAGCCGAGTGTGGTGGTGGGCGCCTGTAGCCCCAACTACTCAGGAGGCTGAGGCAAGAGAATGGCGTGAACTCAGGAGGCAGAGGTTGCATTGAGCCGAGATCATGCCATTGCACTCCAGCCTGGGCAACAGAGCGAGACTCCATCTCAAAAAAAAAAAAAAAGGGAAAGAAAAAACAAACAAACAAAAAAAACATGAATTGATTTCAGTTTTCAAATGTGATATGAACCACGACTTTTCTGTGTTGGAATTTCATATTCTCTAGACCAACATCATAATATTTTTCATTTGCAGAAATTTATCAGATGAGACTTGAAAGATATTTTACGTGCTCACAGCAACTCTCTTAGGAAGGACTGATGCCACTTGACAGGGCCAGGCAAACGGAGCTGGCCTCCTGGCACTGGAGATTTCAGGGAGTTTAATAAACTCAGCCAGATGTGTAGTTCAAGTATCTTAGCCAAAAGAGTGGCAGAGCAAATCAAAGGTGGACTCTTAAGCTCAGAAGTCTCTTTCTTAATAAGGGGCCGGTGGAGAGTTACCTGACATTTCCACATGGGGCTAACACATACATCAGGAGCCAGTAAGGGGCCGGTGGAGAATTACCTGACATTTCTTCATGGCTAATACATGCATCAAGAGCCAGAAGCAGGTGGGCAGAAGGTCACCTCTCAATACTTTCCATTGTGTCTCATTACAGTCCTTCTGCGTGATAAGATACTATGCTATATTTTGGGTTGAAATATTAAAAGCAAGCATTATGGCCTGAAATCTATAATAGAAAGAGCAACTAACACAGCTGGAAAGAATCCTACATGAGAGTATAAGAAGGTATAATACTAAGCTTGTTTAAATATGTCCACAGGCTTTGGGCCCCTATGGGCAAGAGGAACCCTAAGCTGCACACCAAGTACCATCCATCATGAGGAATTCAATGCTTATTGATTCCACTTCTAGAAAATTTGTAAACACATATGGCACAGATATGTGCTTCATACATCGATGCCCCAGTAGTTCAATATGATGAGTATATAGAATAATTGCTGTTAGCATTTTGAAAATAATCTTTATGCATAGAGTACATGACAATGATTTGAAAGTACTGAGGAACGTGAGCATTGATGGATTTTGGTATCCACAAGGGCTCCTGGAACCAATCTCCCATGGAGACTGAAGAACAACTGCATTTCATGGAACATTCTTTCAAATAGCGTTACTTTTGACTCATAGTTGCATGTGTTTACATTTTATTTAAATTTTGCTATATGTTTATCTTCTCACGAGCAGCATAAAAATGTTATCTTTCCTTATGTATAAATTACATAAGCTTATTTTTATACTGAAATTATTATTTTGACAGAATATTTTATAAAACAGTAGTTCAGGAAGATGATATAAGCAGAATCCCAGTGACAGCAGGAAAATCCTGACCAGAGGAATCCGAACAAAATCCAAACATATCCGGTTGGTAAGAAAATAACCTGGAGTTTCTTAAATGAAGCAAAGGAAAAGTGTGTTTATTTTAGTAATAGAAATGGCAAAACAGAAATCTTAAGGTGGTGCAAAACTGAGATATCTGTTCACAGGGGCAAAAGGATAGCTCGCAATTCACTGCCGAGACATGGAGTCCAAGGTCCTGGATATCTGTTCAGAAGGAATAGGTTAATGATATGATTTGAGTCTTTGTCCCCTCCAATCTCGATAGCTATTCGGGAGGAATGGGTTAATGATATGGTTTGACTCTTTGTCCCCTCCAATCTCAATATCTGTTCAGAAGGAATAGGTTAATGATATGGTTTGAGTATTTGTCCCCTCCAATCTCGATATCTATTCAGAAGGAAGAAGTTAATGATATGGTTTGAGTATTTGTCCTGTCCAATCTCGATATCCATTCAGAAGGAATAGGTTAATGATATGGTTTGAGTATTTGTCCCGTCCAATCTCGATATCCATTCAGAAGGAATAGGTTAATGATATGGTTTGAGTATTTGTCCGCTCCAATCTCGATATCTATTCAGAAGGAATAGGTTAATGATATGGTTTGAGTATTTGTCCCCTCCAATCTCGATATCTATTCAGAAGGAATAGGTTAATGATATGGTTTGAGTATTTGTCCCCTCCAATCTCGATATCTATTCAGAAGGAATAGGTTAATGATATGGTTTGAGTATTTGTCCACTCCAATCTGGATATCTGTTGAGAAGGAATAGGTTAATGATATGGTTTGAGTATTTGTCCCCTCTAATCTCGATATCTATTCAGAAGGAATAGGTTAATGATATGGTTTGAGTATTTGTCCCCTCCAATCTCGACATCTATTCGGGAGGAATGGGTTAATGATATGGTTTGAGTCTTTGTCCCCTCCAATCTCATGTTGAAATGTAATCTCCAGTCTTGGAGGTGGGACCTGATGGGAGGTGTTTGCACCATGGGGGTGGGACCCTCATGAATGGCTTCGTGCCATCGCCTTGGTGATGAGTGGGTTCTGCTGTGAGTTCACGTGACATCTGGTTGTTTAAACGTGTGTGGCACGTCGACCTTCTCTCTCTTGCTCTCACTCTTGCCTTGTGATATGCTGGCTCCCCATTCACCTTCTTCCCTGGGTGGAAGCTTCCTGAGGCCCTCAACTGAAGCCAAGCAGCTGCTGGTGCTATGTTTGTACAATCTGCAGAACCACATGCCAATTAAACCTCTTTTCTTTATAAATTACCCAGCCTTGGGGATTTTGTATGACAATGCGAATGGACTGACACATTTAGAAGGCAATAAATAGCAAGCAAGAAAGACAGAACTGCAGCCTCAGGGTGGTATCATGGCTACCATTAAGGAGCTGTGCTCTTAAGCTTGGAATCCATAAGTAGAAATCCAGTTATTGCTGAAACAGGAAAATTAAGAAGTTGGGTACAGAGTAGACTATAAGAGTTACAGAAAAGCTAGAATAAAAGAAAATAATTAATTAGAATAAATAGGAAACAGGGGCAAGAACTAGGCTTCTATCATACTAAGTTCAGAGTGGGACCAAATGAAATTACTTCAGTGCAAATCATTTCAATGCAAATCAAATAAACACCTGCTGTCTTCCTATATCCCTCCTGCTATAAGGCAAGGCAAACCTCAAACCGCATCTTCAGATAGTCCTGCTCACTGAAGTCAGAATGTTGGTAACATTTTACTGCTAACACAGAAAAACACAGGCATGAGAAGCCCAGTCAGGGTGATATACATATGTTGTAACTCAGAAATCAATTCTTTTTTTTTTTGTCATATGTTCATAGTTGCAGAGATACAGACTACATTTTCCAGTCTTTTGTAATGAATATGCCAATATGACTAGACTCAGGCTAATTAGATGTAAGAGGCAGTGATTTGCAAAAAGTCTCTATTTATCCCCAACTTAAGTCAAACTTTTATATCTACTGAGGTATTATAAGAGAGTTATTTCACTGAGGAGTCCAAAAGATGTTGACCTTGGAGGATTTATACATTTTTTATTGTTTCTAAAATATCTGACTGTTTTACTATAATAACCAAATAATAATAATAAAGACAGTAATAATAAATGCATATTAAGAATTCTTCTATTCTGGTTTTTCTAAAGCTTAATAATAAAATACAGAGTTAGACTGTGGTTTTGGATCACAAAACTTCACTTTCTGTTAACAGTAATATATTTTCTATTCAAAGAGCAGATATCTGCAAATCTTACTAATTCAAATTAAAGCACTTTAAAAGAATCTCACTGTTCAGATGCAGCACAGAAGGAATCTGAGCAGTCACAATACATGACAAAATAATTTTGACAAAAATTTTAAAAATTATTCATGAACAGCCCTAACAATTTTAGATATTATTGACTTCTAAAACCATGAACTCATGTTGCAAATATATTCATTAGATTTAAAAATTTTTCTCTCGTTTACTATATACTACATGCTATTCCACTACTTTATGTGGTAGGGAAAATTGTTTAACCTGCAGCTCACAGGCCACATGCGGCCCAGGACAGCTTTGAATGCAGCCCAACACAAATTCATAAACTTTTTAAAAACATTATGAGATTTTTTAATGTGCTTTTAAAGCTTATCAGCTATTGTTAGTGTATTTTTGTGTGACCCAAGGCAATTCTTCTTCTTTCAGTGTGGCCCAGGGAAGCCACAGTGTATAAAACAGACCAATATCCTTGCCTACTAGCAAGGGGAAAAAGAAAAAAAAGCGTAATAAATAAGTGAAGTATATTGCGGGTTCTAAGATGATCAATACTTCAGATAAAATAGAGCAGAGTACCAGAGGTGCGAGTAGTGGAGAGTGCACACGTGACAACTTTAAATAGGGGCATGGGTCAGGTTAGATATCACTGTGAAGGTGAAATTTCAGCAAAGGCTAAAAGAGTGCAAACAAGTTCGGCAGGGGGATAGCTGGGGAAGAGCATTTTAGGAAGAGGAAGTAGCCGTTAGGAAGAGGAAATAGCCGTTAGGAAGAGGAAATAGCCATTAGGAAGAGGAAATAGCCATACAAAACTCTAAGGGAGGAGCATGCATGGTGGGTTCCAGGACAGCAAATGACTCAGCAGTCTTGAGTGTGCTGAAAAGAGCTAGAGCCAGGGACAAAGGAATGACAGGGATGTGGGGTCACGGGCGGGGAGAGGAGGAGGTCCCAGAGGCCCTGGCCAGCCCCTTTTGGGAACAGCTTTTGCACTGTGTGAAATGGGAAGTTACTACAGTTTTTGAGCAGAAATATTAACACATCAGATTAATACTTTAAAAGGACTGATTTTTTTAAGAGACTGAGTTATTCTGTTAAGCAGCTCAATGAAAATTATAAATGATGCTTTGGAAGGAATAAGTGGCCACTAGAACAATAACATTTAAAGAAGCAAAAACATGATAGCTTAAAAGTGAGAGACAAGAGAGAATATTACATAAAAAGGTATAAACAAACAACACTAATGAAACTACCTTTGCAAAAATTATAACTGAGCCAATTATGACAGAGAAAGAGATCTGAGCTAACTGAGTCCATCTTGCTTCTGTCCTACAAGCTGTCCTCGTTCATTCCAGAGTGTAGGCTGAACTAACTTTGGGAAGAACTTAATTTATGGCTTAGCTTCTAAACAAAGATGATAACAGCGCTTTCCCAAAACAAACCCTCCTCCTGCCTGGGGACTAGACTGCCTTTGCGAGACTAACAAATTAGTCATAAGATTAGAAATTATGGTCATGCACTGGAGGTTGCAAGATTCTAAACCTCCCCAAATTGCTCCTGGGGATAACATCATTATTGTAAAACCTAAGATCAGTGCTTGAGATATTTTGCAGACCCTGCACTGGATGGATCAGCTGGCACCACCCAGATCATAAACTGACTGGTCTGCTCTGTGCCCCGCCCCCCATGCCAGTAGCTGAGTCAGCCAAGAGAACAGCTTTGACTTCCTATGATTTCATCTCTGTCCCACCAGAATTCCTGATCCACAGGCCCCTTAACCAGCAAATTATCCTTAAAAACTCCAGTCCCTAATTATTTGGGAGACTGATTTGAGTAATAATAAAGCTCCAGTCTCCTGCACAGCCTACTCTGCATGAATAACTCTTTCTCTATAGCAGTCAACCTATCTTGATAAATTGGCTTTGTCCAGGCAATGGGTAAAGTGAACCAGTTGGGTGGTTACACAGATACCCAGGAAAATAGTTTTAAATTATTCAACAGCTACCAAAATAGAACAAAAAAATTTAGTTTTATACTGTAGGGTAAAATAATTTTATATACTTACCTGATCCCAAAGCATGGCTATATTTTAGTAGATTACATTAATTAAGACATGATAAATGACCGGGAGGTATCACAACATTTTATAGTTATCAGATCCCCTTTTTGAGAAAGAGAAGGAATGAACTGTGAGGCATTTTTAAAGTTTTTTTCACAAACTTATTAAAAGAGACAGTCTTTTAACACCTAAATGGGTAAGTTTTTGTTTTCTTAAAATTTTATTTTGTGGAAAAATAAAACCTCTGGCAGCAAAAAATAAATAAACTGTTACCATATCACTAGATGTTGGGTGGGTCTGCTCCACAGGAAGCTTGAAGAGGAAGAATAAAAACGGTGTAGAGGCTAGGCACAGTGGCTCACACCTGTAATCGCAGCACTCCAGCAGGCCAAGGTGGGCGGATCACTTGCGTATCGAAGTTCGAAACCAGCCTGGGCAACATGGTGGGACCCCATCTCTGTAAAAAACACAAAAATTAGCCTGTGGTGGAGCGTGCCTGTAATCCCAGCTCCTTGGGAGGCTGAGGCAGGAGAATTGCTTGAGCCCGGGGGGTAGAGGTTGTAGTGAGTAGAGATAGTGTTACTGCCCTCCAGCCTGGGTGACAGAGGGAGACTTTGTCTTAAAACAAAAACAAGAATGTAGATTGGCTTATTTCTATTTCCATCCAAAAAAATGATTAGGTGGAAAGGGCTCTCTCCATATTCAAAGTATAGAGAGAGAAACGAGTAAGACAGAATGAATATTCCTGAATATGTTCGAAGAGAATTCCATCCCGTTTCAAGCATCCTCTGTCCTCTGAAGTGCAAATGTGGAGGATGTACAAAATCTATCAACAATTTCGTATTTTTTCAAAGTCCAAATTACTATTCTTAAGAATCTTGTGTCCTTAAATATTTTGTTTGGAAGTAGGTCCCACCTAGCACAAGCAATGACAATGTCTCTTTTAACCTGGAGTCAAACTTCAGTAAATGCCAGCGAGGCTCTTAGAAGAAGCAATTCCATTTTGTGCACCTCTTTGTGTATTTTCCTTTAAATGCAGGGATTGCTTTGGAGGCTTGGCCACAAGCCACATTTGAAACGCTTGTGTTCAATCATTTTAGCTATTGGTTCACCCACTTTTTTTCATAATTCAAAATAACTGAAAGGATTATTTTTCTTAGACCTTGTCAAAAGAAATATACCTTATCACTTAGATGAAGTATGGAAAAGTTGAATTTTAAAGCCAAAAGGGTTATAAATGTCAAAAGCCCTGAAAACATAGGAATATAAAGACAGCTTGAATCCACACTTTTCATTGCGTTTCCACTGTAAACGCTCCTTTCAACAGTCCATTTGTATTTCCTGGTCTTATTGTTATGTCCAAGCCTGTGCTGTTTGGACACATATTAAGAAGTCAATCCATATTTTTTTCTGAAAAAAAAATGTAGCATAAACTAAAGGAAAGTAGCAAAATAGTCTAAGGCAAGGGTAGAGTTTTAAAAAATCAGTCATCTTTTTTCCCTATGAGTGGACTGTCTATTCATGAAATAATTTACTCTTATTTCATATACACAAATTCTAATGGTATGGTGAAAATTGCTCTTGGAGACCATTCTCACTTCACTTGAAGGGCACTCATTGATATGTGGTAATAAGACAGCAAAGATAAACGACCAAGTTTTAGCTATATCATTTGCAATTAAAGATTTACTCCCCTATCCAAATCGGTCGTAATGTACCATTGACAGACAGAAAGGACTCATCTCAATATGTCTCAATACCTCTCTCTCTCCGCAGATTCAGTCCCCAAAAATGTGTGGCCTCTTAATAAACGTAGATTCTGTCCTGCATAACAGCATCTGCAGTACATCTGCTATGACTCTGAGGCAGTGACACTTGTGTTGCAGGTAATTTTAGCTTCTCTCATAGCAAATATAACATCAATTTTGCATTTTCCAAGGAAGACTGGAGTCCCAGTAGGTCCAATTAGGTGCACTCCCTTGTAGGAAAGTTTGCTATGTTCTCTCAATGCCTGCTCCTTCCCCACTATAAGGTAATTTCAAGGGATACTGTGAGATGAACCATCCCATGGTAAAGGATGGGCTGGCCTTATGGATAGGCAAGTAGAAACGAAAATTATGTAGAGAAAGGAAAAAGAAGACCACCTAGTGCTTAAAGGTCACACCATGATCATATCATGCTATTTAAAACTCAAAATTTAATTCAGATGTCTTAAAGCTTCTACCTCAAAAGGGCCTATAAAAATCAGATACCTCTGAGAGTGTTAGGAAAGTAAAGTTGGAATAAATTTATCTCAAATGATTCCTAGAAGAGTCTGCTGGAATAGAACAGACTGATTTACATCTTGATAGGGCTGGGGAAAGTTACCTGTGATACTGCTATCTACCCACATGGGACCTTCAGGAGAAAGTGATGCTGGAAAGGACAGTGCAGAAGGAACAAAGGCAAACTTCATCCACATCAGCATTTGCCTGAGTCCAAATGCTGGGTCAACAAAAGCAAGTCTGGTTCAATTCCAGCTATGAAGGGGACATTAACACCATGCTGTGGGTCAAGAAAAAGACAGATTGTCTGCTACTAATAAATTCTCAAAACGCCATTTCCTGAGCCAAAACATTGCCAAAAATTATATGTTCATTTACTCATGTATTCAAATGTTAATATGCAGACCACGTCTGAAATTGTGGACAGCTCTTGAAAGGATAGACAGATGCACAGGACACAGCCTTTTTGCTCAAGGAACTCTCATTCCAGTAGGAGAGATAAAGAAAAAAATTCGTGAGTAGAAGTAGAAGGGAATTGAAAGAGGCATAAAATGCTACGATAGGGCCTAATATGGAGAGAGAATTTTTTACTAGAAGACTGAAACATTCTCATTGGAGAAGGTGGCCTTTGAATTGGGCTGTGAAGGCAGACACTTTTCAGGAGCATGCTGGAGACAGCAATGCTCACTGCATATTGAATGAATAAATACATGAGTGACGTCTAGTAGAAAGCTGATTGCACTAGCGTCAGTGAGGTGGAGCCCACTTCCAGATCTGCTACTTTCTCTTGGTCAAACCTTCTAAACTTTTGGACCTTTAGTTTCATCATTAGTAAGATATGAAGGTGAGACTAGTTGTCTTTAATTCTTTCTACCACGATAATTTTATGAAGGCATGGAGTCCGACTGACTTCTGTGGAACTCTGCAGTGGTTACTGGGGTTGCCTTACCAACCAGCATTCTCCTCTACTATTCTCCACTCCATAATGTAGTAACTAGAAAGTTTGGGTGGGATTTGCTTCATCCTCAGATCCAAGGGTATTCCCTGCTTTCTGATTACACTTTTTTGTCATTAGGATTGTTTCATCATTGTTCCATCTACCTCAGTCCTAAACCAATACCAGGCATTGCTATGGCCATAGATTAATTCAATCTGGACCTCTCCAGAGGGTCCAGTGAGAGCAAAACCAGGACATCTGTTCAACAGTGGAGGACAGTGCTCATGTTTCTCGTACTGGGTATGGAAAAGAAGCTGACAGCAATCATATGACCACAAGGAAAGCATTTTGAAGCTAAAGAGGCCAGGCAATCGATGGAGACACAAAGAAATCCCCCAAAACATGGGAACAGAGATCCGCTCGCACTTTGACTAAAGACCAGTCTATCCTTGGACTTTCTCGTTTGTAAGCCAATAAACTCCATTCACTGTTTAAGACCTGTGAGTCTGATTTTCCCTATCTAACAACCACTTTTCTAAACCACTAAGCCACTTTTAAACTTTTTCCAAAACAAAAAAAAAGTTTTTTTCTCAATCACTTTACTTAACAAACCAAGTACCAATCAGTACTAAACTATAAACTCAAAATATCTATCCTCTCAATTTTGAAAGTGTGTAAAAACTTATCTGACAAAATTTCTAAGAAAAAGATGATGACTTCCCCACTCTGAAGTAGAAAACACAACTTTATAAAGAGCTTTAAGAAGAGAAAATATATTGAAGAATGAAAAGTAAAACACCTTTTTTTCTGGAGGCTTCCCATTATTCTGGTTCAATTTTAGGATATTTTTGTTGTCAGCCTTGCTCCCATCTCTTTGAAACTTAAGTTCCAACTCTTCTGTCAGAGAGTGCAAATGTTTTCAGTGGTCAAAAAGAGAATAATCTCTGCAGGCATCTCTCCCACACCCTTATTTACACATGAGGCACCTGCAGCTCAAACTGGTCAACAGTCTTGCTTGGGATGGTGAGTGTGAGAGTGGGGTCAGGGTCTTGGGTGGACACCCTTCCAGTTCAGATCCTTGCTTCATGACAGCCGCGGAGTGCTCTGACACAGCTACAGTATCTGTTAGCCGTCAACACTGCCATCCAGGTATACACTCACCTGTGCCAACCACTTCTTTTATTTTTTTTTTCCTGTTCCATGGAGTCAGTTTTCCAACTCCCATTTTGCAGGTTAAAAAGAAGCACTGAGAAACAAAGAACCCAAATTATTCTAACCAGCTTAATCCTCCACCCCTGGCTGATGCAGGACTACAGAGCTCCAGCCTACTGGCCAGGGGACTAATTCTCCCATCCATCCCATTAGCCCCACTCAGTGATAGCACACCTTAGACAAATGTTTTCCTGAAGTCTCTTGATAAACAAATCTGCTTTTGCTCTTAAAATAATAAAAGTATAGAATTTTGGACTTCAAAAGAGTCTTAACAATCATTTAATTGAGAACTTTTCCCAGTGAATTATAATGCCACCCTCCACCTGCTAGCCCTGTTCTCCGTTGAAGGGGACGGTGATGTCCATTCTATATAACAAATGTCTTGTCATTTTTGTGGGGCTAGGAACAGTGTCATTAAACTGGGCAATAAAGACATGCTAATTGTGGGCAATCATTCTTTTTGAATTTTTTCACTACAATATTTGTCTGTCTAGAAACAGAGATAAATCTTTCTTTTTCTTTCTTTCTGGGTTTCTTTTCTTTTTTTGATGGAGTTTCTTTCATGTTGCCCAGGCTGGAGTGCAGTGGTGCGATCTCAGCTCACTGCAAACTCCGCCTCCTGGATTCAAGTGATTCTCCTGCCTCAGCCTCCCAGGTAGCTGAGATTACAGGCGCCCGGCACTACGCCCCGGCTAATTTTTGTATTTTAGTAGAGATAGGGTTTCACCACGTGGGTCAGGCTGGTCTCCAACTCCTGTCCTCAGGTGATCCACCCGCCTTGGCCTCCCAAAGTGCTGGGATTACAGGCATGAGCCACCAAGCCTGGATGAGAAATCTTTAAAGAGTAACATCCCGCTTGAAAGCTACACTACTATAACATTTACTGACTACACATAAAAACCTATTTGAATGACACAAGAGAAACTGTTGTCTATAACTGCACGCTGACATATGGTTACATACGCAATATTACTTATTTTGTCCAGTGCTAATTTTTAATGACAATGGAGTTTCTATAAAGTGTGCCAGGAGGAAGTTTCTTTGGTGTATATTAGTCTGTTATATTTATGCTTAGTTTGGCTGGTGAGTTTTCATTACACCCTACATCCCAGTACATGAAAAATGGAAGTTGTGTAGTTTGAGCTTTCAGCTGACCAGTCATTTTCCTGTAACCTGAAGTAAGTACTAGTTATTGTAAGCTCTGAGATGGAAATAGTCGGCTGTGCACAACTCACATGATATTATGAGATATCTGTAGAGTTTTGAGAAGTAAGTTACACATTTGATGGGCCTATCGTAACCATGTTGGCACCTACGATGAGAGAAAAGAGACTTTTTGTTTGTTTAGTTATCTATTCCAACTGTGATTATTTATGGATAGTGGCTAATTGTTTTAGAACGTATTGAAGAGCATACTTACCTATTAGAAATAAGTTGAAACAGACTTGGTTGCTCCAATTTACTATAAACTAGGAGGTAGAATGATGTATTGGAAAGAGAATGGTCTTTAGCCATAGGAAGACTTGGGTTCAAATCTTAAGTTATAATGTTTATTTTACTGATGTTCTGGGCAAGTCACTGAACTATTCTGGCCCTGTGTTTCCTCTCCCAAGGAATAGGAATAATAGCATCTGCTCCTAAAAATGTTATTTTGGGAATTAGAATTAATATATGTTAGTTAAAGTAAGGAGAGTTAACAAATCTTTAAGTATTAGATGCTTGGGAGTGATAAATAACACTTATTCCATTCACAAAGAGAGTTTAATGAACCACTGCAACTCAAACTACTCAAATCTTTAAAAGTCCTGTTTTTATCAGCACTTATAGAAACAGATTCACTTTCACTTTTGCCATAAGGTTAATTATGAAAAATATATCTGCGTATGTCACCTGCCTCAGTAATTAAATAGAACTAACAGAAAAAAATCAAATTATTTAGTGGCAAAAATAAGTCAGCACTTAGCATTTATTCAACGTCATATGCTACCATTGCCACAGTTATGTGGTCTCTATGGCATTTCACTTTCCCAGTGAAGAAGCTTCTGTGAACAAACACAATCGTTAAAAACAGATTGAGCGTGAAATGAAGATGAGAACTTACATTCATTGGTAAAAACAATATCATGTGACTAAACTATAAAGGTAAACAAGTCAGTTAAACTGAGAACGCCAGGGCCTTTGGTCCCTTTATCATTTGTATTTTAAGTAACATTTTACAAAGTGTTAATGGTGTGTTATAGTTTACCACCTGCCACTTGAAGAACTGTGGTGTTGGGGTTAGTATCGTGTTTGATCCAGCTTTGTAGGGATGTTTCCTACTTTCGAAATGTCATGATATGCTTAAAACTATGTGCAAAAAAAGAGAATGAATTGGTTTTCGTTTCCCTCCTTTGTATTTGTTGTTAATCCGCTTCTCAATGTCCTGTCTGTGTGTTTCTGCTTTCATCCTTCTTTCTTACCACGCAACTATATCATTAGCCACAAGGCAGAACATGTCTTCTAAGCAAATGTAGCATTAAAAAGTCTCCTGGGAGAATTTTAGCAACTGTCGAGCTAAGGTCATGCCACAGTGAGAAACAAAGCAATGCGTAATAAGGACAGTCACTTAAACACGAGAAAGTTATTAATAAATCAGGAGAAATCAAGTGTGCATGAAAAGGCTGGGTATCATGTGTTCTGTGTTTTCAGATACAAGATTTATTACCTGTGTAATTGCTGTACCATGTAGGATATGCATTTGAACAAATGTTGTAAATTATTACAACGTACGCTACAGTGAAACCTCTTTATAATATTTCCACACATACTGGTTTCCCATCTGGGGAGTCCTGAATTACACATCCCTCTTACAGAGAAGTGATCCTCTAGGAGCGAGGCTCAAGATCATAACAATTCTCCCCATTTATTCCTCGACATTGTATTAGTGGTACCTGAGAGGTGGCTCATGGATGTTAAGAATACAAATATGAGCAAGAGGACCTCAAGATGCAAACAATCCAATTGAGAAAGGAGATTATAAACAGCAAACTGCTACTAAGGCTACTGCTGTTGCAGCAGTTGCTGCTGCTACTAATAATAAAAAAATAGAACGCCTGTGCCTTGTTCCGAAGAGCTGCCTTGCAAATGCACCTAAAAGGGGGAGAGAACCTTTTCTTTTAGCAAAATATAAGCATAAGCAAGTTAGTAATTACATACACTTCTGTTCCATTGTCTGTAAAGACACAAATAATTGCTGCCTCATGGAATGATTTTCAGGGTTAAGATACATATGGGAAGTGTTTAGCATTAAGCCACGAGCAACTAAGAGCTCAATGGATGGGAGCTATCTATTTATTGCTCTTTACTATTCATGTTAGTTGTATTATTGGAGGCATAATGACACAGTGAAAGAGGCTCTGCATCCAAGTAGGTCACAGCATCATTGGGGGCTTACAATATGCAAAGACGTTAAAACCGTAATCAACCAGGCATTATACGTGATAATTACAAATGAGTGTTAGGCAATACGTGCTGAAGGTGTTATTTTCATATACCCATTTATCTCCAAAAAAATAGAGTTGGCGTAACATTCTTGTTCATAAAAAGATCATAGAAACAGAACAAAAACGTTATATCCCGTTTCTGCTTTCAACATGGGTATTAGACTCATTTCTCCAAACAACTACGTGTCCAATATAGAGATATCTAAATATAAATAACAATTTTCAAAAGCCATAATCAATCCAATCCATCTAATCTAAAAGCCGACACCTAATCAGAGACACACAAGGACCAAAGTACCTGAATAATATATCAGAAATATTGATAAGCTTATCACATGTGCTTTTCTTTACAGCTTTTAAAATACAGAGTTATTGAGTTTGGGTGACTGTCCATTGTCTTTGTTGACACAAATAATTAAAACCTGCCATGACCATAACTTTCATACCTAACTTCAGGACAAAAATAACAATGGCCCTGACAGGACCTCTTTGGCCTAGACTGACAGCTGCTGTGACCGACACGCTTGTTCTGGGCTAATGGACATTGATGGACTTCCTGTGTGTCAGCTGAATCGGAGGTGATTTTCAACTGCTGAACAGGAGATGACCTGCTGGCTCATTGAATATGTGGGATACTTGGGAATGGGCTGATGAGAAAACTCATCTTCTGTACAGGTCCTTGTTGGGTCGAGACAGAAAGCGAAGGCTTTGTGCCTGTTACTCACTTGAGCTCATTTTGACCCAAACAAGTATCCAGAGGAATTAACTAGTGACCCAGGTGCAGGGTCGCACCTGTCCTCATGAGTGCCAATCAAACATTTTGGCTGGAAATTCCCCTCAAATGATGGAGGATACTGGCTTCAATCCTTTAAATGGGGCATATTTCCTTAGTTATTATACATGTCATAGGGGACAGAAAATTAAATATTATGACTAGAATGATTAATAATGATAGCATAAAACTTTAATTTTGTTTCCGTTCTCATTTTCGTGATATAATTACATGTCCCACTTAAAAATACAAAGGTTTGAAAGAAATCTCGCACACCACTGAGGCAGTTTACTAATACTCCAGGTGATAACAATACTGACAAAGTACCCTCATGCCTGCCTCCTTTTGACTGATTATTTTATTTATTTGTGTTTGTTTTGGTAAAGGGAGTAGGAGGAGAGTTGCTGGAAAGGCCTTATTGATGGGAATAGAAGAGGGAGAAGTATATAAATTTGAGAATGTGCAAAAGTAAACTAGGCATTCATTGTGAGGAAAAATGCTTAATGCAGTATCTGGAGCATCATTTTCCCACTGGAGTAAAGCTACCCAGTAATTATGTATTGCACCAAACAGCTGTAAAATCAGTAGAGCGGAATCTTTCTAAGTCCCATCTCTTTTAAAATGATGTTATAGCTATATTTTCATAAGAAAACAATGAGCCAAAGTATTACTATTAAGGAACTTGAACTCTTAATATAACAAATAAGGCCTCGGTTTTCACGTAATCAGAAAGAATGCAAATAATTATATCAACTTTGAAGATGTGCCAAAGATATAAAAATGGCTGAGAGATTTCTGCTGCTTTCCTGGAGACATAGTAGGGACAGAGTGATCTGCCACAATTTGGGGATAAGATTGGTAAAGTACTAACCTAAGCAAAAATATGAATGTTGAGAAATGTGCTGCCAGCGAGTTTTCTCAAGTCTCCATCAAGAGTGCAGAGCCAGGAAAAACGGATCACAATGCAATGATGTCAGCGTGATATAATGCTGGTGTCTCTCAACAGGTATTTCCATATTTCCATATGGAGTCTTAGAAATTAGAATACCAGCACTAGAGTCTATTTTTTTTTTTTTTTTTGAAATGGAGTCTCATTCTGTTGCCCAGGCTGGAGTGCAGTGGCATGATCACGGCTCACTATAGATTCTGCCTCCTGGGTTCAAGCGATTCTTGTGCCTCAGCTTCCTGAGTCACTGGGACTACAGGCGCGTGCCACTACACTGGGCCAAGTTTTGTATTTTTAGTAGAGACGGGGTTTCACTATGTTGGCCACGCCCATCTCAAGCTCCTGGCCTAAAGCAATCCACCCACCTCAGCCTCCCAAACTGCTGAGATTACAGGTTTGAGCCACTGCACCTGGCCTGGAGCCTCTCGTTGCATCTCTAACACTGTGCAGTGTGGAAGAGGTCCTATCTGCTGGGATGCACTATCAGGTTCCATTGTTTATCACTGATAAGGGGCATCAGGATCCTGTGATAGTATAATAGCATCCAAATTATCATTTATATCTCGAAATATTTTCACTTTTCATTTAGGTTACCAACATAGGTCAGGGTTTTCTGCTGAAGAGATGAAAAATCTTGCCTACGTTGCAGCATTACTTTAATTTTTAAGAAATGGACCATTCTAAATAGAACGTTAATGTTTTGTGAGATTGAATGTTGTGAATCCGTCCTGTAACCTGACATACAAAACCTGGGACCAGACGATGGATCTCAGTTGCCCATGCAGGTACCATGACCTGAATAAATGCTGCTGTTGTAGAGGTATCTGGTCTATTTTTGACAAGCTCTTAACTATAATCCATAGTAGAAAATTAAAGTGATTCATTTTGATATTATCCATATAAGCAAGCTGAACTGAAGAATTAAGTCAAAAGAAAATTATTTTAAAAATAATAAGCATATGTCAGTAATTTATTTTATTTTTTTGAGACAGGCTCCCTTGCTCTGTCACCCAGGTTGGACTGCGGTGGTGCAGTTATAGCTCACTGCAGCCTTGAACACCTGTGTCAGTTATTTATTGTTCTTGTTACAAGGTCCTCCAAAATCGTGGCATAAAACAGCAATCATTGGTTCTTTTGCATAATTTTACGCACTGGCAATCCAGGCAGTCCTGCTGGTCTAACTTGGGTTCACACATGCAGCTGCAGTGACCTGATGGCTTGCAGTAAGTAGAGCGTCCGGGCTGGCTTCACTCGCTCCTCTGGCAGTCTGTGCTGTCTGTTGTTTGAGGCACCTGACTCTTCTCCACATGGCCCTTCCACCACATGCTACTGGTCTCAGCATATCAAAAGGTCTGCCTGGTTTCAAGGAGCTGAAGAACACACCTCACCTGCTGGTTATAGGAACAGCAATGTCACAACAGCAACGTCACACTGCAAAGGGGCAGGCGTGCGACGGTGCTCTCTTCATTGGAGGCACGGTTCATTCCTGTCCTTCCCCACACCATCGGTCCCAGCGTTCCCACTGTACCTTTCACGCCTGCCCAGCGTCTCACTCGGTACATCGCTGAGGTTGCCTGTCCTTGGCAGCGAATGGGAAAGCAGAAGCAGGAGTTGTGGCAGCCACTGAAGAGTGATGTTTTTGTTGTTGTTTTAACTCCACATCTCTCTCCCTTTTTTTTTTAAGTTCATAGATCCATATTGATCCTCACCTAGAACAAAATCAGCCAAATGTATCAAAGATTTTAAAGAAAGATAAGCTGTAAAAAATGTTTCATAAAGTAAGGCAGGCGAGAAAATAAATGCTTATTTTAAAACTAAAATAAGAAAGTTGTACTTAAATACACTCACATCCAAGGTGGATTCACAACTTAGTGTTTGTTCAAACCTTAGGGTGCCCAGAGGTGTCGCGGCTGACTTGCTCATGCTGTTATTGCCTCTGGTAGCAAAGATATTTCCCAACTCCAAATTAAAACTAGTTTGCATTAGGAAAAAATCAAAATAAGTTTGTTTCTCATGATATGATGGAACAAAGCATTTTTAAAAAATCATTTTAAATGTGGGGAAAATAGATTTTTTTTGTTTAAATTGGAAGGAAAATAGGAAACAAAGAGAAGCATAAATAAGATTTCCAAAGACAAAGAAATACTAGGTACAAGGGAGCCTCTTAACAGTAGCTGGAAGGAAAACTAATGACATCCGAGGTTCTCAGGCCTCTGAGCAGCCTCTGCTGTTCTGATCTTAAACGTCAAACAAGCGGGATGTTGGGCCACTGGGACACGGATGCTCAGGAGCCTGCACTGGCTTCCTTTAAACCAATAAATCAAAATCCTCCTTGCGGAAGACGCGGGTTTCCACAGGCAGCTCCCCGTGGAGGGCTCCCAGCTGATCTGTCACGGTGCGGGATGAGGAGCCCGCAGCCCCTTCCAGTGCCCACCTCCACTCTGCACACCCGTCCCCTGCCCGTCTCCACACGCCCACACACCCCTCTCCCTGGATCGTGCCCACCTCATTCTCCAGTTACTCAGCTCCTACCATCCTTCAAGGTCCACCCGCTCCTGACATCCTCTGTTAACCTCTATCCAGTTATTCCAGGCTCCACCGGCATTTCCTTCCCTTCCTTGCCTAGGACATTTTCAGTGTGCACTATTCTTTTGGACTATGTGTACTATAATTTGAAAAGCTGCAACACCTGCCAGACCAGGGGCTTTTTATGTCCAGAGCAATAGATGGCGTCTATGGTGTTTTCCCATCTCCTGCTCTTTCTCTCCAATGGTGTCTCTGTCTCTTTGAGCAGTGATGGTCGCCCCATTGCGTATAGAGGAAATGGAGGAAAACTTGGAAGTACCGCCTTCCATACAAAGTCAAGGATCGAGACCTTCCTCTCCGCGTTCCAGAATCCCTCAGGAAATACGCGCGTGCCTTCGCATCTAGAGCAAGCGCTGCAAGAATTCACAGAACGGCCAGAAGTTCCCCATCCCGCTGGTGGCACTCACTGCGTTAGGCGCTCAGCCTCCAGTCCGGGCCGCTTTGGCTTGAAGACGGCCGTTTTCCTTCCTGATACCTGCTTCTAGTCTTTCTGCAACTTCTGGATTCCTGTCATTCTTATACCTGCTCTGGGCAGCCTTCCATTCATTCTGCGAATTCCGTGAAGCTTTTCAATAAATTGCTTTTCTCCAATTAGCCTAAATCTCTTTCAGTTATTGGCAGCCCAGTGCCCTGACCCAGCCAAGCACTGTAGACAGTCTACACGTGGCAGCATAACCTAAGACTGTAGGCAGTCTACGCGGGGCAGCATAGCCTAAGACTGTAGGCAGTCTACGCGGGGCAGCATAGCCTAAGACTGTAGGCAGTCTACGCGGGGCAGCATAGCCTAAGACTGTAGGCAGTCTACGCGGGGCAGCATAGCCTAAGACTGTAGGCAGTCTACGCGGGGCAGCATAGCCTAAGACTGTAGGCAGTCTACGCGGGGCAGCATAGCCTAAGACTGTAGGCAGTCTACGCGTGGCAGCATAACCTAAGACACACACACATATATTTATTTCACAGTGACAACTATTAGAGTATGTTTACATGGTTTCCTAGATAATAATGGCCTGGATACTCACAACTTGTTTGCTTCCTGTTGGAGAATAGAATTTTATCTAATTAGTGATTGTGTTTGTATATGGCACCCTAAACAAAAATACCTTCTTTTCTGCTCCATGGACTGAGCGAGATGAGACCACGTGGGAGGATGCAATAGAGGCCTATTGGCCACATTGTTTTGCTAACACTGAATCTCAGAGCTAAACGGGCTTCCCCCTTCCCATCCCAGAAGCCCTCCATCTCCCAAGGAGTGCAGTTTCTAAATAAACAGCCCAGCCCGGCATCAAGCAGCAATTCACTTAGCAAAGAATGGATGAGAGGGCTGAACAGAGTATTCAGTTTTCTGAAATTTTTCAGTAAGGCCATCACTCTCCCTTCCCAGGGGCAAAGTTAGTAAAGGGAAGGACATCAGTAGTAGGGCAAAAACCTATCCACTTTAAGAACTGCAATTAATTAATAAATGTTCCAGTTCATGCTGCAACTAGTTAATATGCATAGAAGCAGACACATTCCTGAACCATTTTGCCTTTAGGTGAGGCACATGCTCTCTTACTGAGCCACTGAGTCTCCCGAGTCAGCCTTTTAGTAGGAGCAGAGTTGATTGTCTTGACCAGAATAACTGCTTAGGAGAAAGGGTAGAGAGTGCCCCGCTGTGTGACCAGGACCCATCTTTAGATCACCAGTCCAGAGAACAGTGACACGCACTTGATCAGTGTGCATGCAACGATATGGATGGACAGCATTGCTTCTGAAAATAAATGTGTAATAATGCATACTTCTCTGGCTACCAAGGATGGCGGATAAAAATGTGAACTGGGCAGTTAGACTACCTGTGTTCAAGTATGAATCCACTCTTCGCTAGGTGACAGCTTGGGCAAGTGACTTAGCCTTTCAGTGCTTCTATTTCCTTATAAGTAAAATATAAGTGTGATAGCATCTATCTCTGAGTATTGTGTATGTCGTGCAGAGGAAATATAGACACGACATAAGGCCTGCCAATAGTAGGAACTAAAATATTTTATAAGATCATAAAGTTACTCATGAACTACATCTACACTTATTGGAGACTGATTTTTTTTAAGGATCCTTGTCATATGGGAAAGTACAAGGACATATGGAGATGCTGAGAGAATAACACTGGACAATACTTTGATGTTGACAGAGCCCCTTTCTCTGAAGTACCCAAATAATGCCTGTTTTTATATATTTGTCTTCATTATATTTGGCCATATATATTCTACTGTGCTAAATGTGGTCAGTGGCTTCAGTCCCTTCTAGGCAATCCTAACTTATGTAAATATGAAGACCAGGTAAAAAAGCCAGAATGGGTCAGGCGCGGGGGCTCACGCCTGTAATCCCAGCACTTTGGGAGGCCGAGGCGGGCGGATCACGAGGTCAGGAGATCGAGACCATCCTGGCTAACACCGTGAAACCCCGTCTCTACTAAAAATACAAAAAATTAGCCGGGCGTGGTGGCGGGTCCCAGCTACTCGGGAGGCTGAGGCAGGAGAATGGCGGGAACCCGGGAGGCGGAGGTTGCAGTGAGCCGAGATCCCGCCACCGCACTCCAGCCTGGGCGGCAGAGCGAGACTCCGTCAAAAACAACAACAACAAACAACAACAACAACAGCAACGCCAGAACGGAGAAGCCAAATAACCGATGCAACGAACTATGTGCACGACTCGCTGATTACAATATTTATATAATATTGAATTTTGAAACTTTGTTATCTGCATTTGTCCATTTGGGACAAAATAACTTGTTGTCTATGTGTCTATGAAGAAGAAAATATTTTACATAGATTGAAGCTGATGAAATTATAACAGTTGGCAACAATGCCAGAGAAAAATAAGTATCTTAACTGGAAAAAATGAGTTTTAAAAAATAGATGAGAATAATATTTCCGAAAAGGAATGAAGATTTCGAGTGAATGTCGCGTGTGGCAGCATCCACAGCTCACGATCCCTGAGAACACACTATTAACTGCCTACTTCAGTCCTTCCCTACTTGAATAGACCCTCAGCTCAGTTTCAGTCTCTCTGAGGTCACTTCTGACTGTAAGCCAGATACTCATTTTCACATCTCACCTTTCCCCAAAAGCAGCTGGGTTGTCCTCCACTCTCATAACAAGGTTCCATGTCTTGAGAGACCCTTGTTTCATAATTAGAGGGAAATCTATTTTTACTTCCACTACCTCTGAGAGTCTTTGTAAGGGTTTGAGCTGGGGACTGGGATATACATTACATATTTTGGATAAAAACTCTTTCCTTCTATTATGGTTTTCCATTGTCCCTACATTACTGATCCTTACTTTGTCTCATTTCTAATGCCTGCTGTGGTCTTTTTCTGTACAATGTCCCAATATACTAGATCTCATATTCCTTCATTCCTCAAAAGGCCCACTACTAAGAAGACAGAGTACCAGAAAAGATTTTTCGAAACTTTGATTTAATAAGAAGGGTTTCTGAATGTGAATCTTCCACTAACTGCTGAAATTGGAATACTGCAGTCCTAGAAATTCCTGGGCGATTTACCTGCAAGAGATCATTTATCCTAGTCCTCGTTCATCACCAAAGCCTTCAGTTTTCACTGTTGAGGGGAGAATTTCTTTGCCCCTTTCTAGGTACCAATCAATCCTCAGCCTCCACATTTCTGTTATTTTCTCCTGCTAAGCAATTTTTTTCTGCTGCTTATCCCTGACAGGTTCCAGACATAACATTAGCACAGGAGAAAATGCATTAAGGTGTTGTGTTACATAAGCATCTACCCCCAGATCCTACTCCCTTATAATACAAGGCACTGAAAGAAAATGGGAAATAACACTTTCCTGTTTGTGATGATCTTATTTTTAGCGGGGCCCTCTTTCCTGCTGGTTTTTGAATATAGAAAAAGGCAACAGTGAAAATGTGTGTTCGACTTGTCCAAAGCAAACCCCTGGATTCCGTAGTTTTTGTTATACTTATTTATATGCATGAATTCTCACCTGTACTAGACTGTAAGATCCCTAAGGACAGCATTCAGTTTTCATAATAGGTGAACAGACTAGAGTACCTTAAAAATAAGCTAAAATATCTAAGAAGTAGCATCAGGTGTATCTCAGCCTTCCATAAATACATGCTCAGTGAATGGCAACAGAGATAAAGGACATGTTGAAGTAGGGCTGGGCACAGTGACTCACACCTGTAATCCCAGCACTTTGGGAGGCTGAGGCAGGTGGATCACATGAGGTCTGGAGTTCAAGACCAGCCTGGCCAAAATGGAGAAACCCTGTCTCTACTAAAAATACAAAATTTAGCCAGGCATGCTGGTGGTTGCCTGTAATCCCAGCTACTTGGGAGGCTGAGGTGGGAGAATCTCTTGCACCCGGGAGGCAGAGGTTGCAGTGAGCTGAGGTCATGCCACTGCATTACAGCCTGGGCGACAAGAGCGAGACTCCATCTCAAAAAAAAAAAAAAAAGCACTTTGAAAATAAAAAAACGTATACTAAAATAGTATACAACTGTACCTAAATTAAAATAATTTTTAAAAGTTGAACAGAGGGTAGGGAATTTCTAGTCATTGACTCATTACTTACCCTGTACACACCCCAAGGTGAATATGTAGCCAGGATTTAAACTGTGTTTTTTGTGCAGAATGTTCTAATGAGTGTCATGAAGGAATTTCAAAGAACAAAATAAGCATGGCTGCCTTGCCTTCATGAACCGTGTTACACAGAGATAGTGAGAAACATCACAAATGGGATTTCCCCATCAGTGGATCACTTCTGTCTCACAAAGCCAATTGGGTTGTCCCCCCACGGTGTTATGGGGCCAGTCCCTCTCATTACAGTGCTGGCACAGCAGCTTGGCCTGGAAGACACTGAGGTGGAGATCAAGGGAATCCTTTGGATGGATTCCTTGGTATTCTGCTACTGAGCCATGCTGGGAGGTGATACATCAGCACAGGGGGAGAAGCACTTCTCAGCATTCCAAGCAGCCTCCAAATCGTCATGAAAAGGACTCTGTCCACTTTATATAATGATAAAAGCAGAATCAAATGTCACATTTTCTCCATGTTAAACTTTTCCCATGCCTTGCATTACATTTGAGATCTGCTCTTCCATATTGTTAGTGAGATGAGAAATAAGGCCATGCATAGAAGAGCCCTTCGTCTGGGACGTGGGGAAGCAGAGCAGTCTATGAGCTACACTATCCAGGTGGCCTCTCTGGCAATGAGACGATGGGCTCTCCAGAGGGGCCTGAGGGACTTCATGGAGCTGTCAGTCCCATTAAGGTGGGGAGCAGGAGGCTGTGTCTGTTGAGCCAACCAATGGTGGTGGAGAGTCAGAGGCCATGTTCCTTTGCTGGGGCTACCGTAACGAAGTACCAGAGACTGGGCGGCCTAAACAAAAGCAGGTTATGTCAGCACAGCTCTGGATGGTGGAAGTCCAAGATCAAGAGGTTGGCAAGGTAGGTTCCCTCTGAGGCCCCTCTCTTTGGCTTGCAGATGTCCACTCTCCCTCTGTCTCTTTACAAGATCTTTCCTCTGTGCAAGGACATTTCTGGTGTACAAATTTCTTCTTCTTATAAAGACACCAGTCAGATTGGATTAAGGCCCATCCTAAAGACTTGAATTAAACTTTATTGTGCAATTTAAGACTGTATCTCCAAAATAGGCTGTATTCTGAAGTACTAGGGGTTAGAACTTCAATATCTGAATTTTGAGGGGACAGTGAGCCCATCACAGATGCCACACAGCCGGTAAATGGGAAGAGTGGAATGCTACCCTGAGTCTTTCTTGTGTGACAGGCTGATAAACTCCACATGCCAGGAAACATTCATTCAAACAAACAAGAATCTACTCCAAGTTTGGAGCCCTATTTTCATGCCACGGACAGTCCATATATCATCATTTTTCTGTAGGAATTCCATGAGATGCTTTGAAGTGACTTGCTAAAATAAAGTTTTACTCTCTAGAGAGAACATAGTTCTTTGAGATTGTATAATTTTGCAAATACTGAAAAGCAATCTTAATGAGCCACTACAGACAGAGGTTTAATACTAAATCTGCACAAACTTCTAATTCTAGCGTCAGACAACAGCAATTTATGCTCCAGGTAAGAATTTTGGAGAAAAAGCAAAACTGGATTTATGCAACAGATATTTATTTGAGTACAACTTTACATGCAGTACCCTAAAAGGTGTGATATAAGCTGAGAAACTTTAAAATTTAATGTGGCTCCAATAGAAACTTTTCACCTCTGAAAGATAAAATTAAACATTGGATAACTTCACAAAATGAATTTGAAACCCTTACAAATTTGGAAAAATTCACTCAGATAAACAATTTAAAATGAGAGGATTTTAGGAATATATTTTATGTGGAAGATAAAATTTTGTTCTATATTTTGAATGAGTTACTTTTTATAAATTGACAAGTCTTTATAATTTAATTTTAATTTAATATAATTTAATTTTGTAGTTTTAGCCATTTTCTGAGTCACATAAAACACTTACCTAACTCTAAAGAAATATAAAAACTTAAGCTTCAGTCATGAAAAATTTTTGTCTACATGAATGAGTATACTTTTCCTCAGGGTCTAAGAAATATTGAAAGCCTACCTTTGGATGACAGAAGGAGGATTTGTTTCTAGATCTGGTCATGAACCATTTCAAAAACCAAAGTCACATAATTCAGTTATTTATACAGAACAGAAAAAAAAATCACAACAAATAATGTCGCAAATAATTACTATTAATTCCAGTAAAATGATGCACTCCTAATGATGCACCTATAATTCAAGGTTATGGCTGTTTTGTAAGTTGATCTCTCTCTCTTTCTTGCGCTTGGGCGATCAATATATTTTTACTGAATATCTGCTACAACCCCAACCAAAACAAGCTACTATGGAAACAGTAATACATAAGATGAAATCTATAGTTCTCAAAGAGGCTATAATTTTGCATAAAAGTTAACAAATTTCATACATTAGTATAAAACACCAGTAAAAGAAAACACAGGTGAAGTAGTAATGTAAAAATTATAATCAAATTTAAGAGAGGTAGAGAACTCATTCTTGTTTGCTCATGTTGGAGAAGTCATATCAAAAAAAAGTTACGTATCTAGAATTCAAGGAGATGCTTAAAAATTAAAATTAATTTCATGTGAATAAAAATAGAAATAGGAGATGGAAGAGTAAATTCTAGGTAGAGGAAACAATACACTTCTGGGCAATAAATAGTTAAATTATGAAATAATGAGTCAATTCAGTTTGATTGAATGACTCTAAGTTATGCCTCAGGGAGTGCAGAGGAATGAATTTGCTTTTGGAAATATCATCTGGGTTATCTAAGAGAGTCTTGAATGACACAGTATGGCAATGGGGAACCTTTGTAAGTTTTTGAGTAGGTTAGTAGTATCAAAAAGAGTTGAGCTTGATATAAGACATGCATTTAGGAGTCATCTTCAAAGAGCTGAGAGTTAAAGCAATGGGCATGTTTATGATGCCTAAAACAAGGACTGAAGGTGGCATGACCTCACAACCTGATCTGCCCAGAACACTGCAGGTCTATTATGTATTGTCCTAATGTCCCCTTTGATTAGTACCCCTGTCTGTTTCAGAAATGTCACAGTTTGGATCATAATTTATATGGTCACCCAAAACAGAGAAAGCACAAATGGCTGGGTGCATTGGCTCACGACTGTAATCCCAGCACTTTGGGAGGCCGAGGTGGGCGGATCACAAGGTCAGGAGATCGAGACCAACCTGGCCAACATGGTGAAACCCCGTGTCTACTAAAAATACAAAAATTAGCCAGGCGTGGTGGTACACACCTGTAATCCCAGCTACTCATGAGGCTGAGGCAGGAAAATTGCTTGAACCAGGGAGTCGGAGGTTGCAGTGAGCAGAGATCACGCCACTACACTCCAGCCTGGCGACAGAGCAAAGCTCTGTCAAAAAGGAAGGAAAGAAGGAAGGAAGGAAGGAAGGGACTCACTTAATGATTATATTTAATAAATGGAAAACAAGTCCAGAAGGTGGTAATGGAAAAGTGGAGAGGAGAGTTTGGAAATCTCAATTGCATGCATTTGCCTCTATTTCTAGCTGGGCCATGCATCACTCTAGCATTCTTCATACCTGACATGCGTTTAGCTCAATTCACAGTCAGAGGGAAGAACTGCCCCATGATCATTCCGTTGGTTGTATTTCACTTTGGAATTACATTTCATTCTTTCAACATGATAACTTACTTTTCAAATTATTAATCTACCTTCAAAATAGTTCTTACTCGTTAAACTACTACCAGACTAAACTAAACCAAGAGAGACTGGTCATGATGGTGATAAATAGCACAGAATTGCGACTGAAAGCAATTTGTCAAGTGGATTATTAACGTGTTTCTAGAAGAAAGTTCACCTGTGAGAAGATGACTTTGTACCTCTTTCAATATGATTCAATCTATTTGCCTCCAATTCCTCCATTCAATTTCAAACTTCCTGCAGGCAGTAAGAGCCTCTTTTCTATTTTAGTAAAAAGCCTGCAAACATCAGATAAAAAGCGAGGTTGATTGATCGGCTGAACACGCAGCGCTCCATTAGGGAAGAATGCTGCCATGGTGTCCATACAGCAACCATTAAGAAATTTCGCTGGCTGTGGTGTGAACACACGTGTTTTAATAGCTTAACTTCTCTGCTGCTAACCTAGCACTGAATTTCCTCCATCAACATCAGCCTCATGCTTCACACTTTTATTGTAGCACATTTTCTCTACAGAAGTCTAATCTCATTGGAGAACATTTAAAGAAGATAGCAAATACTTTTTATAATAGCACTATATTTCTCTATTTAAATAGCAGTAGTTAGTGAGTTTTCAGCTATCCTAACGCCTATTTGCTTTTACTAAAACTTCCTCTTCATTGGAGAGCTGTGATAATGACTTATTTGGCAGAATATGCATTAAGGAACATCAGTATGTTAAAATCATCAATATTATCACAAACCGCCTACTAAAACATTGAATTTGCCCATTTCTTCCTGTTTCATTGCCTGCTCTAAGAAGGTGGTGTATAGCACACGCGCGTCCTTTTAACTAATGGAGATTGTGCAGTTTCTGTTGTTAAGAATTTGAGATTTTAAGGCCTATCATAACTGTAGTCTTATATTCGAAGTGCTTTATTTTACCCTGGTCGTTGTCACTTAGAATCATTCATGAAGCTTTGGTGTGGCCTTCCAGAAAGAGTGGCTTAACCTTTCATTTGTCGTGAAAATTAAAGAAACTCAGAGTAGTTTTACATTCACCATGTTTGAGAAAATAAAAATAATGATTTTAGCTTTTTAAATATTTTTGACTACACAATAAAATATACAGATAAAGGATAGAGTCCAGAGAATTTTAGACAAAAATCACTCTGTTAATTCTATTATGGTAATATTTAAGTCTGAATTCCTGGTTTGACTTTTGCTTACTCAGTTTCTTTTCATCACTTTAGGTCTCCCTAAATAAGAGTAATTTACTCTTATTGATAAATTGTTAGAATATAAAACGCGGTATTAGTACTTTTTCCTTTTTAGATCTATACATGCAAAATAATGTACCCATTGTAAGTATACAGTTCAATGAGTTTTGATAAAATATATACTTACATAACTCCCAGTCAAGATAAAGGATATTTCAATCACCCCACAAAGTTTTATTTTGATCCCAGGGAACTACCTATCTGTTCCCTGTCACTATCATTCTGCCTGTTCCAGTATTTCATATCTGTGCAATCCTATGATATGACTTTTTGTGTGTCTTAGTCCCATCAGTTAGAAATATGTTTTGAGATTCTTTCCTGTGGTTATATATGTCAGTTGTCAGTTCTATTCATTGGAAAGCAGTATTTCATTGTCTGAATGAACTTTTTAAAAAAATTCACCTATCTATGGATTGACAATAGAGTTTTGCAGTGCTCAGATATTAGGAATAAAGCTCTGTCAACCCTTAAATACACACCTTTTTGTGCATGCGTTTTCATATCTGCTGGATAAATGCCTAGAGGCGGAATTGCTACGACAAAGAGTAAGTGCATGTTTAATTTTGTAAGGAATTGCCAGTTTTCCTGAGTGGTTGTGCATTGTACACTCCCATCAGCAGTGTATGGGAGTTCTGTTTGCTCCACATCCTTGACAACGCACTGGTCTGTTTTACTACATGCAGATTCATCTTCGAGAGAAATGCGTTTTTGCAACCTATGTACAATATCCTGTCTTCTGGAACTATTCTCTGGTCACCTTCTGCTTTTTTTTTTTTTTTTTTTTTTTAGCATAAACTATACCATCACCGCTTCGGCTTTTTTTTAGCAATCACCTTCAGGCATTTTATGAAGATTGCCTCCGCATGATTCAGCAACCTGACATTTTTAAGTTTTCCATTAAAAACAATGTAAGTTAAAGAAAATTAAGCCATCCAGCAAAATGTTGTAAAACAATTTCATCACGTTGACCTTAACTTCCTATATTAACAAATATATTTATGCTCATGTTTAAAGCATTTCACACGAGAGAATAACTGATTTTGAATTTTGCTATGATCTCATAAACAAATAACTATTAAATATAAACCTCTTATTTCAATATAGACAAATGTTGTATATAATTCTCAAATAATGAGATATCACTCAGTAATAATCCATAAACTTAAGTAACTTCTCTGACTCTCTGTTTTTCTATAAGTTAAAAGGGAATAACACTACCAATAATAATGTCTATTCCAGAGAACTCTTAAGATGATTAAATGAGTTAATATTTATTAAGAATCTAGCAAGCCTGCTTGCTTCTAGGAAATGCTCTACACATTTAAAAATGAATAGATACAGGTAACCCAAACCATATATAATGCTGCAACATTGTCAGACATGTGTCACCACACGGAAAAAGTTAATTTCTTGGATATCTTCTAAGCCACACTTTTCAAAATGTGCCATTTAATAAGCTGCAAATATTCGGAGTTTTGTTGTTGTCCTTTATTTTACCATCTTCCCCTTGAACTGCTGTATTTACTATGCTGTATCTGGTTAAGTGGCTCTAAAGAAAAATAGAACCTAGCAAAGGCAAAATGTTATTTTATTCCTATATAAGCTAGTACTTTTGTTCAATTCTTCAAATCTGGTAGTGTTGCCAAACAAAGACAAAGAAGAACAACAGAGTTTATCTCCACTGTATTTGCTGGCACCTTTGCTTGTTTTTTTAGTTTCCTGCCCTGTCCCCATAGAATGTAATGACCCTGAGGATGTATATACTTTTCATTACAGAAGATGGAGGCCACACTCCCTCCTCTGATTTCCATAGCAGGTTCATTTTAGAATCTCCTGCAGCAAATGACCTCCCAAAGGCTGCAAGAGCATGATTATTCACATGGAAACCCACTGAGTGGGCTCCTCTCCAGCTGAACTCAGCCATTCTCATGGCACTTGCTTTGATTCATAGCAAAGGTATTCCAGGCAATGAATAACAAAAACAACAACAACAAGCCCAATCCTGTGAAAACAAAGGATTTGAACACAGGGCATTCATTAGAAAAAATTTTAAAGTGATTACCTGTCTTTTAGATTCTGCTAAGTATGTATGTTACTTACGAAAGTGCTTTTGGAAATGTGCTTTAACCATCAAGCTTAATCAGGCAGCATGTTCTCCCCGAAACTATTACGGTAAAAATGGAAAAAAAATGCTTCCTAACAGTTTGAGTTATTGAGATGACCTCATTGTTTTTCTGAATCCTATGGCCTTGGATGTTGTTATACAAGTTATTCACATTTAAACTTCAGATTCTCATTTTTAGCATAAATAATTCAGTTCCAACTTTCCTAAAGTCATTCGTGGAAGCCCCAGCTTTTAGCAAAAACAGAATGAAACAAAACAAGATAAAAACCTTCAAAAATAATAATAAACATTATTCAGAGTTCTGCATTTCTCAGACCATTCCAGCAACTCCATTAATGTGCCATTGTCTAAAGACTCTCACATTTTTTTATTACTTTTAACTCAACTTAAAAACTAAAGTGTACCTCAGACAGATAGTTGGTGCTCAGAGCCTCTGCAGGATGGAATTCTGAGAGAATGGTTTACTATTTATCTTTCATTTTAAAGAGTTCATCTGTAAAATGAACTGGGTTTGGCTTTAGTGGGAAATTAGTCCATTTTGGAACTTTTAATAAAATACAAAGAAAGAAAGCAAACGCCTAAACTGTGTCACCCATCTTTGTATAACCATGTGATTTCCTTAGTTCTGCTTTCTTATACATTTGCATTTCAATTTTTGTAGCTTCCTATACTACAAATCCCACAATATTTTATGAGCATTTGTGTTTGAGAACCTTGAAATGAAGTGCTATTCACCTCTGTTCGGTATATGCTTTATCATATTGTAATTTTTCTGCAATGCAGATAATTGCCTGATTGTTGAGTGACTTATGAATTCACTAGAAATAATGTAAATGGTTTTCCACAATGATTTTTGAAAATACATTTTACAAGAACCAAAGCAGGATGATATGTGATTGTTGGATTTTCAATATTATAGGTAAATTTATATCCTTTATTCTTACATGGTATTTCTCATTAACTGGATTTGAGTTAAACAAAACAATTTTTCTTGCATTTACATTTTGACAAATTCAATGAAGTGGGAAAGCTGGTGAACTGGAAAAATATGGAAATTGGCCACACAAGGCTGTTTAATAAAGAATGGGGGTTTTATAAGCAAATGTAAATTTTATCTCCTAAAATAGGTGTATTGTCTGTTTTGCCTATTCAGAACTCTTCTTTCTTTACCTTTCTGTTTTCAGTGTTAGGAGAAATTCATAACAATGGAGCTATGTTTTTAAAGATCAAGTTTGTGCAAGTCCCACAGAGAATTTTCATGAGAGATCATGATCATCAACAAACTACTGAGGTTTAGGAAGGTTAAGTATTTGTCACAAGGTCACACTCCTAGCCAGTGGTGGAGTCACGCAGCTTCATTTGGATGATATACTAGCTCTTGAAACTACTCATTCTTCTCTTTTTTTCTTAAACAGGACCTTCTCTTTTCTTTTACAAGCTTCACCATTCTTGACTTTCCTGATTTCTGATTTGTCTATCACATATGTTCTTGAGCATGCTAGATTTTTTTTTTTTTTTTTTTTTTTTTTTTTTTTTTTTTTTTTTTTTTTTTTTTTTGAGACGGAGTCTTGCTCTGTCGCCCAGGCCGGACTGCGGACTGCAGTGGCGCAATCTCGGCTCACTGCAAGCTCCGCCTCCCGGGTTCCCGCCATTCTCCTGCCTCAGCCTCCCGAGTAGCTGGGACTACAGGCGCCCGCCACCGCGCCCGGCTAATTTTTTGTATTTTTAGTAGAGACGGGGTTTCACCTTGTTAGCCAGGATGGTCTCGATCTCCTGACCTCATGATCCACCCGCCTCGGCCTCCCAAAGTGCTGGGATTACAGGCGTGAGCCACCGCGCCCGGCCGAGCATGCTAGATTTTTTTAAAAAAATGTTTGCCATCCATTTTATCTTTGAGTAGTTCTTTTTTCTTTTAATATCCAGTCTTTTCCCACGTACATATTTATAATCCCTCATTTACTGCAAATCCCTGCAGTTTAAAATAATATAAATATCTGCCTACAACAAAAGCCATTTCATTTCCTCCATAGGTATAGTCTGTGCAAAATTAAACAAGAATCAAATCAATATAGAGACTAGATCTTATTACTCGATAATATCTGTTTTCTTTCAAATCTAATGATTATATGATATAAAGTTTCTCATAATATTATTTGGCCATAATTTAAAAACCAAAAGTGAAGTTACACACTTTTAAGACTTACCCTCCGATTTCATTATTGAGAAAACTAAAGCCCACAGATCCTGTTGAAGGTCACACACTTAAAGGTTTGGGAAAAGAAATAACTCATTTGCCTTCCTCGTTTCAGAATTTGCTCTGCAATAGACTATCCCAGTTTTCATCGGATTATGGGTAAAATGTTGTATTTATTATCACTATATAGACATACCACCAAAAATTCTTATTAAAATAAATAATAAGCTCAGCTCATTGAGACTAAAAACTTTTTTACATCTAATAAGATTTTTAGCTTGTTTTAGAATATTTGATAAGCACATAAAATTGATATGCATCTGATTTATTAGTGAATAGATAAAAACAAACCATTTCCCTCTATGTAAAAGCCAACTTTAGTGATATTAACACTTTTACACCCAAAAGGCTAATATCCATGTTTCTAATACTTTAATACTCTAACACTTGTTTAATATCAGTTAGGATTGGAGTGGTCTATATATAACAGAAAATCCAAATATTGGCTTAAACACACCAAGTTATCCTCTCATGTAAAAGAATTCAGGCGGATTACAGCTCAAAGGTGACACAGAGGTTTCATGAATTTGAATGAAACAAGACCCTTCATTCTTATTTTTCCCCTCAACCCTCAGCATGTGACTCTCATTCACAAGATTGTGCCATGGCCCAAGACAGCTGCTGGAAACACTGCTATCATTCTGCTTTCCAGGCAGCGAAAAGGAAGGACAGGAAAAGCACAGAACGGCTCCCCTCTTCCTGAGTCAGCACTGACGCGGCCCTCAGAGATGGTCCACACAGTGCTTCTGCGCGTCGATCATTTGCCAGAACTCAGACACAGGGGTCACCCCTACCCACAAGACTTTAGAATATGATTATGAAACGTATTCTGTTTATATCAGATGCATAAAAAAGAAAAAGACAATGATATTGGGTTGACAAATAACTATCTATCTAACATGTAATTTGGAGAATAAGGCCACGTGAAACCTTAATTTGCAGTCTTAAAAAATAAATCCATCACACTAGGAAATATAGTTTTTAAAAAAGCTTAAAATTATACTTCAGAAACTGTGGTATAATTTTAGAACACCCTCTAAAAAAGTCAATCAGAAGTAAATCCTTGAAAATCTATGTGCCTTGATTGGCTTACTTGTAAAATAAAGAAATTAAATCTGCCTTTGAGATCATATAAGATAATGCTGATGATAGACATACCAGATGTGAAAGGGCTTTGCAAAATTATATTTTTAATTGTGCATGGAGGAGTTTTAAAAGAAATCCTTGATGTTTAGTTATTATTATTTTCTCAAGCATGTTTTAAGAACTGAATAAGCATCAGTACAATTTTCCGTGAATTAACATCTGTGGAAAGTCAGTCAGTCTAAGGGGTGGGACGCTATGGAGGTGGGCCCCTCATGCCCACGTTCCCTATTCATCCACACTCTATGACCATCACAAACCTCTTACAATGTTGTCTATTTTTTCCAGTTTTGAGTCAAGATTTTCTTAGCAAATTATTTCTTCCATTCAAAATCCTGTTCTATTGAAATCACATGTGACACAAATAGATTGGGTTATCAGCAAGCTAATCATAGACTGTTGCTTAATCAGCCTTTTTGAACTAGAGCCAAATTAAATGGCAACACTTAGTCATGAAGCGAAATGAAATGACTGATTGTGTTATGATAAGACTTCAGGTGTTTCACTATAAAAACTGCACTCGGGTGTCTCGCTGTAAAAGCTGCACTCGGGTGTCTCACTATAGAAACTGCACTCGGGTGTGTCACTGTAAAAGCTCCACTCGGGTGTCTCGCTGTAAAAGCTGCACTCGGGTGTCTCACTATAGAAGCTGCACTCGGGTGTCTCGCTGTAAAAGCTGCACTCGGGCGTGTCACTATAAAAGCTGCACTCGGGTGTCTCACTGTAAAAGCTGCACTCGGGTGTCTCGCTGTAAAAGCTGCACTCGGGTGTCTCACTATAGAAACTGCACTCGGGTGTCTCGCTGTAAAAGCTGCACTCGGGTGTCTCACTGTAGAAACTGCACTCGGGTGTCTCACTGTAAAAGCTGCACTCGGGTGTCTCACTGTAAAAGCTGCACTCGGGTGTCTCACTGTAGAAACTGCACTCGGGTGTGTCACTGTAAAAGCTGCACTCGGGTGTCTCACTATAGAAACTGCACTCGGGTGTCTCACTATAAAAGCTGCACTCGGGTGTCTCACTGTAAAAGCTGCACTCGGGTGTCTCACTATAGAAACTGCACTCGGGTGTCTCACTATAGAAACTGCACTCGGGTGTCTCACTGTAAAAGCTGCAGTCGAGTGTCTCGCTGTAAAAGCTGCACTCGGGTGTGTCACTGTAAAAGCTGCACTCGGGTGTCTCACTATAGAAACTGCACTCGGGTGTCTCACTGTAAAAGCTGCAGTCGAGTGTCTCGCTGTAAAAGCTGCACTCGGGTGTGTCACTGTAAAAGCTGCACTCGGGTGTCTCACTGTAAAAGCTGCACTCGGGTGTCTCGCTATAAAAGCTGCACTCGGGTATCTCACTATAAAAGCTGCACTCGGGTATCTCACTATAGAAACTGCACTCGGGTGTCTCACTGTAGAAGCTGCACTCAGGTGTCTCACTGTAGAAACTGCACTCGGGTGTCTCACTATAAAAGCTGCACTCGGGTGTCTCACTATAAAAGCTGCACTCGGGTATCTCACTATAGAAACTGCACTCGGGTGTCTCACTGTAGAAGCTGCACTCAGGTGTCTCACTGTAGAAACTGCACTCGGGTGTCTCACTATAAAAGCTGCACTCGGGTGTCTCACTATAAAAGCTGCACTCGGGTGTCTCACTATAGAAACTGCACTCGGGTGTCTCACTGTAGAAGCTGCACTCAGGTGTCTCACTGTAGAAACTGCACTCGGGTGTCTCACCATAAAAGCTGCACTCGGGTGTCTCACTGTAAAAGCTGCACTCGGGTGTCTCACTATAAAAGCTGCACTCGGGTATCTCACTATAGAAACTGCACTCAGGTGTCTCACTATAAAAGCTGCACTCGGGTATCTCACTATAGAAACTGCACTCAGGTGTCTCACTATAAAAGCTGCACTCGGGTGTCTCACTATAGAAACTGCACTCAGGTGTCTCACTGTAAAAGCTGCACTCGGGTGTCTCACTATAAAAGTTGCACTCGGGTGTCTCACTATAAAAGTTGCACTCGGGTGTCTCGCTGTAAAAGCTGCACTCGGGTGTCTCGCTGTAAAAGCTGCACTCGAGTGTCTCACTATAAAAACTGCACTCGGGTGTTTCACTGCCATATCAGGGCTCTGAGAACCTCAGCACAAGATACTTGGCAACTTTTTAAGTGATTTAATCATTCAAGCAGTTCTATAGGATAAATTGGAAAACGATAAGGTTTTGGTACTGAATTGTACTCCTTGGCCATCAATTGGTTAACACCTCCTTTCTTCATGTTATTCTATTTTAATATATCCTGTTGCCTTCATTAATGACATATCCTGAGAATACTTCAGTTATGAAATATATAAATTTAAAACAAAAATGTCTTAACATCTCTATTCAAATGAAAAACATACTTAACCTACATGAGGTTAAAGGCAAATAGGTTTTTGTTAACTGTTAAATCTAAATGGTCTCAAATGAAAACTAATGAAATGTAAATATCAAGGAAAAAGAAACGGCTCCACAATTAACTATCCAGGATGGTTTCAAGAGAGTCAATCATGAATCCTAAATGTTCACTAAGTAACTTATAACACTGAATTGTTATAAGTGTGATAATTGTGTTATAAGTTACTTAGTGAAGCTCTAAGATTAATCAAAGCTCTAGATTATCAAACATTACAAATTAACTACTTCCATTAGCCACAAAATTGTCTTCAAAAATGAATCTTAGTCATTTGTATTTCTGTAAACATTCTATGAAGTACATTAGAAAGTATTAGAATATCTGCCACTCACTGTGGGTGGGTGTTTATTCTGCTTTTAATTTCTCACATATCAATTTAGGTAGACCTCATTCATTTTCCTTAACTCCAATAGTGAATATAACCAGAATTGTATGTATCATGTTCAAATTTAGAACCCAATTGAATAACAGATATTATTTTTATGTAATAAGTGCTTTAGTAAACACAGCAGCTGTGCATTTTCAGATGCTCCATATTTACTATATTTGAGTTGTGAATCTGTAGGCTAGATATAGAGTTGATGATCATTATAAATATATTTACAGAACTGCAAATCACAGAAAATGAACAGCCCGGCCATTATCCCTCTAGAAAAGGGGGTTCTAATAAAATTCCTCTCCTGTTCTTACAGGGTACACATGCAAAAAAAAATCAGCTAATTTCTATACTTTGTTAATTAATTGTTGACACTGGTTCAGAGTAGGGTTCACTGTTGTTTTCTCCTTTCCCCTCAGAACTTTGACATTTCCCCAGTGTAAACGCAGAGATCTACTTTCATTCCTGTCATTTTTTTGTTCCATTCTTTTCTCTCCCACATTGTCCTTTGTTACTGATCTTCTAAGCCCTTGACACACCCACTAGAATGAAAAGCAGGGCCTTTGTCATTTTCCCACTGCTCTGTCCCAATCCCCGTGCCATGCCTGAAACGTCGGGAGTCCTTGATACCTATTGGTGGAATGTAGGGTTAATCCGAACATTGTCTTGAGCACTGTGTCTTACTCGGAATTGCTTCCAGGTGGTGTCCTGCTGTCTTCTGAGCAATAGAGACTCCACATGGCTGCCTGATGGCCATTTCCAAAGGCAATCGTGCTGCTCTCCTGCATAAAGTCTCTCAGACGAGTCATCACAGGTAAGAGAAAGGGTCAAGTCCGTGGCATGGCCTCCCATGTCCCTCACGATCAAGTGTCTGCTCTATCTGCCTTGTCTCCTCTACTCTCCCTCTCCACTCGCCTCAGCTCACATTCACCATCTTCCATCTTCTCAAGTGCTTCACATTGTCCAAACTCCTGTCCTGGAAAAAGCTCCTCTCTTGGTTCAGATCCTCATTTCTAGTCCCTGAACTTGAGATTTCAATTCAAATGTCATGATCTCAAAGAAACTTTTCAGCTATTTTCCAGAGTGTATTAGGATTCCCAAGTATAGATGCTCTACAATTAACGCTTTTTCTTCTTTGCACTTATCACTTACATTATATCTTGGTAGCATTATTTGATTAAAGTCAGTTTTCTTTCCACTAAGTTTTAAAGCTTAATGGAAATAGAAACGATCTCTATTTATATCTCCACTACCTGGTGTGGAATAAGGGCATAATAAGTATTCAAGAAGTAATTTTAAAAATTTAGAAAATGCCATGCACTTAGTCATTTGAGGTTGTATTGATACCTTGCAGAAGCCTCACTGCCATCTCTTTGTATAGTATTTACATTGGCTTAGGAAAATATACAAAATGTCAACTTACAAACATCTTATTTTACCCCAGAGAGCCTTTTCAATGTGCTAAATTTGTTAAATATCACACAACATGAGAAGCTACCTCATTGTTTAGCACTGAAGAATGTGCTTAATGCCAATGAAACAGAATTCACTCAAGAGCCCCGACCACATTAGTGATGTATATAATTGCTATGCTTCTGCAAGATAATCTTGCATAAATGGTGAAGAGCATGGATCAGTTCGGGTAAACAGCATTATTTTTATAGAACCACAACAAAAATTAACCTTTCTTAAATTATTATTTGCGTAGGTAACTCATCGGTTTCTATTATCAACAATAATGTTGAAAATTTACCCTAGTTATTGATATGTAATTGATTGCTATTACATCCCATCATACACACTAACAAAGTTTCTAGATCTCCTCCTCCAAAGTGTACCTTCCATGAATCCTCCACTCTCCAGCTGCCTTATTCAAAGTCCAGGCTTGATCATGGCTCCCAGAAGGCGTCTCACACTGAAAGCCCACGAGTGTATTCCACAAGGACACCACAGCCTTTCTTTTTAAAATGAATTTTTTCAAACATAAGGAAGGAACTTTCTGTAATGTAATGGTGAATATAAGACTGAGTTTTTATGTCAAAACTTATCATATTTTATGCTTATAATTGGTGATATTTGTGGTATATGAAGTATGCATCAATGAAACATTAAGTAAGACATTTGGGTCCAAATGGTCTCCGCATTTTTCCAAACAGTGGCCCATATAGGTGCTAACAGCTGGAAATGGTTAGTGAGGAGACTCCCGGATGACCAGGAACAAGAGGCATCTGCAGAGTGCTGTGTTGCATGGGTCAGGTCAGGAGGCGGGCGGTGGTGCAGCTGTGTGGTGCATGCTATAAAACCCCACCACTGCAGGAAGTGCCAGGTGCCCCCTCAGCGTGAAGACTTGTATGCTGACAACAAGCAATGATAGACTCTTCTAATAAAACAAAACCCAGTAGCCAAATGAAATTTCACATAAAAATCCAATCCTGACACTTCTTTTGATATGTTGTTTGTATCCTCTGAAGTATTAAATAACAAACCTGAGAGGGAATTTTTAAACTGCTTCTATTTGGAGGGGTCCTGGGCTCTTCTGCTGGTTCAGCCTGCCCTGTGCTCATCACCCAGTTGCATCGCCAGCCTGCTCTCTGTAGACTGAATCCATATGCCCTGTCTACACAGCCAAACTCCATGCCCTCAAAGGCGTTTCTCCCCTCTTCACCCACTTGTGTACTATTTCAGCTGCCTGAGGCGCTCTTTCCATTTCTACATGACAAAATGCTTTCTGCTCTTTAGGACCGAACTCAAATGCCCCTGTGTGCCTCTTACTGCAATCACAGACTTACAGCCTCATTTCATGTATTTAACATTGTTACAAGACTTGGTTCATATTCTGTCTTATTTATTTTGCATTCTGATACCACTTTTTAATTTTTTATGAGCTCCTTCCTTTATTTTTGTACATATAAGTAACTGATTTTTATCTCAATGCAAAGACTGAAGACAAGTGGTGGAGGAAAGAATCATGTATGTTCTTGAGGGACATCATTCACCATCCCTGTTATTAATCATTTTAATGTATCCAACTCACCTGGTCCACTTTAGAATGGCCTCATGGCATTAACTTCTCCTGCTCCCCAAGCAAGAACAAACTCGCAGGTTTATTTGAGTGTTTTCTTTGGCCATGTAGTTGTTAGCAAGCACGTGTATTGCCTTTCATTGAGCCAAAAAAGAACAAGAAAGGTTTTACTTCCTGATTGCTTTGTTATCCACGCAATGGGTGATCATTCATTATGTTCAGTAAAGAAGGAGAGTGGATGTGACCAGCTTCCAACAACTTGTATCTATTGTGGCAGCAAACACTATTACTGGCTAAACTCCCGAGAACATGGCACTGCTATAAAGGATGAGCATTCGGAGAGCTAGAAATTTAATTCCAGATATACAAGCAATAATCCTCAAGCTGTCCAGCTTCTGCTAATACAAAATGACATGTCTGGGAAGGAAACATTCATTCCTCTCCTGGAGCATTACCAGTGTGTTTGAGCTGTTGAAATGTTCTATTCCATGCAATGACCAAGGATGCTTGTCTGTGCTGTCTTCGGTGCCCAATCCCTTAGGCTGGAAGGAAGTCATCTCTCCCATGCCGTCCTCACAACAGGGACCCACTGGCTGTATAAAAATAAAAATTATAAAAGATGGCCACAAAAGAAACATGAAAAAATTGATTTAACAACGTAATCACAAGGGATTATAAGATGTTAAACAAGCCACAAGTATAAAGGTTTGAGGGAAAAACGGCTGGCAAGCTACACACAATTCGTGCATGTTTTCCCAAGATCAACTCCACTGTTATTAACCATCTCATAAAGAATTATATGTACTGTGGTATCTACAGATGATTATGCCATTCTTACTCTTTCTGGTAAAATAATTTATCAACTGCTTCCAAAATCATTCAGTAGAACATTTTTTTCATACACATTATATTACCTCTTTTCATACACATTATATTACCTCTTTTCACGTATTTAAGTACATGCAGATTGATATCCTAATTTTAGTAATACTTTTTAATGTAACTTTTCATCTTTATTATTATATCTTAGGATTTGTTGGACAAATAGTGTGATTTTCCTGGTAGCAAGACGTGGTCAACATGGTTCTTGGTCTGGTTCTTGGTCAGCAGGAGGGCATTGATGGTGGGTGATGCAATGGCTTGTTAACTGAGCCCACAACTTTTTTATTGTCTCTCTCTTATAGGCCAGGCACTGTCTAGGCATTGGGTTTGGTTATAATAGGGATGCCTGTGTGAAAACAATGGTACAAATGACCTCAGGCCAATAGAAACACGTTGCTAAATCTCGATCATGTCAAAATTTCATACTTCAGGAGTTGTTGACATCTGGAAGGCCTGCCTATAAATCCTGGATCCTTCCGTGCTAAGCCAAGATTCAGGTAAGCATAAAGAGCAATTTATTGTTATTTATTGTTTATTGTGTTAGAGCAATTATTTGTGTTATTTATTGTTATTGTGTTAGAGCAATTTCTGGACTAGAAAGCCTTCTAGAAAAATAATTTTTTAAATGGGCATAAGCCATTTGTATAGTCAAATAGGTGGTCTAACGCACATAGGCACCTAGCTGAGGGGTGAGTGGGGCTGAAATCCAACACTTCTCTGCCTTCCGAGTCATGTAGCCTGGGACGGGGTTAGATCTTTCCAGAGAAAAAGACACCCTTAAGAAAACTGCATAATACAGATATATACATGAAGGCATTCTCTAAGTGCACAAGACACTGCCCTCTGCCCTCCCAGAGCTTTTTTCGGATTTGCAGAAAGATTCCTGACAGGTTAGTAGTCTTGGCTTTGTTCGTTTGCTGAAGTTTGCAATATGCTGAAGATAGTTGGCATTGGAGGTTAAGAATCAGAATGGAACCGCTGAGTCAAGATGAGAAAGTGGCTCCCACTTGCGGAAGCACATTGAATTCTAGAAGCTTTCTCTGGGACCACCAGGTCCAGGTAAGTTTTGAAATAAGCCATTGAAGCCACCACAAAGACACCCAATAGTAGGAGCTGGGGCACTATTGAGAGACAGGACCAGCTGGATTTCCTAGGCCGACTAAGAATCCCTAAGCCTAGCTGGGAAGGTGACTGCATCCACCTTTAAACAGGGAGCTTGCAACTTAGCTCACACCCAACCAATCAGGTAGTAAAGACAGCTCGCTAAAATGCTAATTAGGCAAAAACAGAAGGTAAAGAAATAGCGAATCATCTATTGCCTGAGAGCACAGGGGGAGGGACAATGATCGGGATATAAACCCAGGCATTTGAGCCGGCAACAGCAGCCCCCTTTGGGTCCCCTACCATTGTATGGGAGCTCTGTTTTCACCCTGTTAAATCTTGCAACTGCGCACTCTTCTGGTCTGTGTTTGTGATGGCTCAAACTGAGCTTTCGCTTGCCGTCCACCACCGCTGTTGTCTGTCGTCCCAGACCCTCCCTTGACTTCTCCCCTCCGGATCTGGCAGGGTGTCCACTGCGTTTCTGATCCAGCAAGGCGCCTGTTGCCACTCTGGATCAGGATAAAGGCTTGCCATTGTTCCTGCATGGCTAAGTGCCAGGGTTTGTCCTAATTGAGCTGAACACTAGTCATAGGTTCCACGGTCCTCTTCCGTGACCCAGGGCTTCTAATAGAGCTATAACACTCCCCGCATGGCCCAAGGTTCCATTCCTTGGAATCCATGAGGCCAAGAACCCCAGGTCAGAGAACACGAGGCTTGCCACCATCTTGGAAGCAGCCACCATCTTGGGAGCTCTAAGAACAAGGACCCCCCAGTAACACTATGACGTCCGCAAGGAAATACAATAAGGAATGTCCTCAATAGGAATGTGCGTAAGGGCTTGCTGCTGCCACTTAGCACTGGTCTAGGATCTGGGACAAGGCAAAACCTGTGCATGGCAAGCTGACAGATCTCGCTGAGGAATGCTCTAGGAGGGCTGGGGGCCTGAGAAGGGTACTGAAAGCCCAGGTCTCTCTCCAGGGTGCCTCAGACTGCCTTCAACAGCTGTACAGCAGCTCAGACCCAGTCCATACTTCAGTATTGCTCTAGGTTCTGCATTTCAGCACTCCAGCAACTCTGTGGAAAAGGGTAAAGCAAATTTCATGAGAATACATTCAATTCCAATTTATCAGTACATAGTCTGGCTGCAAGCGCTTCTATAAATTCGTGTAGAACACAATTCCATGTTCCAGCCCTGCAACACATACAAAATCTTTTCTTCTTCATTTAGTTTTGGATACACAGGCTGTAACTTCCTTTCTCACATAAAACAGCTTTAAGAAGTAATCTGAAGTTTTAAATATTTCTTTCACATTTGCCTGATATGGTGCTAAAAGTCGCCAGTCATGGGTTCCTACCATCGCTGGTTTGCTTTGCTGACTATCACAGACAATGGCTGGATTCTACCCTGCCTATTCCCAAACACGAGGACACTAGTAAGATAAAGCATCAATAGCAAAAAGAGCTTATTAGCAGCCCTGGGAAAACAGACTCAACATGCATGCCTGGTAGGTGAGTACGCTGCTGCATAAGGGACAGTGTCATTCATTTTTTTAATTTCAATCAACAAACATGTTGAACTCCTCCTATGTACTAAGCATAATCTCTATCTCCACAAAACTATGCAATTTAACCTTCTAAGAAAAATGCCATTTCCATGGATAACATCGTTACTTCAGACAAAACCTTTTAGGTCTCTTCCTCACAGAACAACAGGGTATGCAACCCATTGTCAGAATGCCTTGTTTTCTACCAGCCAAAATCACCCTCTTGTAAAATGCCTTATGTGAATCAAAATCACTCTTCGACAAGTTTTAAAATGCAATTACCAACATCACCTCAAGGCAGTCATTTAATCCCTGCATGCCTTAAATACTCTGCAAAACAGGAGAGTAATGCTGTTGTGAAGTCGACTGAGCTGAAATAAGAATGCTTCAAGGTAGGAGACTCTACTGTTGTTATTCTAAGTTAGGAATTCTATAGTAGCCTCACAGCTTCCCTCTATGTCTCCAGCACAGCAATAAAAAATTCTTTATAGATGGAAATGATTGCTGAGTAGAGTCTCTGGGGGAAGAGCTGTGGTTTGCTCTTCTGCCAAGCAATAGCAATATCAAGATGTCCCCACAAGGCATTAGCTCTTGAAGTGAGCAAGTTATGGTTCCCAGGGGCCTCCTGTACTTGATGGATGCTCTCAGTGTGAAGTTGTCTCCAGAGACCTCCCAGAGGTCTCAGAACATGGCAGGGTCAGTGTCTAACCTATTATGGACAGAATCTTTACTAGAAAGGCCCAAAAGCTGTGTGCCTGGGCGTGAGACATCCAGCTCATGCCGAATGAGCTGAATCATTCAAGGATTGATGTATCTCTTTGAGGAAAGCTAGCTTTCCTGCATTTCCTGCACCTCAGGTTTTAATTCAGGTAAATTGCTTCCCCATTTATAGCTCTGAGACCTTTGGGACCAAACCTCATGAGTTCCATTTGCCAAGTGTGGCCCACATTTCACCTCTGTCTTTGATAATCTGAATGTCAGAATTATACTCCAGATTAAACTCTGTTAATAACCCCAAATTCAGAGCAAGCAAGGGCTAACATCAACTTTGATAATCATTTAATATTAAGTCAAGAAGTTCCATGACTGATATCACATGTGTATCAATTGCTGCACACATGGCTTACCCTTTATTTCAGCTCTCTGGATATCTGCAGTGACAAATTTCATGTCACTGACACCTAAAATGAGAAAAAATAGTTTTTTTAATTCACTGTACTGGGAATAATCTCTCAAACAAGCAATGAATGCATTTTATAGAAAATGAACCATATAAATATATACATATGTATAAAATTAGAAATTTAGTTTGTTTCTAGTTACTCTGTGTTGTTATATTCTATTCCTTAAAACATGGTTGAGAGACTCCTGGAACTGATTTCCTGACTCACTCAAAAGTTGAGACCAACAGTTTGATAAGAACTATAGATAGTGTGAAATTTGCAGAATGCTGCAGGATGCTGAAAAGTCCCTCTGGCAAATAACATTTATCATCATTGAAGACAATTATGAGGCCATAAACAAAAGACAATGCTCTAGAAACTACTGTTAAAAAAGCACACCTATAAGCTGAAGTGGCTGCTAGTACAGGCTCCCCAATTATGTGTGCCACCCCTGGCCCTTTCCTTGCTAATCAGTCATCATATTCTGTTTTCTTGAGCTTACAAAAGACTTCACATCCATTTTCAATGCTGCATCCCAGGCAGTGGCTACTGGTTCATTGTAAGTGGCCAGAAAAACAAAACGCAGTTGTCATCTGATTCCTAGTCCTTTCTTATGTTGATTTTAAGTAGTTTTTCAATTGACACTTCTAGATAAATGAGAAACTTTGGGCATAGCACAGAGAAGAGCCAGGTGACCACGAAGAATCTAAGGGGCCCCCATCGAGCTGGTGAGGGCTCTGGGTGTAGTGTTGAACTGTGCTACGAGAAACTTCACAATATTGACCGGTTCCAGAATGGAAGTATGGAAACACATTGGTGTCACTCCCCTCATCAGAAAACCAAAAGCAAATAGACAGTGTCATGATTAAAAATAGTAATAGCATAGAATCCAAGTATGAGGGTGAAACAGTTCCCAGGTCCATAGAGAAGTAAAAAGCTCTGAGCAGATGGTGAGAGAACTGGGCTTTCATATCTGTGACATTTCTCCCCCTAATCTGTACAACACCATGTAAGTGAAAAATTTTCCGAGACTCATATTTTCTACACGGGAAAAAGTGAGATAGAGGTAAACAACCAGCTTCCCATCCATCCTGGGTTTCCTAGCAGGAGACCTATTCCTGCCTCAACCCATAGGAAGCATTGGGAGTGCCTGAAGGAGAAACATCCCTGAGGGCAACCAAAGACAAAGTGGGGAAGATGGGACTGTCATTCCCAGCCTTGGAAACTCTGTGCTGTAACTTGGGCAGAGAAGACACCAAATCAGAGCAGCTGCTCACCAGCACCACACTGTGGGAGATATGTTCCACAGGTCCCCTGGGCATGAACCCCTAGCCAGCCTTCCCACCACACTGCTGGGATAGCCCCTTTATGACCTCCTTAATTCAGAATGGGCAGTACTCTAATCACTTACTAGAGTCAAGGCAAACATGGGCCTATGGCACTCTCTAGTACCTATAAAGAGGCAGCAACCTAGTGGAAAATAAAAAAGAAAGAAATTCAACAGATAAATTAGAAGGAATCTCTAAGCAAACATATCCAATAAAAACCAAAACAAGCCACGTAGAGAAGACTGGAAAAAAATAACTAATCCGTCAATACAAAGACATAGATGTAAATTCAGAATCCTGGAACTGAGAAATACATTTACTAAACTGAAAACTTTATTAGAGGCTCTCAACAGCAGAATGACTCAAGCAGAGAAAAGAGTCAGTGAGCCTAAAGACAGGCTATTTGAAAATACACAGTCAGAGGGGGAAAAAAAGGAACAAAAATCATGAACAAGTTATAGAAAATAACTTCAAAAGACTAACTCTAAAAATTACTGGAGATCAACAGGAAGCTGAGCAAGAACAAGGAATAGAAAGCTTACTCAAAGAAATAACCACAGAAAATGTTCCAAAACTTGAGAAAGATACAACTATTCGGGTACATGAAGGTCTGAGAACACCAAACAGGTTTGACCCAAATAAGACTACCAAAAGGCATGTAATCAGGCTCTTAAATGTCAAGAGTAAAGAGACAACCCTAAAAGTAGTGAAAGAAAAGAAACAGATAAAATATAAAGGAACTCAAATTCATCTGGAAAAAGATGTCTCAACAGAAACTGTAAAGGCTAGGAGTACGTGAGATGACATTTTCAAAGTGTGGAAGAAAAAAATGGCAATCAAGAATTGTTTATCTAGCAAAGCTATTCTTCAAGTATGAAGGAGCAGGTCTTTCCTAAACAAACAAAATCTTACAAGTGTTAAAAGCAAGGTCTTCCATCTAACACAAAACAAAAACAAAAACACTAATGTGCACAAAGAAGCATTTGAATGTATCAAATGAACTGTAAAAGTACATAGACAAACTCAGGATACTCAAACACTGTAACTGACATGTGAAATCCACTCATAATTCTAATATAAAACTCAAAAGACAAATCAATCAAAACCAGCAATAGCTACAGTGACCTGTTAAGAGACAGGCAACAAAAAATAGCTAAATTGAGATAACAACAAAAAGTTAAAACATAGGGAGGATTAAGTTAAAGTGTAGAAATTTTTTCTTCAGTATTTTGTTTGAGTCTATACTTTCTATTGCAATCTAAGATAAGCTGCCGTCTCTTTAAAATAACTTATTGTAAGATATTTGATATAAGCTTCATGACAGCCACAATGCAAAAACTTGTGATAGATACACTAAAAATAAAAAGCAATGAATTAAAGTGTACTACCAGATAAAATCACTCAATTGCAAAGGAAGATGATAAGAAAGAGAGAAAGGAAGAGAGGAGCTACAAAACAACCAGAAAACAAGCAAAAAACCCCCCAAAAACCAAGCAGTAGTAAGTCCTTATGTATCAATAATTATACTGAATGTAAATGGACTCAATTCTCCAGTTAAAAAAAAAAAGAGTGTCTGAATGAATAAATAAACAAGACCAAACTATGTAATTTACAAGAGATCTACCTCACCTGATCATGCCACTGCACTCCAGCTAGGTGACAAAACAAGACCCTGTTTCTAAAAAAAAACTCACTTATAAAGACACGTATAGACCAAAAAGTAAAGGGATGGAAACAGATATTCCATGCAAGTTGAAATAAAAAAAGAGCAGAAGTAACAATGCTTTTATCAGATAAAATAGCAACATGTCAAAGACTATAAAAATAGACAAAGTCACTATACAAAAATAAAGGTGACAATTCAGCAAGAGGATATAACAATTCTAGATATCTATGCACCCAACACAGAACACCGAGGTATATAAAGCAAATAGTAATAGATCTAAGGGGAGAGACAGACTGCAATATAATAATAGTGGGGAAATTTAATGCCTGCTTCTTAGTGATAGACGATCCTCTAGACAGAAGACCAACAAAGAAACATCAGAGTTAAATTACACACTAGACTAAATAGGCTAACTCACACCTACAGAACATTTTACCTAACAGCTGTTGCATACATATTCTTTTCATCAGAACATGGAACATTCTCCAGAATAGACCATATCTTAGGCCACAAACGAGTCTCAACAAATTCATGAAAGTAGAAATCATATCAAGTATCATTTCTGATCACCATGGAATAAAACCAGAAATGAATAATAAGAGGAACTTTGGAAATTACACAAATATATTGGAAATTAAACAATGTGTTCCTGAATAGAGTTTAAGGTGATGGATACCCCAATTTCCCTGGTTTCATCTTCACACATTATGTGAATGTATCAATTTATCACATGTATCCTGAAAATATGATTATCTATTAGGTATCAATTAAAAAATTTTAAAAACTGTACAGTATTGCCCCAAATGGCTCCATCCTGCATTCTGAGATTCCTGCTCCCCAAACTCTAATCAAACACAATTATTGTTTTGTGAAAATTGAGCTTGACAAATGAGCTGCCAGAGATGCTTATGCATGCTCCATAAGGATGCCAGATGTTTCTTCATTATCTATTTCATTCCAAGCCTGCTTTCCTTTTGATATCACTCTGATTTTGACCTTTCTACCCATAAATATGTTTTTCTTCAGGCTATCCCTTTATTTAAAACAACCCTCCCTACTTTAAAGATCCTCTCTCCTCATCTTGGGTAACTTTCAGGGCATGACTTTTGCGGGTAGACATTGCTACACATTTTATTTCAAGATTCCAAGGTTTTAAAACTTATTAATTACCTTATGAATGTCCATCAGCTTCATATTAACCACTTATATCTGCATACAATTCTAAGGAGGGTTAAGTTCCAGGGGTGTACAACATGCTGAAATATCTATAAATACTGCCTACTTATGTTTTTATGGTTTTGAGTTTATTTTGACGCTTGCCTTGGAGGCAGATTTTATATCATCTTCTTCTTTTGGTAAAATTTCTATATGGTAAAATGCAAAGAACCAAAATATTCAATTCAATAAATTTTGACGATTTACACAATCAAATAACAAATACCCGAAAAATATACAAGATATCTCCATTTTCTCAGAAATTTCCATTATGTCTCCTTTTTGCCCTCTCATAAGCAGACACTGATTTAATTTCTGTCATTATAGATGAGTTTTGCATTTTTTTGAACTTGATGTAAAAACCATAAAATTCCATGCATTAATTTTTATCTAGCTTCATTTACTTAGTACTTTTAAAATTTACTCATGTTGTTGTACAGAACAGGGCTTGTACTCTTTCATTGTTGAAAAATATTGATATCCATTCTCCTACTGAGAAATACCTGGGTTGTTTCAGTTTCTGGCTATTGTAAATAAAAATTCTAGCAAAATATTGTGCAAGTTTTTGTGTATGTCTGTGTTGACATGTTTTTATTTCTCTTGAGTAAATACGTAGCAGTGAAATTGTGACACGAGCTAGATCTATGTTTAACATTATAAGAAATGGCTGAATAGTTTCTAAAGTATAGCATTTTACACTCTCACCAGCAACATGGTAGAGTTTTAGCGCCATACATTTTTGCTAAAACTGAGTGTTGTCCATCTTCTGACTTTTACCTACTCTGGTTGTGTTAACATCTATTGGTATTACTCTTTCAGGGCATTAGTTAGCATAGGGAGTGTTGCATGGGAATCTAGCCCACTATATTGAAAGACAATATTCAGAGCTTAACACATTCATAAATATTAATGAGAAAGGCAGAAGTGGTAGCAGAAATGTTAAAATAAGTTTTTACAACCATAAGTGAAAATGCCTGTATGTCATGCCTTTATACCTCCCAAAATACTTGGTTATAGGGTAAAGCAGCCTCTACTGTTTCCCTCTCTTCTAACTCGGTAGAAGGTTAAGAGAGAAAAAAGTTATTTAGAATAATACACAATGTTTCCAGATGGATTTTACAAAGACAGAAGAACCTAATTCATGACTCGCATCTAAGATCTTGGAGATCTTGTATTCTCTGTTAAGGAATTTGCTGATCTTCTCGTCATCAAGTTCAGAGCAAATAACTGTTCTGAATTTAAAAAAAATAAAATTAGGTAAATTATTTGTGTCTTTTCTACAATTAGATTTAACTTCACTTAACTCACAAATATTGCACCTGATTACTTACATGCAAATTTTATCCCCACAGCTTTCATGTTAGACAGCAGTTTTCATACACAACAGGCTTCAGGAAGCCAGCTCTGATAGCTGCTTCCCCCTCACCCCGTCCTTCTTAGCAGCCTTGAGATGAGTCAGGAATCCTGCTTTCTTGTTCAACTTTCTCACATGTAGGTTTAGGAAGGATTAAGGCAGAAGCAAAGGTAATCATTGGAGTCCTCCTCCCTGGGGCTCTTCTCTCAAATCTTCCTGAGTTGTCTGTCTCAGCAGTGGGGTTTCCTTCCGTTCTCTCATCAGAGACATTCTTGACTCCCAACATTTACCATTTTCTAGTCTCTTTTTATCAAAAATATTCCCCAGATATATATTTCTTAGTATTTCTTCAGAGTATGCAGCATTTTCTTACATTTATAGTGTGTTAGAAATTCCTTGGACAAGCATAAAAATGTTGTTCATTACCATCTTGCCCCAACTTCTTCTTTTCATTTTTTCCTGTTGTTCATGTGGGTAGAGTTCAGCCACACCAAATTATTCACCTGTCACCAAATAGAACCCACCCTTTCAGACCATGGTGCATTTCCATGAGCAATTCTTTCTACTCACAGTGCCTATGGTGCCTTCCTTCTCTCACCCTCCCTACAAGCCTTGCATATGCCTCTGTGCTCTTCTCCCACGCTAGCTACGCTGTGATGCCTCTCCCCTTGAGTGGGCCCGTTTAGCTCGTTGCTCCCTCTGCTCCCAAGCCCTCTCATGTCACTTTCTCATTCACATACAACTTCCTATAGTCAATGTAGTTTAAATTCCAGCATCCTACACTACCATCTCATTCAGTGGTTAGGCTCCAAACTGAACTGCATAAAGTGAAACGTAAAGTGAAAATAATAGAAACACAAAACTAATGATGAGAATCCACTAGGAACCTTTCCTACTCGACTTTGCCATACTAACCCTCAGTTATTTAATACACTAATAAATCCAGTACTGACCTCATTTTGAGTCTTTGAAATGAAGAGTAGCAGGTGTCATGTTCCCTACTTAGACACAAGGAATCAGGTTTTAGGAACCCTACTAACTTGCTGTAACTTCACTCAGTTATTTATCGAGTCATAGAAATAGATTGTGAAGCCAAGTGTTTATATCTTAAGGCTTTTGTGCCAAACTATTTTTTGGTTCAAAACAATTAGAGGACTTGGACTTACAACAAGGAAAATATTTATAGACAAATAAGGCAAAAGTATAAATGCTAAAAAATTATGAAAACCCTCAAAGATCTTCAGTGTTGCTAATTTGTATTCAAATGTTGTAGGGAATCTGTGAAGGTACATAATTTCTACCTTTGAATTACAAGAAACATATAATTAATACCTTTATGTTAAAATAACTAAATACATGTTTGAAGAGAGAGATCTGGAAGAAGCCTTCTTCTTACATGGTTACATCAAGATAGTTCTGACTTGGTTCTACTAATAAAGGGGACATGAAAAGCAGCAAAAGGAGAGAGACATTTCCTAATTCAACCACAATTTCAACTTAAGATTTTAAAATTTTCAAGTACTGAGTTTTTTGTTCATATTTCTATTTGCCTTGTATATCTGGCTTAAGCCACTGATTCTCCTTGAGAAGTAAGAACACATTTCTTTGGGAAGCTATGGGAAGGCAAACGATTGCTTGACCCCAAACACAAATATGAACTGTGTATTCCAAAGTTTAAATCTTCAAAGTAAAAGAATCATTGTGATTTAGTCAATAGCATCTTTTGAAAAGAGCTAAATGCTTCAGAACTTTCTCCAGAAGACACAATCAGTGTAACTTCAAATAGTTACCCAGTAGAAAAAGAACAGCATTTAATAACCACATAGAAGACACAGTTACGGGATAAAGGAAAGATGGAATTGAATCTGATCAGCACCCAGGTGTGACAGCAGGGCCATGAAATTATCAACTACAGGCAAGTGCAGTGCGACTGCAATACTAAGCGCTGATGCTGGAGAACACAGCGGGGCAATACTGAGATTGAAGAAAAGAAGGTAATTTACACTCTGTACAGAGATAAAACTCAGCAAAAGCATGCCATAGAGTTCCAGGAGTATTTACTGAGAAGATTCATCACAAGCTAAGGAAGAAATCAGAACGGAAAAGGATGCTGAGAAAAGGGAACAACTTTCAAGGACAAAAGCTAAAGATAAAGAAAATGTTAAAGATAATTTTAAAACATTTTGACTTGTTGTTTTTGTTTATTTTACAAAATGCCCAAGTGAAAAAAAATTCCTCTTACAAACTAGTACGATGGAGTATTAAAATTTCTTATATTGGACATCTGTTAAAAAGGCATTTTGGCAAATAAGGGAATCGTAGCTAAGGATTAGAATTTCTATTATTATCTAACTTTATTTGTTTAAGGGAAACATCATTTGGAAGCTGTCAGTCATGATGCCGCAGAAAAACACTCTCACCGGTGCTCTTCAGACACCACGCTTGGCTAATTTTTGTATTTTTAGTAGAGACGAGGTTTTGCCACATTGGCCAGGCTGGTCTTGAATTCCTGACTTCAGGTGATCTGCCCGCCTTGGCCTCCTAAAGTACCGAGATTACAGGTGTGAGCCATTGTGTCAGGTCAGTAATTTATATTTCTATCATTTCTAATTGGTTTTAAATGATGCAATAAGCCTTTCTGGTTTCTTGAGTCCAGGCTTATTTCTCTCCATGACCCTTGATTTGTGTTTGGTATTTTAGCTGTGTCTATTTCCTGTTGCATAACACTCTGGATGTTTCCTATGGATTTGATCATTTCTTCTTTTGTAAATTTTATCTTCACCAAATATTTATTTAAAAATGTGTTGTCACATTTCAGATTTTCTGCATTTCATAAGCTTTTTCTTAACGAGTAAATGAGGCAAAGCATAATGCACACTTAGCAGAATTCTTGGTACATAATATGTGCTTAATAAATGCTCTTTTCTTTGATTCTTGGTAATAATCTTCATATAATTCTTAATGGGTAGGTTTAATTATGTTCTCATTCTGAACCTACATTACCCGGTTGCAGCATTCCATACACAGAGCATGTCGGTTTTGAAACTGTCTTCCATTCCTCGCTGACTTTCACACAGCGCTACTCTGCTCATTCTGAGCACTCGCTTCCACCTTGCACACTGGCAGCCGCACACATTGGGAGGGCCCTTATTCATGTATCTGTGTTTATAGGCTCTCTTTGATACTCACGTTATATTCTGTCTAGATGCCATATTTATTTACATAATCATACTTATGTAATTATATATTAATTACAATTATATGTTTATAAATTTTATGAAACTTGGTGAAAACTAGATTATCCATAGCCTCTTCCCAGTCTCTGCATTGCAGCTGCCCTTCTAATTTCGCTCCCATTTCTTGGAAGATCTTCCATGCTGACTGGATGTATTCACTTCCTGTCTGTAACTCCTATAGTATTTGTTGGAATTTCTCACTTGATACTTCCCTTGCTATCTTTATGCATCATATCCTATTTATACCAGCCAAGTCTCTGGAAAGAAGGAAAGGTATTGTGTTTGTCTAATCACAGTCACTTGGTCTAAAAGGTATTCAGGCCCTTTGTTTTGTGAGAAACTGAATACCTGTAGAAAAATTTGAATCATTCTTACTTATGGATATGGTGTAGGTATGCTGTAGGTCAGGGCTTTTTTTTTTCTTTTTTTTGAGACAGAATCTCACTCTGTTGCCCAGCTGGAGTGCAGTGGCATGATCTCAGCTCACTGCAACCTCTGCCTCCCAAGTTCAAGCTAGTCTCCTGCCTCAGCCTCCCTAGTAGCTGGGTCTATAGGCACCCACCACCACGCCTGGGTAATTTTTGTATTTTGAGTAGAGATGGGGTTTCACCATGTTGGCCAGGCTGGTCTCAAACTCCTGAGTAGGTCAGGTTTTTAAAGCCAAGTTCTAGAGCTAAAAGCGAGTCTGTGTACTCCTACAGAGTCCACAGACAAGCCATGTAGTTGAGAAACGAGGTGACAAAGCCAAACAATGGGTAGGAATGAGATAAACCGGCGTTCACGCTGGCACATGAAATGAACTTGAAAGTCCCGGGATTCCACGGAAGATGAAGATTCTCAAAATTAAGTTCAAACACACCCAGATTGGTAGATGTCAGAGTTGGAGAAGAGAAACACTGAACTTGGCCAGAAGAAAATCCAAAGCAGAGGTGAGAAGAGCCATGCGTCTTGCTGTGTCCCAAAATGTGATAAGTTCATACAGAAGCCATTTGTCTCTGACAATTTTTTTTCTCTAGAATTCAAAGGTAGGGTTTTCCTGAACCGATTTGGCTGGAATGCGCAGTGTCACACTGCCCAGATTTTACTCTCTGTTCATAGAGACGCAGGTGTATTGAACGGATTAGACAGTATTATGACATTCATTATAAACCAAGTGGCTCTCTTTGAGGCTCTTCAGACACAGCTGTTCATCCATAGAGCCCCGCTGCCTTACACAGGCACACACACGTTTGCGTGTGCCTAGATGATGAACTTTATAGGTACGGCCTCTCTCCCTACACTGTAGGAGAGGACAGAGTGAGTGGAAAGAAGGATTCATCTCCTGCATTCCACTTCACGAAAAGATCATTAGCTTGAAAACCAAGGGCTGTTCAGTGCTCCAGGCATTCGTCTCCCATCACTCCTGTGACCTCCATAAAATCACACTTACATTTCAAGATCAGTTTTTTCCAGTTTTGTGGTTGGATATGAAGTAGCTGATACACCCATCTAGCTGTGCACTTTACAAGTCGTAAGAACAGCGGTGGATTCCATTTCTTTCTATTCCTGGTATTGATAAATCATCAGTTTCATCTTCATACCTGACTGAGAACTTTTCATGGCTAGTTTCCCTGGCTGAGCTCACAGAGTGCTAGCAGACGTCCTCCCCTGCTCTGGGTTTATCACCACCCGACACCAATTTCTGTTGCTAAACTTCTCAGCTCACCACTTCCCCATCCCGTCCTCACAAAAACCTTCCACTAGTAGAAGCTCCACTTTATTTTGCTATAATTTTCAATATCTTGTCCTTTTCATTTCCACATCCTACACTTATTTGGATATACATATTTGGAGAGATTTATCTGTTTTGTTCAACACCTGCTAAGACGTTTTTCAAGATTAGCCCATAATGTAGCTCATATTTTGGCAAGGTTGAAGAGTTCTTCTAAGAATGTAGTATCTTTCCTTGCATTCTTGTACTTTATCTTGGCTCTTGGTCATGCCTAACATGTCATGCATTTTCTCACCCTAACACAAAGCTTCTATGTAACCCATAATCATTATCTAGGTTAACAATTCTGCCCCAGATATCCTATTGTATTTCTCCTTAGTGAAGATTTGAAAGCTTTACATCTATAAGTCTCTTTAGTTTGTTTTTTTGATGATTTCTATAAATTATACACACTTTATTTTGATGAAAAAGTGCAAATGATTAGAAAGACAAGTAGTTGGGTAGGCCCACCGGTAAGCCATGGCCACGTTGGTGGAATGTATTTGAGGAGTGTGTTTATGAATGGCTCTGTGCATGTGTGCGTTTCAGGAAGGAGACTGGTGCAGCCTGTACATATGCAGAGCTGTATATTGTGTCTACAGTTGATACATTTCTTCTTACATTCACCAGCTGTGCTGTGATAACTGCCGGAACTCCAGGTAACTATATTCTTCAGACAAATTTCCAAGGTTCAAGGTTGCAGTTTATAAACTATATCATCCAATCACCTATTTTGTGGGTAGTCTAGTTTTTGCCAAGTTTTATAACATTTATAAATATATAATTACTTTTCTTTTCTTTTCTTTTTTTTTTTTTTTTTTGAGATGGAGTCTTGCTCTGTCCCCCTGGCTGAAGTACAGTGGCGTGATCTCGGCTCACTGCAACCTCCGCCTCCCAGGTTCACACCATTTTCCTGCCTCAGCCTCCCGAATAGCTGGGACTACAGGTGCACGCTGCCACACCTGGCTAATTTTTTGTATTTTTAGTAGAGATGGTGTTTCAGTGTGTTAGCCAGGATGGTCTCGATCTCCTGACCTCGTGATCCGCCCGCCTCAGCCTCCCAAAGTGCTGGGATTACAGGCAGGAGCCACTGTACCCAGCCGACTACAGTTTTTTTTAAAAGATATATTTTTAAGCACAAGATTTATTAATTTATAAATTGTGCCTCTCGTTTAAGATTCTGATATCAGGGTTTTGAATGTTAACAGGCCATCATTGCCTGGCAGAAATATAATTTACTATAATTCAATTTTATTTTTACAAACATCTCTTGTTGATAGTTGATTATGCTTCTGTGAAGAGATTTTAGAATCCGATTCTATAAACCTGAGGTATTGTGTTTTATTATTGGCCCACATTATCTTTAAAGAAACACAGCTTATAAGCAGCTTATTTAATTAAAATAAACTTTCACTTTGTTCCCTACCTGCTTCAGTGAGCACATTGAGTCTTTTGTATAATACAATGACAAGGATCATATTTTTCACCATATCTGGCTTTTTTCGAAGGTCTTTTTGTTCAGTCATTTATCTTTCCAAAGACCTGGACACTCATAAGTATCCTAATTATTGAAAACAAAACTATTAATAGTTTTCTTTATTAAGGGTACACCAGGTCAATTACAGAGCAAATCACTTTTATCTAAAAAAACACAAGTTTTCTGAAAGTAATAAATCTGCAGATAACTTTTAGAGAGATGAGGAATTGATACAAAAAAATGACTTCTGAAATTTAAAATAACTAATTTGAAACACATTGCTAAATTACTCCTCCCAAAATGAAGACTCCTGAAATTTAAATAATTGCTTTAATGGAGATGAGTAGTAAATGCCAAAGTGAAATGAGAAGTGTATTTTTAGAGACTCTAACCTGTCGGAGATTACATACTAGAAGCACATATTTTGCCTTTGATTGCTGCAGACACAGGCATCCTTTTGAGACCTTTAACAATTCACATTGACTGTCACTTTTCCAGATAAACATACGCAAAACATTTGCTGCAGCAAACCTTGAGATCATGCTAAAACATATAAATCAAACAATTAACACATACCAAGTCATCATATTTTCCCCTTTTAAGAATTAGTCGCAGTAGCCTTTTAGCTATAAACTGTGTTATCCTAAAGTTTCACATAGAAAGTAATCAAGAGACCAAGTTTTCCTAAGATTTCATATGATCCTGTAGCAGAACTGTATAGATTCAAGACAGTGACTGTTATTATTAAAAATAACATATCTTTAGTTAGAGTTAACATGACTGTCTAACAAATCATCCAAAGTGTAATGGCTTAAAATAGTGACAAAATTTATTTTTCTCACAAATCCTCAGTTTGGGAGGGACTCAGGGGAACTGTTTGGCTCTGCTCCACATGGTGTTGGGTGGAGCTTCTCAGAGTCTGGGGCTGTCATCATCTACCGGCTCGTTATCTCATCTGTCTAGCACTTGGCTCTTGCTGTGGCAGGGACCTTACCTGGTGCTATTGGTCAGAACACCCACACATGACCTCTCCGTGTGGTCTGGACATTCCTGCAACGTAGTGCCTGGCCTTCAAGAGCAAGTGGGAGACAGAAAGAGCTGGGCAAAAGCGGCATTGGTTTTATGACTTAGCTACAGAAATCACAAAGCATGAGATGCGCCATAACAGTCATAATTCCCACCCAGATTCAAGGGGAAGAAAACAGACCTCAGCTCTCCACAGGACAGGTGTTGGTCATATTATAAGAAGAACACGTGGGGTAGGTTATCAATGTGGATGTGGGTGTTTGTGTTTGTGTGTGCTTGTGTATCCATGCACATGTAGGAACACACAGACACATATGTGAAAACATTTCAGGGATGCAACTTGTCACTCTTGGCCTCATTTCAATTCCAGTGGAAATATAAGATTTTAATACCTTGTGGAAACTGCTGGAACTCTCTTCAAGAAGCTGACCTTACTCCAAGAGCAACTGAACAAGTTGGGTAGGCACTACCAGCGAGGACCCCTCCATAAACCCTTAGATTCTGTCAGTACTGAAGGAGAAAACTCCAATTAAGAGTGGGAGAGTACCATACCATGAAAGCAGAATAGTAAAAACTGTTGTTCCTGCCAGCCCAGCATCCTTTTTTTTTCAAATATGTATCTATTTACTTTTGAGGAAGCTGTGGCTTCCACAGGCATTTATGATATCTCTTGGTTCTTGTGATTTTTACTGATACATGCCTAACCAAAAAGATTATTTCATCCCCCATGGCCATAGTGATGGACTTAGCAAAAAGTTACAGCCAATGTTTATTATCATTGGGAGTTTTGCTCAAATTTGGGAAAAATATAAACATTTCTATTGCAACAATCAAGTAAGATGTAAGCCTGTGTTGCTACTGAAATAAATGCATACAGAAAATAGCAAAGATGAACAGAAACAGGTACCTTATGCATCATTTGAGCCTTTAGAAATAGCAAAGGTAACCTTCTAGTAATGTGGGCAAATTTATCCCTTTTTTCTTACTTCTCTGTTTATTAACTCAGTCAACTGGGTTTCTGTCAGTTATAATTGAGGACCCCAAATAAATACTATGTGGGTGTTAAGAAGTTTAAAGAAAACAGATGTTTTCACAGTGGAAATAGAATTAATTGCATTCCACAAACAGCAAAATAGCAAAAAGGCAGATGCAAGTCCAGCCATGTCAATGACTACATTAGATGTAAATAGAATCACTTCAATCAAAAGGCTGATATTGTCAGATATCATCTGACAATAACATCCTTTATTGGCATATAACAGATAACATCTACAATTAAGGCAGATAATATCTACAATTAAGAACCTCTCTATTTATTTTAGCTAGACAACCTACAGTATAGAAGAAAATTTTTTCAATCTATCCATCTGACAAAGGGCTAATATACAGAATCTACAAGGAACTTAAACAAATTTACAAGAAAAGAACAAACAACCCCATGAAAAAGTGGGCAAAGGATACGAACAGACACTTCTCATAAGAAGACATGTATGTGGCCAACAAACATATGAAAAAAAGCTCATCATCACTGGTGATTAGAGAAATGCAAGTCAAAACCACAATGAGATACCATCTCATGCCAGTTAGAATGGCAATCATTAAAAAGTCAGGAAACAACAGATGCTGGAGAAGATGTAGGGAAATAGGACCGCTTTTACACTGTTGGTGGGAGTGTAAATTAGTTCAACCGTTGTGGAAGACAGTGTGGAAATTCCTCAAGGATCTAGAACTAGAAATACCATTTGACCCAGCAATCCCATTACTGGGTATAGACCCAAAGGATTATAAATCATTCTACCATAAAGACACATGCATACGTGTGTTTACTGCAGCACTATTCACAACAGCAAGGACTTAGAACCAACCAAATGCCCATCAATGGTAGACTGGATAAAGAAAATGTGGCACATATACACCATGGAATACTATGCAGCCAGAAAAAAGATGAGTTCATGTCCTTTTCAGGGACATGGATGAAGCTGGAAACCATCATTGTCAGCAAACACAGGAACAGAAAACCAAACACCGCATGTTCTCACTCATAAGTAGGAGTTGAACAATGAGAACACATGGACTCAGGGAGGGGAACATCACACACTTGGGCCTGTTGGGGTGTAGGGGGCAAGGGGAGGGATAGCATTAGGAGAAATACCTAATATAAATGACGGGTTGATGGGTGCAGCAAACCACCATGGCACATGTATACCTACATAACAAACCTGAACGTTCTGCACATGTATCCCAGAACTTAAAGTATAATTTTTAAAAAGGAAAGAAGAGCAAATTAAATGCAAAGCAAGAAAGAAGAATTAGTAAAGATTATACAGAAGAAAAAAACATAATAAATCAATAAAATCAAAAGTTGTACATTTAAAATATCCACAAAATTGACAGACATTTTGTAAACTGACAAAAAAGAGACGACACGAATTAACTAAATCAGAAATGAAAGACTGGATGCTACTACTGATGTCACAGAAATTAAAAGAACTTTAAAGGAATAATATGAAAAACTGTATCAAGACAAATTAGACAACTTAAATGAAATGAACAAATTCCTAGAAAGACACAAGTTGCTAGGACTAACTCAAGAAGAAATAGAAAATATGAATAGAACTAGAACTATAAAACATAAAGAAATTCAGTTAAGATTTAAATTTTTTCCCAAAAAGAAAACTCCAGGCCTGTCACAGAGGAATTCAATCAAACATTTAAGAAACAATACCAATCTTTCACAAACTCCTCCAGAAAACACAAGTAGAGGGAACACTTCTCAACTTATTCTATGAGTCTCATATTTAATAACAAAAACCAATGGCATCTCAAGGAAAGAAAACTACACGCAAAGATCTCTCATAAAGGTCAATGCAAAAATTCATGACAAAATACTAGCAAGCCAAATTTAGTAAAATATTAAAGAATTATACATCATGATCAAGAATGGTTTATATTAGAAATGTGATTTTTATTTGAATTAAAATTTAGAAATTCAATTAACTTAAGACACTATATTAATTAAACTAAGGGCATAATCCAAATGATCATCTTGATAGATGCGAAATCATTTTACAAAGTCTAACACATATTCCATATAAATCCAACACTCATTCATTGTCAAATCTCTCAACAAGCTATAAGTAGAAGGGAAATATTTCAATATGATAAAGGACAGTCAAAAAACCTACAACTAATATCATACTTCATGGTAAAAGAATTAATGTGTCAGCCCTAAAATTAGAAAGAAGGCCAGCACACTGACTTGCCACTTTTATTGAACATTGTACTTGCTAGAAGTTCAATAGGTACAAAAAGGCAATTGAAGGAAGTAAGGGCCGTTCAGACCGTGAGGAAATTCATCAAAGTGTTTTTATTCCCAGACAATATGATCCTCTAGGTAGAAAAACCTAAGCAATTTACAAAAATGCTACAGAAAATAATAAATAGGTTTAGCAAGTTAGGTGGATTCAAGCAGTGTACCAATGTCAACAAATGTCTATATATTACCAATATATAACATAAAAACAAAACTAATGTACAAATCCATTCCTAATGGCATAAAAATGTAATATAAGTAGTATAAGATTTGTATCTGAAAAATACAAATCATTGCTGGGAGAAATGAAAGAACATTTTTAAAAAGAGAAACACCTTACCACAGCCAGAATGTCCATTACTCAAAAGTCAGAACAAACCAAAACAGCATATTGGGTTGGATGTGGTGAGAAGGGAAAAATTAGACTCTACTGATGGGGATGGAAATTGGTACAACCCCTATGGGAAATAGTAAGGAGATTTCTCAAAAAACTGAAAGTAGATTCACCACTGAATCCAGCAATCCCATTGGTGGGTATCTAGCCAAAGAAAAAGCAGTCATGATATAAAAACAACAACAACAAAAACAAAAACCCACACACACCTGCCTGTGTAGATTTATTGCAGGATAATCCACAATTGCCAAAATATGGAGCCAATCTAAGTGCCCACGAACTGATGAGTGGATAGAGAAAATGTGGTAGAAGTACACCATGAAATACTATTCAGCCATTTAAAAAAAGAACAAAATAATGTCTTCTGCAGCAACTTGGATGGAGCTGGAGGCCATTATTCTAAGTGAAGTAACTCAGGAATGGAAAAGCAAATACTGCATGTTCTCACTTGTAAGTGGGAGCTCTGCTCTGGGTACATAAAGGCATACGGAGTGTTCTAATGGACACTGGAGACTCAGAAGACAAAGTGGGAGGGAGTGACAGATTTTTTAAAAACCTACATATTGGGTACAATGTGCGCTACTCAGGTGACGGGTGCACTAAAATCTCAGACTTCGCCACTATACAATTTATCCATTTAACCAAAAACCACTTGCACCCTGTTCATAGTTTGGAAAACTCAATATTGTGAAGGTGACACTTTATTCCAAAATTGATCTATAGATTCAACACAATCCCTTATTAAAGTCCCTGCAGAGTTTTTGTTTTTGCTTCTGCTTTTGTTTTTGCAGAAATTTACAAGCAGAGTCTAAAATGTATATGGGAAGGCCATCAATTTTCTAAAAGACTATCCTTTCCCTCTTATACCTTAGGTATACATCTATAGATCAATGTCTAGAAACAAATCTTTCCATTTATATTAAATTTATCACAAAGATGCCAAGGCAATTTAAGGTGGAAAGGTCAGTCTTTTAGAAAACTGATGCTGAGACAATTGAATATTCACATACAAAAATATGAGTTTATACCCTTACTTCACATGAACTCAAAGTGGATCATAGACCTAAATGTAAGTATTAAACTATAGAACTTTTAGAAAAACACATAGGTGGAAATCTTTGTAACTCTGGGTGAGGTCAAGAATTCTAAGATACGATGCCAGGTGCAGTGGCTCAAGCCTCTAATCCCAGCACTTTGGGAGGCTGAGGCGGGTGGATCACTTGAGCTCAGGAGTTCGAGACCAGCCTGAGCAATATGGCAAGACCATGTCCCTTAAAAAAAATAATTCTTTTTTTGACACCAAAAGCATAACCAATAAATGGAAAAAAAATTGGATGTTATCAAAACTTAAAATGATTATATGTCAAAGGACACTATTAAAAGACACTATCAGGAAAACAAAAGGAAAAGTCACAGATTAAGATGAATTATTTGCAAATTATATTTCAGATAAAATATATTTTTTCTGGAATTTATTACAACTTTTACAATTCAACAATAAGAACACAAAAGTCCCAATGGGAAAATGGGCCAAAAATGTGAACAGACACTTTACCAAAAATGGTATATGAATTCCTAATAAATAAAGATATTCTCAATATAATTTGTTATTTGGGACATGAAAATTAAAACCACAATGACATCCTGATTAACATGAATGAAAGTAGCTATAATAAAAGTGATAAACAATGACAAATGTTAGAGTGAGGGTATGTAGAAACAGTCATCTTCATGCATTGCAGGTGGGAATGTAAAAATGGTACTGCCATTTTGTAAACAGTTTGACAGTTTTATAAAAAGTTAAATATAGGCCGAGTGTGTTGGCTCATGCCTGTAATCCTAGCACTTTGGGAGGCCGAGGCGGGTGGATTGTCTGAGCTCAGGAGTTCAAGACCAGCCTGGGCAACATGGTGAAACGCCATCCCTACTAAAATACAAAAAATTAGCCAGGTGTGGTGGCGTGGGCCTGTAATCCCAGCTACTTGGGAGGCTGAGACAGGAGAATAGCTTGAACCTGTTAGGTGGAGGTTGCAGCGAGCTGAGATTGTGCCATTGCACTCCAGCCTGGTGATCAGAGTGAGACTCCATCTCAAAAAAAAAAAAAAAAAGTTTAAATATAAATTTATCACAGGACCAAGCAATTCCACTCCTAGGAATTTACCCAAGACAAATGAAAATAAACATCCACACAAAGGTTGTATTCAAATATTATAGCATTATTCTTAATAAACAGAATATGAAAACAATTTATATGTCCATCAACTAATGAATGGATAAACAAAATATGTATATTCATGCCACAAAAATTTTGCAATAAAAAAAGAAGTACTGATACATGCTATCACATGTTTTGAGATGAATCTCAAAAACATTATGCTAAATTAGAGAAGCCAGATGCAAAAGCCCACATATCCCATGATTCAATTTAATGAAAGTCCAGAGGGTTCCATCCCTGGAGTCAGAAAGTAGCTAGTGGGGTGTGGGTGGGACTAGGGATTGCACACACCGCCAAGAAGAATTTTCGGGGAGTGATAATGGAGATGTAGTAAAATTTGATTTGGGTAATGGTTGCACAACTCTTTAATTTTATTAAAAATAAGTGCCTTATAAAATTAAAATGTTGAATTTTATAATACATATATTAAAACATATATATAGTACCTCAATAAGTGCTTCAAAAATTTTTGTAACAAGTTAACTATATTTAAGTACCAAAAAGTAAATAAAATGATAGGACATACACCATATTTTGCCCATTGAGAAGAAAACACCAAGGAAAAGCCTTAAGAAAACACAGTGCCTCTGTGAGATGCATGACTTACTTTGTCTTCTGTGTAAAAATTAATTAGAAACATACTCTAGCAAACCTATTTGACTACTTACAATGATGTTATTAAAATGGCAAACTACTTTTTCTCTGTTTATTAGAAGAGAAATTGTTTTATAATATTTTGCTTAAAATAAATCACTCCAATTGTTTCAAATCTGTTGTAGTTTTGACATTATTTCCCTCAAGTGTTTAATTTCTGCTGAGAGTTTAATTGCTAATGTAATAATTTTAAATATAGTGAGATACTTTATATAGCATATAATTAAAGTATATAAATTGTGAACTGAATTTCACATAGCCAGAATTACCATAACACTACATATTCTCTTTTATATTTTATAAATTTACAACTTACAAAACACTTATGCAATTTACTGATCAGTTACTTTGCATCCGAAAAAAACCTAGTCTTTGAAAATTCATTAAGAATAAAATAAACAATAACGTATAAATTTGTGAAGCCTAATTCTAGAAGAAGATTTATTTCATGTTCTTTTCAAAAGTTACCTGTTAGAATTTGTCTTAAGTGGCCAATTGATGAAATGATAAAATTTTTTAAAAAATTTATTTGCCTCATTTCTGTATTCAGAACCACATGCAACTCTGTTTCTACTGTATGATTATTATTTTTTAAACCATTAAATTCAATGCCATGTAGGTCACTATGAAGACATTTGTGGAAAAATCACACGTGCATTTTTGTCAGTCTCATAACAAGGTGTATTAGTCTGTTTTGACACTGCTAATAAAGACTATCCAAGACTGGGTAATTTATAAAGGAGAGAGGTTTAATGGACTCACAGTTCCACATGGCTGGGGAGGCCTCACAATCATGGCGGAAGGCAAAGGAGGAACAAAGGCACATCTTACATGGCAGCAAGCAAGAAAGTGTGTGCAAGGCAACTGCCCTTTATAAAACCATCAGATCTTGTGAGACTTACTATCAAGAGAAAAGCATAGAAAAAACCCACCCCCATGATTCAATTACGTCCTCCAGGATCCCTCCCACAACACATGAGGATTATGGGAGATACAATTCAAAATGAGATTTGGATGGAGACACAGACAAACCATGTCACAAGGGTTCACAGGATATTACTATCTAATTTCTGGTGAGTTGAGGACACTATTTTTCAATCTGTGTGAGGGATCTTTACATGAACTCAAGTTTAGTTGATGTTCACCATATACGTGAATTTAAGTGTCTGTAGCCTACAGTCTTTCAAACAGAAGCACTACTATGTCACTTCAAGTGTGACAGACATTAGGGACATGACAATGCTGTGTCCTGAGACAAGACAGAAAAGCTATCCTTTAAAGTTACAGGATACAGTATAACATGACTAAGGATTTCTATGAAGATGGAGAAGTGAGCACTTCTGGAAAAACCTGGAGTCACTAGTGAGATTGAGGGATGGCAGGCAAGGGGAGAATATCTGGAATTCCTTAAAAGAAACCCTTGAGTCATCAAGAAAGGACAATTAGCCAACAACAGTAGAGAAATATCTTAGCAGATGGGGCAGCAGAAATATACACATAGGCAGAAAGTGATGAGTAGCCCATGAGTAATAGATCATTAACATCAAGTCTCTACCTGCAAGAGTTTAACAAACAAAAAATTGGTAAAAAAAATTATCAACAAAGTAGTATATGTATGAATATGATATAAGATGTTCATGATTGTCTATCTCTATAACAATTTTTATTTGCTACTAAAGAATGTGGCCTTTGTAAACTTAAAATAAAAATTCATATTTTGTGTCCAAATAGCTGAAAATAATATTTAATAACAAAAAGTAATTTTTAACTAGACCATTTAATTATTATCTTTACTCAACTGCTTATTTTACCATTAAAAAGAATAGTAAAAATCAAGACAATCTCCAGAATTTTGAGAAAGCAGGCTTTTTCTGGAAAAAAAATTGTAAAGTCCTGTTTCTCAGTGCTGTAAGAGTACCTATTACACTACATCGTCATAACACAGAACACATACTTTAAAACTTCACTGCCATTTTAGTAGATGGAAATATTACCACTGTGTTGCTTTAATATTATCTCTTTGATGATCATAAATGGAAGCTTTTTCATATGGTATTAGCCATATGACTTTCCTCCATGTTTGATATCTCTATTGATATCCTCCACCAGTGATTCACTTGGAGTCTTAATGGTTTTTTATTCCATTTGTGAGATGTTGTTTACACCCCTGTTTTGGAAAGGGGTGTACAGTTTGAATGAACACTTCCTGTTTTGAGTTTATTAATCATTCCCCCAAATTTATGCTAGTTTATTTGACTTTTAATTTTATTGTTTTGCAAACTACCCAAAGTTCATTTTAACTGCGTAGTAGATATGGAGAGACAGTAGAGCATGATGGTTAAGAAAGTGTATTCTACATGGGACAGTAAAATCCTCTCCACCCTTTACCTTTGACCCAGGCCCTCTACTCCTTCTAATGAGGGTCAAGAACACAGCTAGAAAATCAGGGAGAAGGCAAACTATTCCCCAAGCCACTACAAATACCATTTCTGACACCTTATTTCAGCTGCACAATTGTATTAGTCTGTTTTCAAGTTGCTGATAAAAACATACTAGAGACTGGGTAATTTATAAAGAAAAAGAGGTTTAATGGACTCAGTTCCACATGTCTGGGGAGGCCTCAGAATCATGGCAGAAGTTGAAAGGCACACCTGGCATGGTGGCAGGCAAAAAGGGAGTGAGAACCAAGGGAAAGGGGCTTCCCCTTATAAAACCAACAGATCTCGTGAGAATTATTCACTACCATGAGAACAGTATGGGGGAAACCACCACCATGATTCAATTATCTCCCATCAGGTCCCTCCCACAACACGTAGGAATTATAGGAACTAAAATTCAAGATGAGATTTGGGTGGGGACACAGGCAAACCATAGAAAAGATTTTGCCCGAGAACTAGATGTGAATAGAAATTTTAATTCACAATCATGTTTGAAGCGTGATTATTACACAGCATTGAACTGCATTATTACTGAACTAAAACTGTGTTTGCAATGCACAGGTCACCATACCATGGGATACTACTCAGCACTGAAAATCGATGAGCATGCAGTAGTAGGGATGATTCTCACATGAAAGAACTGTGGAGTCCTATTTAGGGAAGAGGAGTCAGGCTGGAGGGACCAAGAGAAAGCAAAAAGAGAAAGCAGATAACTTAGAAGTCTGCCTTTCTTCCTGGTCCAGGACACATAGCCCTCCTGTGCAAATAACTCACAATCTTTCTGTGCTCAGCCATCACCAGACCCTTCACTGACAGAAAATGACAAGTTAGCTTACTACAACCCTGGTGTTATCAGTACTACGCAAAGCCCTCTTCAGCATACAGCAAAAGCACCATCCTATAAAACCTCACAGCAAACCTTTGTCTCTTGGCAGTTAGATCCTCTCTCGCCAACTTCCCCATCGCTCCCTTGCAACATATTTTCCTATGTTCTCTAATAATATGCCTTTCTTTAGTTGCAACTATCTTGGTAAATTCTACTTACTCCCAAACCACTGACCCCAGGTAGTTGCTGATGGCCTGCAGCCGAAGCTAGATTCCAAAAGCTACACACTGTATGAATATAGCTACAGAAGATATCTCGGCAAAGACCAAATTATGGAGCTGAGAAACCAAACAGTGATTATCAGGAGCTGGGAATGGAGACAGAGGTGGCTTGCAAAGATGTAAGATGAAAATTTGGGGTGGTGATGAAACTGTTCTATATTTTGGTCTTGGTAGTGGTTACATGACTATACACATTTTTTAAGATTAACAGAATTGTATACTACAAAGCATGAATTTCACCACCAGTAAATTATACCTCAATAAAAAAAAAGAAAAAGAAGTTTGGTAGAGTTACACGGGATAAAAATTGATATGACCAGTGAGGAAAAGAAAAAATAACAGTCTCTGACATTCAGAAGCTGGCTTGGCCCCAAAAGCCATTCTTCTATTAAACACAAAAAATGTCACAGAATAATATCTTCAGACATGGCTGCTCTAAGACTCTAAAATAAGATAAAGTAAAGCTACTGCATAATTTTAAGAACAAGATCACTGTGCCACCCACAATACTAACCATTCCTCTCTACCAGCTCATTTAAGTGACTGCTACTACTTTACCAATTATGTTTAGCCTCACTCTATTCTGCCTTCCTATAGATAAGGTTTATAATTGAGATAACCAATCAAAAGCTTTGAGAGTCACAGACAACCACCCCTAGACACTGCCATGGGGCCGTAGCCCAAAAGTGCTCCCCATGGCCTCTGCACCTGCCTGTCTGCATGCTTCCACTAGGGGTTTGAGCAGCAAGGCGACCGAAGGAGTGAGCCACACCCCTGTCACATGTCCTGTGTTGCGGATGAGGAAACTTTCCTGTTTCAATAGTAAGCAGCTATGTTGTGGTAAAATACCATTTCACAATTCTACCTAAAGCTGAGATGAACAATAATAGAAAAGAATATTCAAAAGCAATTAAACAGCCTTAAGGCAAGCTCTATTTAGGTGTGAAATAGAAACAAAACATTTAGCAACTGGCCACAATATTCTTTTAACCTCTTGCAAGTTTTAGGTCTTTTATTATTTAAGTTAACTGGATAGTGGAAGAAAAAATTATTTTTCCTCTCCCTTCTAGCTTCTCCCACTGGAGCCCTGCAAATCAGATTAACATAGCACAGATTAGCAAGAGAGAAGCACATAATTTTATTAGCGTGCCCATCCCCAAAACACATGGAAGAAACTTAGTAGTCAGTAACTCAAAGGGTAGTTATTGGTGTCTCCAAACCTAACTTAGTAGGGGAAAGGGAAAGGGAGAAACGGTACTTGTGAAAAAGCAGCTGAATTTCTGGAAAGATAAATGGGCTCTTAGAATAGACAGAAGATATGAGAGTGCATGAAAATGTCTATGTGGGTATGGTGATGACTTCTCTTCTTCTAAAAAAGAAATGAGAGTTGTTCCTAGGAAAAGGTAGGCTGAGGCAGGAGAACACTTGAACCCTGGAGGCGGAGGTTGCAGCGAGCCGAGATCACACCACTGCACTCCAGCCTGGTGTCAGAGCGAGACTCTGTCTCAAAAAACAGCAACAACAACCAATCCCAATTTCTTGGTGGAAGTTACCAGATGTATTATATAGTCAGGGAAACTTGTAAGTCACAAAAGATTAAACAAATTTAACATAAGCAAAATTATTTTGAAAGATCAAATTAAGAGTTATGATTACCAAAAATTTTAATGTTGATCTGAAAATACTGTAAACCCTTAGTCTAGTTAACACTAAACACTCCTGCATGATGGGCTGCTGCTGACATTGCCACAGCCTGCTTTCTCCTCAGTGTTTGTGAAGTTACACATGGCAGCACAGAAGCTTTCTGTGAGGACCTTGAATTTTGTCCTGGGAGCATTTCAGCATGTGGCATTGGCATCTCCTTTGTCCCTTTCCAATCCTCATCCCCAATCCCTCCTCCCATGATGAATAAGATGCCACCCAGCCAGAACTACTGCAGAGAATTATAGCAGCAACTCTTCCTCCAGGCACTGCAGGGCCTGTAAAACTTTCACGAACTCATGAAAGTTTTATTGCTTTCTCTCTTTTTGACCAATGCGAGAAATAACCACTACCACACATTTTTTAAAATTAAAAATGTAAAAAAAAAAGCAGAACAAAACAATAGAAATGTCCACAAATACAAAGCATTCCCCAGTTCCTTAGCTTGTTATACTAGCAAAACAGAAATTCTTTATTCTCCGTGTGAATGGTAACTGATAAAACACACATACCCCTAAGAAAACAAATGATTAGCACACTGCTGTGTGTACTGTCAGCTCGTAACAAATAAAAAGCAATGATTCTACCCATTTTCTTGGCTACGTGTCTTGAGAAGCAAGGGAAGGGATATTTAATGATTGTTTTTTAGTGTTCTTTTTGAAATCTCCATTACAAATGTTTTGTGTTAAAAAAAAATGATCATGCTGTTCAGAAGTTCAAATTCAACACTTAGGAATACACTATCCGTAATTTCGGAAAGAACACCTTAATGCATACCATATACATTTACTCCCTCTCCATACATATAGTATAATATATATGGCATATATAATATATACTATTATATATTATATTATGAATACATATTATATATAGCATACATTTATAGTAAATAAATATATAGTAAATATATATTTACTATATATAATGTATATATTTAATAATGTAATAATATAACATAAAAATCTTTGTATGTCTTCTTTTAATTCAATTCAATCTCCCTTAATTTCTTTATATTCATTCAAAATCAATTTTTCTTGAATTGTTAAGTGCATCCCTTAACCCAGAATTTTTTAAAAATCTTATTAAAAATATAACTATTCAAAACAGGAGATGGTACTCTGTTGTTCCTAGTTCTAGAGTTTAAAGGTGACCCCATTCTGACTGATAGCTGTTGAGATATTTCCTGTCTAACCTCAGTTGTCCTTCACACAGTGTTCAATCTGTGTGGCATGTTTGGAAAAAGCAGACTCGCAGCACAATGCTAAAACTTCTGCCTCAGAACCATTGAGCTCCAAGGCATTTGTTTGCCTTAAGGGTGGACATAGCTCAACACAGCTCAACTGATTTCCCATGTTCTTAATAGGTGTAAGGTGGATATCATTATATGAGAAATAATGTAAGACATGCTTCTAATAGGACCCTGAAGGTGAGTTAAAGTGACAGGGCACCCATTACTGCCTTTAATAGGACATTAAAGCCTGGACACCCTGAACACCATTTTATCAGGGAACAGGCAGCAAATTCATCTAGAATTCTCAAATCTGCCACATCCTGAAATGTAGTTCCATGAGAGTGCAACTTTACACCCAATCGGTCTCATTGTATTTCCTTTTATGATCATAGGAATACATTTGATATTTCTAAATCATACCATGCTAAAAATGAGATTTCCATACTAAAAATGGTAAAAGAAATGGATCATCAGGTAGACAAGTAGGAAAAAAAGAAAAGAAATTAAGTCTTGCTATTCTGTTTTCATTACCCTGCTTGGAGTCCCAATTTGGATACTAAACGAATCCTATCAAGTAAATATATATATTTACTCTTGGTGTTGGCTAACATGGTGAAACCCCGTCTCTACTAAAAATACAAAAAATTATCCGGGCGTGGTGGCGGGCGCCTGTAGTCCCAGCTACTCGGGAGGCTGAGGCAGGAGAATGGCGTGAACCCCGGAGGCGGAGGTTGCAGTGAGCTGAGATCGCGCCACTGCACTCCAGCCTGGGCGACAGAGCGAGACTCCGTCTCAAGAAAAAAAAAAAATTGCTTTAATGCCCTGATGTTTATAGATACAGTATCAAATAAGAGAAATAAGTCTGTGTATTGCCTTCTGACAATTCATATTTATAATTCATCTATCAATAGAAATTGATTATAGGATCATAATACCCTGAAAAATGCAATATTATACTTATGTACAACAGTAAACATAATATGTGCTTCTGTCATGGGTTTTAATATTTCAGGCGCAGTTAGGCACAGTGAAATGTTTAGGAATAACTGTTCTTAGACGTTTTACTGTGCCTCATAAACCATGTCAACTGAGCCATGGTTGAAGACTGAATGGAATATTTCAATTAATTATTGACAGATTGTTACAGTGACTCAAGAGAACCAGTCAAGCAACAATGACAATATATTTTCTCCTCTTAACTACCCCAACACCTAAAATATTCATTTTTAGGAAAATATACATACTAACTTAACAGCATAACTGAAAATATTTTATATTAAAGCTTATTTTCCCATTAGAGTTGCTTTGATTTTTGAACTAATTGCGGAAAATTGCAAGGACAAGGTTAACTTAGAGGATTTTTTTGACACCATTATATGTAATCTTTTTTAAATTTAACTTTAAGTTCTGGGATACACGTGCAGAATGTGCAGGTTTGTTACACGGGTATACATGTGCCATGTTGGTTTGCTGCCTCTAACTTTGAGGATTTTTACATAAAATCACATAGCTAAAATCTAGGCATAAAGACATGTAAATGACTTCATTTTCATTTTCCTGAGCACCAACTTTAACTCTTTCTCAAATCAACTGTGGCATCTGTCAAGTACGTCTCATAGTAAGGAAGAATGAATTTTGGCACACTGTCGACATTAACAAAAATGGCAGTGGGAAAAATAGCTGTATTTTTGTATTTCCAAATGACCACTTAAAATAATCTCAAGTCTTTATTACATAAATTTTCTGATTCTCCTAGTCTCTTTGGCTTCATCTTTCTGTGTTAGGCCTTGTCAGTATCATCAGTTTACCTTTGGATAAGAGCTGTTCATCTGGGATGGTGTCTGGGCTGGCACACACCACACACAGAGCAAACACAGCTGCAGCGGCTCTCCCAGGCAGCATGCACCAACACTAACAGCACAGAGAAGTCCGCCACGGCGTTGTCTCCACGTGTGTCATCACACACACTGTCTTCAGTCATAAACTCAACAGAGCTCATCTGTTCTCCAAAAGGTTGTTGGAACTACATTGTTCTTGCATGATCTAGCAGCATTTGAGTTTCTAATACTTTAGCAAAATTATAAAAACATAAATGAACAGTCAGAGTCTTTTTGAAGGCTTGGAAGAAAAAGAATCTATTAGAGATGAAACCATGCTCACATAGATAAAATAATATTAAGGAAGTGTCTAGTATGAAATTCTGCTATTAAAAAATGGTGTTGGGACCAGGTAGGGTGGCTCACACCCGTAACCTCTGTGGGGAATTACTTTGTGGGGGCCAAGGTGCGGGGATTACTTGAGGTCAGGAGTTCGAGACCAGCCTGGCCAACGTGGTGAAACCCCGTCTCTACTAAAAATACAGAAATTACCTGGTGGCAGGCACCTGTAATCCCAGCTGCTCAGGAGGCTGAGGCAGGAGAATCACTTGACCCCAGGAGGTGGAGGTTGCAGTGAGCCGAGATCACGCCACCGCACTCCAGCCTGGGCAAGGGAGCTAGACCCTCTCTCAAAATATATATATGTTATAATATATATATTATATATACACACACATAAAAATAAAAAAGGTGTTAGGAGTAGCTTAAGGTAGAAAATAAATAAATAGTATTAGATGCATTTTCTGAGACAAATGTAATTCAATTAGAATTGTCCGCTATTTACATTCAAAGTCAATTAATAATCCTATTCAATAAGCTGGCCGTGGCCTTTGCCTTATACTACAAAAATGTCATTAAGAATCAAATATAATCGACCCAAATTGTGTTAGTTCACCGCAAGTTTTTACACCTTGGATTTTGCATGCATGCTACAATGATAATAGCATCACTGTAGGCTAAAGCACTTCTGAATAAAATTGTTTTTATTAAAGTTTCAAAATTTTAAAATATTAAACTGTATGAAACAATATGACTTATTAATGGGCCAGTGATTTTACAGCATCTCCTAACACCCCATCTGTGGCCCAACAGTGGACCTCCACAGTAGTACATAAATGTATGTCAATTGGTTGTTACATAAACATATTCTACATAAAAATGTCTTTTGTTTTTCCAAGTATATACATTCTGTAACTCATGATTTGCCTTGTATTTGTTCAATCTTATTACTTATAGCTTTAAAATATATCACAATTAAATTGTATGTAGTTAGAAAAGGAGGACATTAGGAAAAATATATGTAATGAGAGAAGTCTTAGCCTTACAGAACAAGACAAACACTTCAGTCAGGCAAATTTACAAACAAGGCTGCAAGTCAGTCAATGTGGCTCAAGAGAAGGAGTTTCCTCAGAGCTCCTGGGACAGGGCACAGCTCATCACAGCCACTAGAGGCAGCTGACTGCTGCTCCACTCCTGAGCTCCCCAATTTTGTTTTCCTTTTTTTTTCTGGACACAATGGCTTCTTCTCTTTAATAATGCCTTCCTTCTGCCCCATAATTTCTATTTGCATGTGGCTTTGACTTGTTTTGGTGACAGCTCTATGTTAGTTTCACACTCACTAATACTTACTTTTTCTGAGACTTTTTGCTCAAATTTTCCAAAGAGAGTACATAAACAGCCCAGCCCCTGGATTAGTTTACCTTGAGACAAAACTCCATCGCAGGTCCAAACAGCTAAGGTGAGGGAGGCCAGGTCAAATAGCACATTCCTCTCCACCTAGACCCACCTCTTTAAAAGTGATTGCAGGCTGTGGACAATATTTTTAAAATGAGACACAGGCTAAGCTAATACCCCACAGTGTACATCGTACAATAGAAAAATAGCTAAATACAGACAATTCATTAAAAAAATTCCGAAGATCATTATTATAAGAAAAAGCAATAATTAATGAAAATTGAGGGTTTAATTTCTACTATACAAATAGCATAGTAGATTTTCTTGAACTGTAATGATCTGGATCCAGGTTACTGCTGCACAAATGGAGAGGAACTGAAATATACTAGAAATAGACGTGGCTAGATACAGATATAGACACATATGTGTATGCACATTCTCTCCCAATATATACAGTTGATAGAGGTGAGAGAAAAAGTCCACTAATATTTCTATGAATTTATTTTTTGGTTAAAAAATGAATTTGGATACTATATTTTCATCTGATTTCTATTTTACAAGGCCCATAATGTAAGTATTTTTATTTCACTACTGTTAGATATTCCCTGAGAAAGAAAGAGACACTTGACATGTGAGAAATATCACATTTGCAAATGGATGTTTTTTGAAAAATATCAATGTTCTATTGTCTCTAGAATTAGAACATTGTTAAAAAATACATTTTGGCAATAACGAAGTGATTAGTCATCTGTGGGGTACAAGATAACAATACAAGAAACTAACCTTACTGAAAAGGTGGTGGATGGCATGTGATTGCTCTACATGCATCCCTTCAATCAATACCAGAATAGCTTTGGAGGCAGGTACAACGGTCATTATCTAAATTTTATAAAAGAAACTTAAATAGACAAAAGTTGTTTTCCCAAGGATACAGGGCTAGTAAATTAAATGGTGGGAGCCAGATTCAAACCCAGTTTTAATTTCAGAGGAAGCCATTGTTGGCCTCTGACTTTAAATTCCAGATAAATGGAAATAAGCCCATGTTATGGATATTCTAGCAATTTTGCAGAGTAACTCTAATGACACCTGTATTCTCTGTGTTATTATACTGAAATAGTCTATAGATACTCAGTATAAAGATACTGCAATGAAGAGTTGTATGGATTTTTAAAATTTTTATACACAGTTTTTGAAGACAATGTTTTAAAAATCATTGAGAATATTGGGTCATTTTGTTTTCATAGTCATGCCTTCCCCTAAAGAAATCCTTTTGTTAGAAGATAAATTAGGAGGCACATTGTTTAGAAGTAGACATAGAAAGATGGATTTAACAATCTGCCTAATTATGTTATTTCTTCTTTTTTGTTGTCTCTGTGTTCGTGCATGTGCATTTTTTATGTGACTAAGGATATCCAGAGAGTGGAACGGTAATGAGAAGTACAACAAATGGGTAGAATCATTTTGTTTGCATTATAATCCATACATGACTGATGTAGTACGGGAAAATAAACTTCTAATTGTGGTCCTTGGTCCTAGGACCAAACTCATGATCAAAACCACTCAGATAAAAAGTATCCAGTCAGAGTAAGGTGGTTGTTTAAGAGAAAATGGGATTTTTGGGGATGCTGGAAGTCAGAGAGCAAAGACAATGTTCAAAAACACGTGGTCTCTGACTTCCCCTTCTCTCCAAGAATGGAAAGTTGGCTGCCGATGCTGTGGTTAGTTTACAAAGCAGGGAAGGCCTATGTTGGTGAGCATGTACTTAAACTGAGTGTGAGTGTGGCCTCGCTGCATGGGGAGTAGCTGCATCCCACGTGCACTAGAGAATGCAAATGCCAAAACCAACACCAAAACAACAGCCCTCTCAAAAATGCTTTATTCGCTTCTACTCTACATGTATGATCATTTTGAGACAGGAAAATAGGGCCTGGGTGCAGGGAACCTAGGGAATTCACAGAACTAAATCAAGCTCTGTGACCAAGTAAATAACTCTAACTCTACTTCAGCCATGCCAGGAAACATCTTCATTTGCATAGGGTGTACACCAAGGAAATCACTTTGTACCCTCACTTCATTCTCTTTATTTGCATAGGGTGTACACCAAGGAAATCACTTTATAACCTCACTTCACCTCTTCATTTACATACAACGGAAGCCATGTCACCAATGGGAAACCTCTAGAGGGTATTTAAACGACAGGAAATTCTGAACATGCCTTTGAGCTGCTTGCTCGGCCCCTCCCACCCTGTGTCGTGTACTTTCATTTTCAATACATCTCTGCTTCTGTTGCTTCATTCTTTCCTTGATTTGTTTGTGCATTTTGTCCAACTCTTTGTTCAAAATGTCAGAACCTGGACACCCTCTACCAATAACAGTTTCATTTAAGGAAAGTTTCTGTACTCTTGGCTAAGTAAGTCAGAAACTTATTTTAATCTTACAATGAGTACAGGTGGTATCTTCCTACCCATTCCTAACCTACTTATGAACCCCGCTTTGGAAGGTGACAAAACGCCTCACCAAGCCTCAGAAAGAAGAGGCCTGCTTAGCAGCATTACAATCAATAGTATTTATAAAAAGCTATCACGAGGTCGAGTGCGGTGGCTCACACCTGTAATCCCAGCACTCTGGGAGGCTGAGGTGGGCGGATCACGAGGTCAAGAGATGGAGACCATTCTGGTCAACATGGTGAAACCCCATCTCTACTAAAAATACAAAAATTAGCTGGGCGTGGTGATGCTTCCCTGTAGTCCCAGCTACTCAGGAGGCTGAGGCAGGAGAATCGCTTGAACCCGGGAGGCAGAGGTTGCAGTGAGCCGAGATTGTGCCACTGCACTCCAGCCTGGGTGACAGAGCGAGACTCTGTCTCAAAGAAAAAAAAAAAAATGCTACCATTAAAACAGTAGTGACAGAGAGGAGAGGCAATGCCATTACATGAGACCAGGGGAAGCATTATTTGTGGTTCTAGACGGACTGTGACAGAAGTTGTTTGCTCAGACAAAGCCCATCAGAGTCAAATACTTTCAGATTAATACCTTGCTTAAGTTATTACAGCATGGATGGTATGCGATGTTTAGGCTCACCTATTTAATCATAAAAAGTGTCTATGCATATCAACTAATTAAAACTACATAAGTTAAAAGAAATATTTTTATATTAAATCTATTAATCTACTGGTAATTATATTTAATGGTCAAAATCATAATATTCTAATTCATTATTTTATGCACAAAAACTTGGGGATAGAGTCTAAATAGTGGTTGAATGGATGATGAATATATCACTAAACAAAACAAATGAATCAATATGTTCTCAGGGGCCTCCTAGTCCCTAAATTCACAAAACTCACAAAAGAGAAAGACAAAAAGCAAAATTTACTTAGAGAATGCTTAGCATTTAAAGCCCCAAATTCCTATAGGTCGCATCTAATAAAGTTGTACTAGCATTCCAAAAGTATGGAAGCTGAGTAGAGGAAAATGGTAACACCACAGCAATGCAGTCAGCCATAACCATGATGTGGAAAACTTTAAAACAAACGGCTCAAATTCATACGTCGTTGAAAAAGGATACATTGTTAAGAAAAAAGTAGCCTGTGTTGAAGTGAATAGTTAATGTATTTTGTAACAATTATTTTAAAAATGGAATACTCAAATTCTTACACGCTGCTTCTACAGAGGCTGACTATACAATACATAAATTAAAAAATAAAATAAGCAGATTTCTCTGCTTCATATATTTTGACCTCTTCTGTGTGTACTTTTAAATTTTTTGAACCTAAGCATGCTTTTAAAATCAATTAAACATTTTATATAAACTGATAAGTAAACATATCCAAGAGTGGAAGTTGGAAGACAATGAAAATGTCTACCTTGGATATGAGGAGGCCATCAGGGAGAAATGTACTATGGAAATATTTTTAAAACTCAGGAATAAATTGTGTCCCTCACATCAGAAATACTAAGTCACATGGTCTGAAGGAAATCCTGCAACTTTAAAGAATTGATTTTCAAAATTACCCACCAATACCTTATAATACCAGAATGTTGAGTAAGAAACATTCATATCAACCCCTATCTGAATTCTGAGAAAACGACTGTCATGTAATTGACAGTGGTGAGGACTGAAAGCACAGGAACATCCTGAGCCTCACCAGCACCAAGCCTAGACACGAGAAAAAAGTGATGCCAGCCTGGCACCATCAAAATAATCTCTACATATGAGGACAAGTTAGTGTCTTATAAATGCAGAGGGAAAGTGTTTAATTGTAAGAGATTTGCTGAACTAAAAAGGAGAATGTCTTCATAAACAACTGCTCTGTAGCTGCAAAATAAAATAAAACATGGACCCTTCAAAAAATATGTACACTCCCCTCAAGGTGAGCTGACGAGAGGATACAAAGATCTTCCAGCAGCCAGGGGAGTAACCTGGCCCCAGAGCAAAGACCACCAAATGTTGGGAGTTTGTGTTTCTCATTTTTTTTTGTCTTTTTCCAATCAACCAAAACACAGGCAATTAGTTTATAAGCTTCACATCCTTAACCAGAGCTGGCAAAAAGTACGAGTCAACAAACAAAAATAATTGAAACAAAACACAAAACAAAAACCGTCGGATCAAATGAGGAAAAGCTCATTTTTGGGAATAGAAGAGAACATCACCAAATCTGAAATGCTACCTGTAGAATAAAGTCAAATGAATATTCATTCATAAAGTGAAGACAGAATGATGTAATTCGAATAATGAGAAAATAAGAATAACCTGTTGGCATCATCCAAGTAAAAATCAAGTAAAAATTCGATGGAAGAACCAGAAGGTAAAGTCCCGGAATTGTCTCAGAAATTAGAAAAAATAAGATGTAAGTGGATAATTTTTTTAAAAATCCCAATCTTGAGTTAAAAAGAGATTTGGGCAGGAAAAAAAAATGCCCTTGTGAATCATGCACATTGGGTGTTAATTGAAGCCAGGACCATAGATGAGATTGACTAGAGCGAGAGGGAATAATTTGAGACAAAAGGGCCCAAACCCAAGCTTTCCAGAACTCCAAACGTTGGTGGCCTAGAGGAAGAAAATTACCCCACAAAGCAGGCAGAGAAGGACGAGCTGGAAAGGTCAGGGTTAAAATGAGGCTGAGGAGTCTCCCAGGTCACCGAAGGAGAATGGGCAACAGCAGAAAATGATGAAGAGGGGCCACACAGGAGCAAACTGAACACAAATACTGCAGGCTGGAGGTAATTACTGAATTTAGCAAAAGCTGGTTTGGGTGTAGTGTTGGATTAAAAGTTAGATTTTAGTGGGTACAGACTGAGTAAATAGAAATAATGAGAAGAGGCAACACCAGGAAGAGACAGGCAGAATACTTCTTTAACCTGATAACAAACAAACAAAAACCTTTTATTTAAAACCCCTGCCTAGAATGTTCTTAAAGTGAAATACGAAGTATGCCCAGTATATCTAAAGAACATGTAACATATATCACTGTTTTGTTGGGGAATATATATTATTTCAGTATAAAGATAAAACTATTTTATTTTCCCAGTAAATACTAGAAATAGTGTTCTGTCTTCCGAGCACTTTCCCGGCTGTGTGATTTCCTGAGTCCACAGTGATCTACCGTGGGGCTTCCAGCTCTGCACCAGCCCAATGTCTCAAGCTCCAGGACCCGCCGTGGGCTCCACTGGCCGGCTGGGCACGCGGGGGCGTTTTCCCTGTCCTTCCCTGGACATTTGGGTCACACACTGCGCACTCCACCCTCTAACGGGGAGTAACGTTCCCCTGAGAGAGCATCACCACCCCTAATCAAGGGAGATGGGGGACAGTGCAGGCACCCCACGTCCTTCCGGTGGTTCTTTTCTGTTTGTTTGTTTGTTTGAGACGGAGTCTGGCTCTGTCGCCCAGGCTGGAGTGCAGTGGCTCCATCTCTGCTCACTGCAAGCTCCGCCTCCCGGGTTCCCGCCATTCTCCTGCCTCAGCCTCCCGAGTAGCTGGGACTACAGGCGCCCGCCACCACGCCCGGCTAAATTTTTTTGTATTTTTAGTAGAGACGGGTTTTCACCGTGTTAGCCAGGATGGTCTCGATCTCCTGACCTCGTGATCTGCCCGCCTCGGCCTCCCGAAGTGCTGGGATTCCAGGCGTGAGCCCCCGCGCTCGGCCCGGTGGTTCTTTTTTCACTCCACTCAGGGTGAGCTGAGGAGACGGAGCAGCCTCTCTCCATGACTGTTACTTCCCCACAGCTGAAGCATTTTCTTACCCGTATTTGTATTGAGGAGTCAGGACGGTGCGCAGTGAGCGATTCCGCCGTCGCTGGCGGACACACCTCAGCGGCTCCACCAGGGGGAGACTGTCCCCGTTCCCCGGATGGGGGCTGCGCTCAGTTCCAGCTGGGGCCTGAGTGGGGCGCTGTCACGAGGCACCCGGTCCCTCTGCCCCACGTGTATTCCCCATCGTCATTTAACACTGTTGCTTGAGTTGCGTCCAGTGGAATCAACTGCAAACAGAGAAAGTTAGCATATGTGTGTAAAGAAAAAAGATGAATGACCCTTTTTGTAGATGAGAGTTCAGTTTTGAAAATACACACACTCAAAATTTAAAACTTCTAAAACGAATAACAGAGTTCAGTAAATTGGCTAGGCAAAGAACATAGAGAAACAAAACCCACCACTGGTCAAGGTGTACTAAGTTGGATATCATCAAATGTAGCTGTTAACAGTGTAAATTAATTTTAATATTTTGAAAATTGTACAGAGCAAGCATATGAAGAGCCTTAAAATGTTCACATCCCTTGATCCACTGATTTTATGTCAAGGAATTCATTCTAAAACATAATTCTAAAAACTAGGTAAGGATTTACATTTTAAAATTATTCTTAAAGATATATTTAACATTGATTAAAAAATGAAAACGACAATATCGGAATTGTTAAAGAAAATGTGGCATTTTCTAACAATGCACTATTACACAGTCACCAGATACTGTGTTTATAGGTTCCTCTCACAATATAGAAAAATGCTTCTGTTTATGTTAGATGAAAAAGCAGGAACTTATTTGTATGTAAGCCTGACCACATGTAACATGTAAAATGAGGTCTTGTCTGTCTCAAGATAGCTGAGGTCAAATATATTTCAAATACCTAGCATATCCCGAAGTTCTATCCCTAATGTTATAAAGAACATGCCCAGAGATGATAAAACTAGGCCACAAGGTAAAAGTGACAGAAATCCTGAAGTCTGGAGTTGTCATCTTACATTGGACATATTTTATATAGGAGTTACCAGAAAGAATAAGTAAACTCTCTGAGATTTCACCTGAGGGAGAGGAGGTAAGTATTCAAGACAGCAAATTTAACAGGAAACGTTGAAATGTAAATTATTGATTTTATAACTGCATTCTATCAGGTTCTAGTTGTTAAATCTACCACTTATGTGTGTATAAAATAGCAAATGGAATGAAATATAGAAAAATATTAATAGAGGTTGTCATTAAGTAATATATTTATGAGTAACCTTCCTTCCTTACCCTTTTTTTGTATATTCTGTTTTTATGAAAAACAATATTAATTCTATACTTGAAAAAATTTTACTGAAAAATGAAGTAAGCTAAAGAGGGGTTGGGTGTGGTGGGTCACACCTGTAATCCCAGCACTTTGGGAGGCCGAGGCGGGTGGATCATTTGAGACTAGGAGTTGGAGAGCAGCCACCATGGCAAACATCCTCTCTACTAATAATACAAAAATTAGCTGGGTGTGGTGGTGCCCACATATAGTCCCAGCTACTTGGGAGGCTGAACCGCTTCAGCTGGGAGGGAAGGTGGAGGTTGCAGTGAGCTGAGATGGTGCCACTGCACTCCAGCCTGGGCAACAGAGTGAGACTCAAAAAAATAAATAAATAAAATAACCCAAAAAGGTAGAAAAGTAATTCCAAGTTCATAATTCCCAGATTAACCTTCGCTCCCCATGTTGGAACCAAGATTCCCTAATCAAATACCAGTCCTGGGACTGAGTTATAAGCTTTGTTTAGCCTCTGAATCATTCAACAATCCAGTCTTCTCATGTACCTCACTGATTTTGGCTAGGGAGATATTGCCATGTTTTTTTATCAAATGAATGGAATAAATTATGTAAACACAAAATGCAAGAACAATATGGTGCATGCATTAGGTATTCAATAAATGATGCCTGAAACCAGAGAGAAAACTCATTATTTTTTGAGGACCTGTTGCTTATCCATAGAATGAAGATGAAGTGGTGTTTCTAAAATAAGTAAGGTATGCTAAGTAACTACCCATCATCTCACTAATTAGAACTGAATGAGTCATGAATGTTGAATATTTATTCCATAAACACAGAAACCTGTGACAGACCCGCAATTCTTCAGAGTTCACCATTAGAAAAAGGCTCATTCAACTGAAATTTTTAATTGGAAGAGGAGATGGATTCCGGCTTTATTGTTTCTCCTTGTCTACACATATTTCTGCTTCAGACTGACTCTGTCAATTACGTTCTCCTATTATTCACTGCATGCAGGCCCTCAATTGCTGTAAACGTTGGCCTCAGGCTTGCTTATTGCGCTATAAATTTGGCAGGAGAGCTAATGGGAAAGGTGCAGCCATTTGCTGTTTGAATTCAATTTTCATGCGCGAGGCTTTTTTCCCGACTCCGAGAGTGCTCTGCTTGTGTCAGCAGAGCAAGTAATTAAAAGGGTCAGTGGTTAAATATTGCTACAAGTAGTTCAAAACTAAATCGTCATTTTTAGAGACAGAAAGACAAACACGGATGAACGATAAATGCATGATCCGTGGACTGATCTAGAACTACAAAAAAAAAAAAAAAAAGTGCTGACACCCTTCTTCACTCCAGGAAGACAAGCGACTCCATTTAAGGGTGGTGGAAGCTCGTAAAAGAGTAAGTGGTAATAGTGAGGTGCATTAGGGCATTCAAAGGCAGGTGCTCTATCGGAGAAAAATCAATGTGTGCATTGCATTTGCAAACCAAAGTCAGGGTTATTGTTTCATTTGTCAAGGTTTTAGGCCACAGAGTAGAAACATTTAAATGAGTGATTTAAATCAAGCTAATCTTTTAAAGATTGTCCATTTATTCAAAACGTTAAGCTTAATTGATGCTTCAAGACAGAGTACTCTTCCCTTTCCATCTTAGCTGTCTTAGCTCTCACCGCTACCTTCCTGCTGATTTCTTTTATTAGACTCCTCAAGTCCCATAATTGAATCTAATGTGTATTTCTACTATCACCACTAGGCTTATTAATTTGTGATAGCTCTAAACCACCACCAAAATTCCAAAAGGAAGAGGGAAAATACATGGAAAAATATAGGCCAGGCTTTGTGGCTCCCATCTGTAATCTGGGCACTTTGGGAGGCCAAGGTGAGAGGATCACTTGAGGTGAGGAGTTTGAGATAAAACTGGACAACATAGTTAGACCCCATCTCTACAAAATATACATAACATATATACTATATTAATATATGGTATATTATATTTTATATTTTATTATATATAACATTTGTGTATTTTATATATATTATATATTTATGTATATTATATATAAAATCTTATCAATATTTAAAGAGAAGTTTATACCAAAATATTTGTTCTCCTCTTTAGAAAAATAATCCCAGGCATTTGTTATAATCTGGTTCCAAACATCATTGCACTATTTTAAGTTTTTTTAAAAAAATTACTCTGATTTAAAAAGCAAGTAAACAGAAAATGGTTATTTGTATCTATAGCTGCTGGACTTTCTTCTTGGTTGTTCCTCAGTGATGTACGGCACAGGGGGCAGAGGCTGAGTCTTCATCAGGCAGAAAGGACAGTAACAACTGCACTCACTCCGGCTTTCTCCAGCGCCCGGGGGATTTGACATTCACTAAAGACATTTTTCTTTTTTAATTAAATTACCTTTCCCAAGTGGTATCTACCTTGCTCTAAGTGCTTTCTAATGAATCCTTACAGTGATTTTCTTGTCCCTCCTATTTTACAGATGAGAACACTGATTTTGGAAGCTTGGAATTAGTTTTTTTCACAGCTAGCAGGTAACTCAATTGGAGTCAACATCAGCCTCCCATCCACAGGATGATCGTGACAGTACCCATCTCCCCAGCTGTGAGATTAAACAAGTGAACACATGCCAAGCACTCAGAATGATGCCTGGCAGATTTAGCACTTTATAAATGACGATTATAAGTTCCAAGAGAGAAAATTTAACAATGTATTGGAATGTCTTAAAACAGTATTTCCTAGAGACCTGATAATGGACCACCCACAGCAGAATAATCTGGGTGCTTATTAAAAAGAAAAATTTCTGGACCCTGTCCTAAACATCTTAATTAAAAACTCAATAAATGGAGCCTAGAAATCTCCATTTTCAATAACCACCTTACTGGATTTTTGAGCACACCAAGTTTTGAGAGATGTTTTACAACCTACTCAGGTTTATTTGCATAATTTATAATAGGACTGTCCAAGGTAAGGTGTAAATAATTCAAATGGTAAGGATTGTAGAAACGAAGAAAATGAAAATTTAAGTTTGTTTCGTAGTCCATTATTTGGATTTTTTATGACATTGTTAAATCAGACACTGAGGCAATGAGAAATATGGCTAAGATTCCTACTTCTTACTTTATTATGGTTAGCAGTTTCATATTTAAATACATGCGGTAACGGTGGAGCATGGAGAAAACATTACTGTAGCCACAGCTTTCCCACAGGCACCAGTAGGCAAGAACTCCCAGACTCCTGATCACTGTTTCTCCTAACCTGTCACTGGGAAAACTTGGCTAATAGGAAAGGACCAGGATATAGTGTAGCAACTGGCTTGTAAAAAGCAGTAAGGGTGCAAGCAACAAGATAGAATTAAGGGGAGGAACAAGCATATGCTCAGTAGCCATCAGCGTCTTACCTAATCTTAGGTGCAAGGGTACACAAGTAATAGGTCATACATGTCTCCTGCCTCAGCCACTCCCTTCTCTTCACGGTTTCATCTGTTTCTCTACCTTACATGCACCACAGCCAATTGAAAATATTATTTAATAAAAAAGACTGCATAATCAAAATACCTAATTGTTTTATTTAAATAAGAAAATATGCGTTAATAAATTTATTAGTTATCCTGTTATCCTGTTATTTTACATATCTATTCATCAGTCACTTGTCAGCTAAAATAGTCTCCTTTAATCAAGTTTTAATATTCAAAACACATGTGCTGCTCTTTAAAAAGCATGACAGACACATCATTCACTGTGCATTCAAAGTCATAGATTAATTGTCACCTAATCATGCAAAATCTCCTACAAGTTGTCAAATTGAAGTTTTCTGGTGTAAATGCAAAAATGTCAAAGACATAGTCAATAAAAACACATTGCTTCAATGTGGCCTTGTGCTTTAGATTATAACATTTATTTTTGAAATAATAACTCCTGCTTCATGTGCATTAAGTCTGTGAAAGAAAACTAATGACATAATACTCATATTCAATTGCATCGGTGTTGAGAAGACATTTAGTTTGCATACATATGTGTTTTAGACGTTGGGAGAATGCGATGTCAGAGTTCTCCATGCTTTGTGTCACAGATATTCCTGGCATGCCTCACCCCTCACTGTATTCATTAATGCCATCAGCGGGGGCTGTCTCTACACATGGACGTGGGACACGGAATTTGAAACCATGACAAATACCAAATGACTTTTAGCTACTGGGCCAAACCCAATAACTCAAGGTGTAACTACTTCATTTAACAGCCTAATCTCAAGACACTCTACAAGTACCACAGATGTTTGAACAAAATGCAAAAGGAAAGTACAATTATTACGATTTTGCACATGAGAAAACTAAGTCCCTAAATACTTGATACTTCCTCGAGTAAGGAAGAATATCCTGGACCCAGATCCATCAATGGATAAGATCCATCAACATCATATTCTTATTTCCATGATTTGAGGAGGCTGAAAATTCCATTAGCTTCTATTAGGGCACAATAATGAGTGCCAATTATGAAGCAGAGTCAGTGGCACGTCCCATTTTGGACGTTAGCTGTGAATTCCTCTGAATTGTGCAGGTTGTTCCTGATCTAACTCAGCCACCGCATGGGGGTAAGCACGGGGGCATCTGCTGGAGCTCTGGTCATTCCTGAGCCCACATGTCTGTCATCCCCCTCCTTGGCTCTCCTCCCACAGATGACATCTCAGTAAGGAAAGAATTTAGTGAGCAAATAATAATTGAAGTCTGAAATTCCTTAGAGAAAAATCTATTAACCAAAGAAATTATTATAATTAATGAGAGGAGCAGGGACCCTTCTTGGAAATGTGGATGGAAATGAAGTATGGAAATAAAATCTTGAGTTCCTTCGAAGGGAAGTCCAGGCACCTGGGTAGCCCTGAGAAGTAAATGAACAACTTGATAGGCAAGGTTATTTTATTTAACAATAAAATTATTTGTCTTATTATTTAACAATATTTAACATTAACATTTAACAATATTTAACAATAAAATTGGCTTAAAGCAATAGCCAGGAAGGTAAAGTCAAGGGATATCTGGTTCACTATAGGAGCTAAAGAGAACATCTGAACATATATTTGAGTTATTTTTAAGAAACCCAAATCCCCACCAAATGGATCTACTGGCACAGACACGCCAGATAAGGGGGAGCTGAGGAGTGAACTCTGACCACTGTTCTTTGTGCTAAATTTCTTCCTGAGTGGCCTGCAGGAAGTCACACCCATGAGCCAGAGGTAACATTCTTTTCCGCGGATCCCACATATTCAGACAACGCTTTGCCTTCTTAACCAACTGCAAATCAGAAAAGAATCGAATCTGCCGATGGCCCGTGGCCTCCGCTTTGAGATGTCCGGCCTGCTTCGGTCACGTCAGTGCATATCCTTCATTGCTTGAAACCTCTGCCTCCCTGCCTTGAAAACCCTTAGCTGCAAGCAGCTGGGGAGTTGCAGTCTTAGGAATGAGCGGCACAAGTCTCCCTGCCTGGCGCCCTGCAGTAAACGCCTCACTTTCTCTCGCTGCAATCTCAATGTCAGTGTTTGGTTTCGCTGCGTCTAGTCGGCAGACCCACGATCCGTTCAGTAACATTAACAGTAGGTTTTTTATGTACTTTATTTTTGGAAGTGGGTCTCAAAGTTGGTCACCAATATCAAAGTCCTCAACATCAAGACTAAATGTCAGGGTGGATTGTGTATGTATGCTTACCTTAATATGCAAACTTTTAGACACGTAAACTTCCAAAATGCAAAGAAAAGGCATAACGACTACAACAATCATAACATCATGAGCTAACATTTTGATTAATTACCGTGCTCCACACACTTCCTGTGTATAACATAATTCACAATTTACATTTGTAAATTAATCCTATGAATAGTCTTATGAGGGAGATACTATTTATTCCTTTTTTACAAATGAGGAACTAAGGCACAGAGAGATTAAATAATGGAAATTATCTCTTCAATCTCCATAATTTTTTTAAATTAACTTTTTTCTCTGTCTACCTAGAGCATCTTTTCTCAACGATTTACAGGACTGATATTTAGGTTCTTAAAAGATGGTTGCACCTGGAATTCTTGAACACACGTGAAATATTTTAATATCAACCTGGGCTACATTCTCATATATATTTTCAGGGTTTCTTCCCCTAATTCTAAGACACCTGGAAGCCATCCCTATTATGGCAGATGTCAGTATCACATAAATAGATTTGTTGTCTACTTTCCTGACTTCCAAAAGTTGTGACTTCCAAAACATGGGGATTAATTTATACATCTTTTTATTCCCAATGACTCACAAGGTACTTTGTATACGGTGGGTGCTTAAGAGATATTAAGTAAACACAAAAAATCAGTGACACTGAGAAGGATATTAGTCTCTCTGATTCAATTTCTTGATCTACAAAGAGGGAAGAAGGATAAGGTGACATCAGAAAATACACAAAATAGCAGTGAAGAATAAACAGATTAAAAATACAAAATATGCTCAGGGAACTCAATATATATATATATATAAATATATAATATATATAATTCTACATTTGCATATAGATGAATGTAGAATTCTACATAAATTTGATATCTACAAATACTGCAATAAGTACTTATTTCTTTACCTAAAATGGCCACTCAGTACAAGTCCTATTAATTCCAGGTGTGGCTGAACCATACCAAACCCAATAGGTACCTTGGTTTTAACACATAAAGTCAAATATGACTTCTTCCATGCTATTCAGGAGTAAGTCGACTTTAGCAACAACACAGACACGTGATGAATCGATTTGCCCTACACACTGGATTCGACTGCAAAACCAGTATGAGGGTTTCAGTTATCTCATGCTGAACAAGCCCACCAAATTTAGGCCATTCCAACAGTCCAGTTCATTAATGAGTGCTGTGCTACAGCTTCCTGGGTAGTGATTTTAGTAACTATACGATATACACAGAAGCAGCCAATCTTCCTATGTGAAACTAGCTCTTAAAATAGCAATGACAACAACGAAACGCTCCAACCTAAACAGGTGAAATTTAGTTGCTCCAAACAGACACAACTCAGGTCTGTCAAACCATTTTCCAGTCACTGCTCTGTTTCTCTTGCATTCTACTCACTTTAAATTAGCACAAGTGAGTTTCTTTTCTCCCAGAGCTTCTTTGTTCTATAAAGGTATGCCTCTTCCTCCTTATAAATAACCTCTAACCATCTGAACTGTCAGGAGCTGTTTGACTCTTAGTCTTTGGACTCATAAACCACCTGAAAGTGTCTGCTCTACTGCAAACCCTGAGACACACATTGGCCCTGATTATAATGTAGACACATCAATGCTGTCTTAGACCTGTACACGCTCTGCACACATTGGCCCTGATTATAACGTAGACATGTCAATGCTGTCTTAGACCTGTACACGCTCTTCACACGTTGGCCCTGATTATAATGTAGACACATCAATGCTCTCTTAGACCTGTACATGCTCTTCACACGTTGGCCCTGATTATAATGTAGACACATCAATGCTGTCTTAGACCTGTACATGCTCTTCACACGTTGGCCCTGATTATAATGTAGACACATCAATGCTGTCTTAGACCTGTACACACTCTTCACACATTGGCCCTGATTATAATGTAGACATGTCAATGTGTCTTAGACCTGTACACACTCTACACACGTTGGCCCTGATTATAACGTAGACACGTCAATACTGTCTTAGACCTGTACACACTCTTCACACATTGGCCCTGATTATAAAGTAGACACATCAATGCTGTCTTAGACCTGTACACGCTCTTCACACATTGGCCCTGATTATAACGTAGACACGTCAATGCTGTCTTAGAGCTGTACACGCTCTTCACACGTTGGCCCTGATTATAATGTAGACACATCAATGCTGTCTTAGACCTGTACACGCTCTGCACACGTTGGCGGCCCTGATTATAATGTAGACACATCAATGTTGTCTTAGACCTGTACACACTCTACACACGTTGGCCCTGATTATAATGTAGACACGTCAATGCTGTCTTAGAGCTGTACACGCTCTTCACACATTGGCCCTGATTATAACGTAGACACATCAATGCTGTCTTGGACCTGTACACGCTCTACACACGTTGGCCCTGATTATAACGTAGACATGTCAATGCTGTCTTAGACCTGTACACACTCTGCACACGTTGGCGGCCCTGATTATAATGTAGACATGTCAATGCTGTCTTGGACCTGTACATGCTTTTGGTATCACAGTTTCCAAGTCACTCGGATTCCTGATGTTGAAGCTGTGGTCCCTTTATTTTCCATCCTTAGCACCAGTCTCTTCAAATCAAAGGATCCTGATATCCAAAAGAACCTTATCCTCTCCCGACACTCTGCTGAACTTCTGAAACTTATGTCTACCCTTCCACTCCTCTCTTGCAATTGGAGTCTTGCTGGTCACTTTATGCAGCTGCTTCTGTTTAACAGATTCTGGAAATTAACCTCAATATGAACATTAATTAAATGTCCACTAATTTACCTGTCTGTCCTTCCATGAAAAGGTTACTTTGTTTCAGCCATACCTGACGATACGTGTTTACATGTTGCCAATACTAGAACATTTGTTGCTTGACCTGATTTTTAAATTCAAATATTTAAGGTTCTTGTAAAAATTAAATGAGATAACTTGTAAATTAATGCAAGCTTGGGAGATAGCTGTTATTCATTATATTGGTTTTCCTTCTTTCATTATTTTTTTTCTGGATTCTAGGTGTCTTCTTAGAATACTGAGATCGGATATTCTGTCTGCTTGAAATAATCAGAATGGTGAAGTCCCTATCATTACACGTTTTAAAAACACATAAATTGAATAGCGACTTTTTTTTGTGGTAGGACTGTAGGAATATAAACAGATTTATGACATGTGTTTATCTCCTTGCATGGTGAGAAGTCATTAAGGGAGAAACAGAATCACAATACAAAATCATATCTTCTTAGGGCTCTGTGGGGTCCTCTGAGATCCTCTAACATGCTAGCTACACTTCACTTGCTGCCTATATAGCTTTTCTCCCAGAGAGTCATATGAATAATTTTGTCATCTCCTTCCCAAACTTGCTCAGATGTCACATCCTTAGACATTTTCTGACCAAGTCTTGTCATCCCACATCCTGAAGCCCTATGCCCTAGTCTCCTGCCTTAGCAGTTCCCATCGCTCCCTTCCCCTGCACTTTTCTCCACTGCAGTTATTACCTTCCAATATACTATATTCCTCTATTGCACTAACTTATTGTTTGTTTCTCCCTACCATAGTGGAAGTGTCTTGAAAGTAGAATATTTATTTATTGCCATATATCCAGGGTCTAAAACAGCACTGGCACTAAGAGATACTCAGCAAAGATTTACTGAATGAATGAAAGAAGGAAGTGCCAGAAACTGGAAGCAATACGAGATTATGAAGAGGACCTCATTTCCAGTTCAGGAGATCAGAAAGTCCTCAGCTATAAATTGCATTTGAGTTGATCATTTTTAAACATGAATAATTATAATAGTAGAAATTTTCTGAGGGAGTCTCAGACACCTATTTCAATGCAGATGACATTATCACACACCCTCTTGCCATCAGAACAGACTCCCTCAGTATGTAGGTCTAGAGAATGGTGAGTAAGGCCCAAGCCTGTGGTTTGCATAGGGAGAAAGTTATCAAAAACTCGAAGCTTCTTATGGAAGACCTAAAACACCTCCAATAGGCATATAGAATGGACCCTAAAGGGGGAGTCACACCCGTGAGATTGTGAAGAAAAAAATATTGTGCAAAAATTTAGATCTTGTAAAAAGACTAAGCACACCATAAAAAAATGTTAAAAGATCACTGAAAATTTAGAGCTCAGTTGGAGACTCAGTCGTAGATGCTGTTAAAGCAAAAGCTAAATATGGCCTAAGAAAGACTCCGTATTTCTATATTTGAGTCCTTGTGGATGAACTGTAATCTAGCCTAATAGCCAGACAAGATTGAAAGCTAACTTAGGAGTACGCGCCTGTAACTTTAGCTGAGTCTTGGTCAATCCCAGAGGCAATATTTCAACCACTCATAGACAGCTAAATGTTCAAATAAGGCAAACGCCAACCTGTAACCAATCCAGCTGTTTCTGCACCTCACTGCCAATTTCTGTACCTCATTTCCTTTTTTTTTGTCTATAAATCTTTCACCACGTGGCTGTGCTTGAGTCTCTCTGAATCTTCCATGATTCTGGGGGTTGCCCGATTCATGAATTATTCATTGCTCACAATTAAACTCCTTTAAATTTAATTCTGCTGAAGTTTTTCTTTTATCAGATGGTGTCAGAAGCAGGATCCAAAGCAGAGCTTCTAGCCACCCTCAGAGTGCTGAGTGAACACGCAAGGTCCCTGCAGAGCCCACTTGTGTCCATTGATCTCTCAGAGTAGCTGGGGATTGTGGGTAAGCTCCCTTGTCCTTGCAGAACACACTTGTGTCCATTGATCTCTCAGAGTAGCTGGGGATCGTGGGTAAGCTCCGTCATCCCTGCAGAACCCACTTGTGTCCATTGATCTCTTGGAGTAGCTGGGGATCGTGGATAAGCTCCCTCTCAGATTTCAGAGCTCCACTGATTGGAGTAGCTGGGGATCATGGGTAAGCTCCCTCTCAGATTTCAGAGCTCCACTGATTGGAGTAGCTGGGGATCGTGGGTAAGCTCCCTCTCAGATTTCAGAGCTCCACTGATTGGAGTAGCTGGGGATCGTGGGTAAGCTCCCTCTCAGATTTCAGAGCTCCACTGATTGGAGTAGCTGGGGATCGTGGGTAAGCTCCCTCTCAGATTTCAGAGCTCCACTGATTGGAGTAGCTGGGGATCGTGGGTAAGCTCCCTCTCAGATTTCAGAGCTCCACTGATTGGAGTAGCTGGGGATCGTGGGTAAGCTCCCTCTCAGATTTCAGAGCTCCACTGATTGGTGTTTTGAGCTCTCTGAGTTTCTTTGAGCAAATTTCTGATCCAAACTAAGTTTGGAAGTCGTGACAGAAACTGGCCTGGGTCCAGGATGGGATTTAATCTGTTAATTAACTGGCTTGGATCCACTTAGAGGCCTCTTACATCTGACTGGGTCAGAAAAGAACTAGTAGTAAGCAGTAATATTGCAGGGGTTATAAAATTTGGCTTTTGCAAATTCACAGGGATTTTTGTGTTTTACCCCTTTGTTTCATTTTTCTTGTGCACCTAGGTAGGAAAAAACCATTGTCTGAGTTAATCAAGAGAACCTGAGAGTAAAGGCCATATTTTAGGTAAAAATGGGATTCTTAATTTCTGGAAAACTGAGTTCCTTCCAGCTTATACATTAGGCCTGGGAGGCAGCAAAGTCTTATAGAAATGGCAAAGTCTTGCTAAAAATAACTTGCAGTGGAATGCTCCAAATGAACAACAACACACTGAAGGGCATTGAAAAATGTATGTATGTATTTCCTTCTGTGTTGTGGCTTGGCCTCTGGGATTATGGTACAGTGAGCTGGGTCACTAGGACCACTCAGGGAAGGGGAAACCAGAAGGGCATGCTGGCAAAAGGGTAGGAATTTCTTACCAGTCAGACCTCTGGCCCTTTTCTCCCTCTCTCTCTGTGCAAACCAGTTCAATGAATGGTAAAAATCACTGTTTGTCTCCTCTGTAAAGTTTTGATTAATGCAAAAAAGAATTCTGAGGCTAGTCTTAAGCTGTAGTGAATCTGGTATATTTTGTGTTATAAATTCGTTTTTCTGTGTCAAGGGGTACCTTGAGATGAACCATGGGCTTAGGACTCCGTATACTCCTGCTCAAGACAGCCCAGGAAGCTGTTCAGTAATAAACTTTGCTGCAGGTCCCTGACATATACAAATAACTGGATGAGGTCTCCATCTTGTTTTATGACCTTGGGAGCTTGACCTTGTAACCACGTGACGGTACTTTCTCTTGGTCTCCACCTTCCAGGGAAAAGGAATTTTAGAGTTCATGTCATAGCTAGCTCTAAAAATTATCCTGAATAGTTAAAAGCCTTTGTAAACTCAAAATTAACTACTCTAGACTCCTTCTGGCAAGGGCAATGGAGACTGCCCCTTGCTGTGACTCAGAAACTAAGATTTTGCCCTTTCATTTTGGCAGTCTGGGTTAGATTCCCAACATATATATATATATGTATATAATTATATATACATATATGTGTTTAATATATGTATATAATATATACACCAGCCTACGTGTGTATATACATATATATGTATATACACCAGCCTACGTGTGTATATACGTATATACACCAGCCTACGTGTGTATATACGTATATACATCAGCCTACGTGTGTATATACGTATATACACCAGCCTACGTGTGTATATATGTATATACACCAGCCTATGTGAGTATATACATATATACATATATACACCAGCCTATGTGTGTATATACATATATATACCAGCCTATGTGTATATACGTATATACGTATATACACCAGCCTATGTCTATACACGTATATATGTATATACACCAGCCTATGTGTATATACGTATATATGTATATACACCAGCCTATGTGTGTATATACGTATACACATATACACATATAGGCTGGTGTGTATATACATATACACATATACACATATAGGCTGGTGCAGTGATTTTTCCCAGGGTGCTTCTTAATAAACAATGTGAAATCACATTCAACCTTTTTTTTACAACCTTTTGCTTCATGACAAGCATTGATGTGGCTTCTCTTCCAGTTGTTTCTCCTATTGATGGCAGACGGGGAAACACATTAGCTACAAATTGTGGTTAATAATAAACAGGACATTTTTCAGAAAAAAATCAATACATTTCAGTTCTAATGAAAAATTATATCTATGTATAGTCAATAGTAAGGAAACATGATCTAAGAAATCAAAACCAGGATCTGGGAAAAGAAAAGGAAGCCTCGGTAAGGATCCTTAAAGTGTGAGTTATCCTTGCCAGAGTTAACTAGGTCAGACCTTGTTCCATAATCCATCAGTAGGTGCATCGGAATTGTTTCTAAAACCCAAGGGGAACCTTCGAAAACTGTGTGGCCTTGGTGAAAAATCTCCACATGATGGCTTAGATGATCCACGTATCTGACTCTTCTCTAGGGGGAGAGCCTTCATTTTAGCATCTGTAACGGAATTTCAAGGACAAATTTTATACAGTGAAACTGAGTTTCTGAGAATCTGGGAATTCCCTTCAGTGATTAAAGGACATGTCACTTTACCAGATTATAAAATATTTGCATTTGGATATCAATGGTAGAAGAAATGAACTGTGAGCTTTTTTGGTTAAAAAAATGTATAGTAATATTTTTGGAAAAGTCTACTGTCAGCCTCTTGGGAGAAACTGTTACATTAATGAAACAAATGGGGGAGCAAAAGCTCAGTCATGCAAAGCTCAAAGAAACTTCCAGATCCCAGGTATTTCTGAATCAATTCCATTGCGGTTTGTATGATTCTGAATAGAATGACAACTGCAGGCAGTTAATATGAACTAAAGCCCTACAGGAAAGTTCAGACTGCCTTCAGCATTGTCTGCTTTCACACTTCCAATGATGCATTGATGATAGTAACAATGAGTGTGATCCAAAGTACATGATGTCTGCTATCAGCTAATAACAGAAAAGAGATAGAAAGTGAGACATAATAAAAACAAGTGCTTATGTACTCAAATAAGATCCTAGGAGTTCCTCTATTATAAACCATACACAAGGAAGCCCTGGTTTTGGCATTTGGGAGAAAGTAATGATAAAATATTCAAAACATTATTAGTACTGTTGACAGAAGCATTCGGCTCATATTTACTTGAATCTTATTTACTTTCAAACCGGGTCTTAAGAATGACTTTGTCTAAAGTGCTTTCTATGCAAGAGTAATGGCAACTGCACCTCTTGCTCAGAACCCGTTCCCCTAAGATAAACTTTTCAGGACAGTTGAAACTCTTGGAAAGAATATCAAGTCTTCACAATCTTCCAGGAAGACTCAGTGATAAGAAAAGTTAATGTTTGGTATTGTAAAAGTGTTGCTTATCAATATTCTTATATGACACTGTCTTCTTAATCAGATCCACAGGTTCTCCAGATATTCCCTGAAGCATAATGTAAAGTACTAAATAATGATGAGTTATAGAACTCTGGCCCTTGGGCCATTAGATAATTAATCCCTCTTTTTTTATCAGAAAAGGAACAGAAACCATCCATACATATCCTTCTCGTTATTTAGTAAAAATGCAAATTCTTTTTCATATGTGGACATACATCTCTAGTAAGATAACGAAACTGCTGCTAGAAGTGCAAACATGTCAACCTGTCAAATTTGGATCCAAATTTATTAGAGGAGGGATAAGATTGAGAAACCAGAACTGGATATCCATCCTGAAATCACAGAAGCATTTATTGGACTGAAATGCAAACAGATGGATAACAATGGATATTTAAAGAGTATTTTATCACACTCTCTATGTGAGCCAAATATTTTATCATACTCTCTATCTGAGCCAGATATTTTACAAACCACTTGGTGATCAACAGCCACATCCATCCTAAGTGAGAAAGTCACAAGGCTGCAACATAAATGTGTGCTCGTAAGAGTTTTGCTCCTCCATCACATCCCTGGATACAAGGAGAGGTTACTGAAGGTGGGATCCTGGTTAAACCCCAAACTGTGTCATCTGTATGATGGACCAACAAGTACGAGAACACGTGATGATGCCAATTTTCCTTTACAGATCCCAGGGTGGTTCTGCACTGTTGAAACGTCACATCCTTTCATGATAAACTTGCTTTACATCTTTGATGAATAGAGTCAGGCTTTTTTAGGAGTAAATATATCACATTTTCCTTATGTGCAATTTCAGTTACATTGCAAAATGTGTGCAATATTTTTAAAAAGATAGTTGTAGAAATAGCAATTAAGAAAGTTGTTTTCCTGTCATAAATAAGAATATTGATCGAGCAACTGTCACATTTAATTTTTATCAAGAGTTGCTATCTTTGTGGCCCTTTAAGAAAGACCCTGACTTTTTGTTAATAATTCACTTGTATTTAATGGTTTATAGACCTCATCAAATGTATATATTGCCTAGCAGAAGTTTTCCACTTATTTACTCATGCAGTTTTTTCTATAGTTGCATTTCTCATATGATGTTCTGTGTTTAATGTTTATTTTTGTATAGGTATATGAAGTGCTTTCCGAGATTAAAGCAGAATAAAAATGAACAAAGACTGCACTGGCACCATTTCATCCTGAAATGTATTTTTAAAATAGTGGAAGAAAATTATTTTCTCTTAGTATGAATTATGCATCTATTATTAATAAATGGCATTTAATAAATGACAGATATATAATTCAGAGTAATAAAAACATATTACTCTCTATGAATAAACTGTGAGCCATACCTGAGAATAATGGAGCCAAGTAACGGGCCACGTGCGTGAACCACAGGACTCCCTGTCCCAGGCCAAAGGCCCTGTTGCCAGCTCCCAGCTGCACCGATGCACGTCATTCAGCCGACCTTCCTACGCATGTGTACCCTTTCCCTTAATTTCAACCAGCAGCCGTGACAGCACTGTTTATCGCATAGTAAGCATTTCTACAAAACCTGTTACCCGTAGTTCTTGGGCTGAATAAAAATCATTTTAAAACAAGGAAACCAGAATATCGCATTACCCAAATTATTTTTGAAAGATAAAAGAGAAAGGTGATACTCAAATGTGAAAAACACCAGTTATAGGCATCTTTTTCTAAAATTTAGGTGTAAGGTCATTTCCTGAAAAGAAAATTGTTGGGTTTTAGATTATTCTAATGGAATATACTTGATAAGTATAAAACGTGTAATTTCTATGCTTCTTTCTTCAAACCATATACCTGTGTAAAATCACACTTTTGTATTATATTCAAGTGAAAAATATTGTATAGCTACAAACTTGATTTTATGTCTGCTTTTGAAGATCCAAAAAGTGGCATGATTTTTGATATTCAACATATATATGCTATAAAGATCTCAAAGCACAGTTTTAATTTTATCATGGTTTCTGTAAGTCCTATTTCATAAGAATAATATACTATGAAAGATGTTTCATTTTTCTCCTCATGTGAATTTTTAATGAACATACAATGAAATCTATTTCATAGGCTTAGAAAGGCAAATATATTGGAAGACTCGAGGGAATTAATTCTTCACCAACATTCCCCTGTGGATTCTGAACTGATTAAAAACAGATAGGAGAGTGGAACCGATTAAGAGCAGACACAACCTGGGCAGTCTCACACGGTGCTTCTGCACAGGAGCCGGAGAGGATTCAAACACAGCACCCGTTTGAGTAACAGAAGTTCTGGATATGAGGACGACTTGGTCCTGAAGCAAAAATGGGGTGTCTTCATCTTCTGTTGTAACTCGTACCTTCTGACTGAACTTACTTCAGGGAGCTTGAAGAAGAAAATTAACTGGGAAACTGTGGAGAAAAGAAAGACTTTTCCTTTTTTTTTTTTTTTTTTTTTGAGACAAAGTCTCGCTCTGTCACCAGGCTGGAGTGCAGAGGCGTAATCTCGGCTCACTGCAACCTCCACCTTCCGGGTTCAAGCGATTCTCCTGCCTCAGCCTCCAGAGTAGCTGGGATTACAAGCACGTGCCACTGCACCCAGCTAATTTTTTGTATTTTTAGTAGAGACGGGGTTTCACCATGTTGGCCAGGCTGGTCTTGAACTCCTGACCTCAGGTAATCACCCGCCTCGGCCTCCCAAAGTGTTAGGATTACAGGCATGAGCCACCACACTTGGCCAGACTTTTCTTTCTTAGCCTCTTTTATGGAGGCAGATGTACCTAGTATAGTCTGAGGTAGGAATTCAGGAAAGGGAAGAATGGAATTTTGAAAATTTTTTTCTGGTAGTAACTTTAATACAAACGGTGTAATAAAAACTGTTCTAGCTTTTTTTGTAATCACCTCACCAGAGAAACAGTAGAGTATAAAGATATCACATTCTAGATGCAGACTGAGCCTACATCCTGGTCCTGCTACTTGCTGTGGCAAAACTTCCTCATCCATATAAAACAGGGGTAATGATACTGTTGCTGTCACATCTAGAAAGCTCTCAATTATAAGACACAATTTTAAATACCACTGAAAAGGAAAACCACAGACAATGACAATACGACACAAAGCTCTCTTGATGGCACGAATTTCTATTCTGTGTGCCTATTGAAAAAATTAATTATACAGAGATCTTCTTAATCATATACCACTGCCATGTGAATATAAAAAAATTAAGCAAGATAAATTGGTTTAGATATTTCTAGGACTTCTTTATATGCAGATTCCAACTCTTCTAAATCAGCTCTTGATTCAGATTTGGCCGTGTCTAGCCTCTTCCTTACAGAGTCACCCATCGTGCTATGCACAGTGTGGGTAGAACAGCATTTCTCGGTAGAAACATATGAACCCCCTGAAAGGCACTGGTGCTGGGCTCTCAAGCTGGCTGCATACAATCAGCCCACATTTGACACTGCTTTAAGGGATGCGGCTGAGCATGCCTGCCTCTCCACCGCTCCTGCTACCAACCAACTCTGCGGCTCCTAAGGGTTAAAAGTAATTTCAAGAGTGTCCCTGGGATGTCCTCCTAGTTCACCACATCTGTTCGGCCCATTTGGAGGCTGATGATTTTTATGTCTTCACATGTGCGGGTGATAAATACATCTCCAAAGACCAAGCACCGTGGCTCACGCCTGTAATCCCAACACTTTGGGAGGCTGAAGCAGGAGAGTTGCTTGAGGTCAGGAGTTCAAAACAAGAATGGGCAACATAGTGAGATTCTGTCTCTGCAAAAAAAGACTTAGCTAGGCAAGGTGATATGCACTTGTAGTTCCAGCCATTCAAGAGGCTGGAGTGAGGGGGTTGCTTGAGCTCGGGAATTCAACACTGCAGTGAGCTATGATGGCATCACTGCACTCCAGCCTGGACGACACAGCAAGACCCTGTCTCTAGACAAAACTATAAAGGAAACCACGTGCGGTATCAGCGTGAGGAAAATGGTGAGAAGGAGGCAGGATTAACTTGCAGCTCCCACTTGGATGGACAGAGCAGCGTGTGGAGACTCACATCAAAAACTTTTGCTCCAAGAACTGCCACACAAACATATCAGGAAAGCCGAGAGAATCCTCAGAGCCTTTGAAAGTAGCAGCTTGCCTTTGAGGGCTGTGAGACCACCGCAAAACTGTGAGTGCCCAAAGTGTGAGGCGGGAATGTCCGCCCTGAACACACAACCTCACTGAGGAATCTGAAGGTCCAGATCACGAAAAAAGGATCAGACCTTACCTGGAGCTGAGATGAATGTAGAGACCCAAGCGAAACATAGGAGTAGAGGAGGCAGCGGGAAGAGCCCGTGGACACCCTCAGTCCCCAGGGAAGCCGTTCTGACTCTGTCTCGCAGGGATCTTTGGGGAGGGCTGATAGTGGAATTGGGGAAAGACCACAGGGAGAAGGAAACTCCCAGATAAACTTTGTAACAATTTTGAGCAACTTGAAATTTCCTGGACAGAATCTGGTGATGGGGGGAGCCAGGAGTGCAGATCCCAGCACAGAAGCTGTGGCAGGCGGGGAGGCCGGAAACACGGAAGCCCTGCTTGCTTTCTCAGGGAAGGGGCTGGTAGCCTGGGACAAGTTCTTAGCCCTGCTCCCCGGCTGCCTGGAAATAAACGCAGTGCTGTTGGCGGGGCATGGTGGGAAGGAGACTGGCCTCGCAGGCTGCATGGGAGCTGGGTGAGGCCTGTCACTGGCAGCTTTCCCCCACTTCCCTGGGGACCTGTACAAAGCAGCAGAGGCAGCCATAATCCCCCTCGGAACATAACTCCACTGGCCTGAGAACTATACCCCAACTCCCACAGCAGCCACAGCAAGCACTGCCCAGGGAGATTCTGACTCAGACATGTCTACCTGTACCCCGCAGCTGATGGTCTTTCTCTTCCCACCCTCGTAGCTGGAGACAAGACAAAGAACATAATCTCTTGGGAGCTGTATGGCCCTGCCCACCACCTGAAAAACCTGAATACTTATCCAGACAAGCTTAGGGCAAGCTGGTATCCTCCCCCTCCTACTTCAGCTGATGCTGTCTGGAAAGTGCCCGCTCCTAGTCTGAGGCCCGGACGACAAAAACCAGCACACTAGACAAAACTACAGCCACCGGCCCTCACAGAGTCCACTTTGCTTCCTTGCTACCTCCACTGGAGCAGGTGCTAGTATCCAAGCCGACAAAATTCCAGCACACTAGACAAAACTACAGCCAATGGCCCTCACAGAGTCCACTTTGCTTCCTCGCTACCTCCACTGGAGCAGGTGCTGGTATCCATGGCTGAGAAACCTGAAGACAGGTCACATCACAGAACTCTTTGCAGACAACCTCCAGAACCAGCCTGGAGCCTGGCAGCTCTGCTGGGTAGTTAAACCCAGAAGAGAAATAACAATCACTGCAGTTTGGCTCTCAGGAAGCCCCATCCCTAGGGGAAAAGGAGAGAGCTCCATATCAAGAGCGCACCCTGGGGGACAAAAGAATCTGATCAGCTGCCCTTGAGCCCCAGATCTTCCCTCTGACATAGTCTACCTAAATAAGAAGAAACCAGAAAAACAGTTCTGGTAATATGACAAAACAAGATTCTTTAACTCCTCCATTAGATCATACCAGCAATGGATCCAAACTCAGACAAAATCTCTGAATTGTGAGAAAAAGAATTCAGAAGGTTGATTATTAAGCTAATGAAGGAGGCACCAGAGAAAGGTGAAGTCCAGCTTCAAGAAATCAAAAAAATGAGACACGATATGAATGGAAATATCTCCAGTGAAATAGACAGCATAAAAACAATCACAACTTCTGTAAATGAAGAACACACTTGGAGAAATGCAAAATGCACTGTAAACTCTTGAACAAGTAGAAGAAAGACTTCAGAGCTTGAAGACAAGGTTTTCAAGCTAACCCAATCTGAAAAAGATAAATAAAAAGAAAATGAACAAAGCCTCCAAGAAGTTTGGGATTATGTTAAACAACTAAACTTAAAAATAATTGGTGTTCCCAAGGAAGAAGAGAAATCTGCAAATTTGGAAAACATGTTTGAAGGAATAATTGAGGAAAACCTCTCAGCCTTGCTAGAGATGTAGACATTCAAATCCAAGAAGCTCAAAGAACACCCAGGAAATTCATGACAAAAAGATCATCACCTAGGCACATCGTCATCAGGTTATCCAAAGTCAAGACCAAGGAAAGAATCTTAAGAGCTGTGAGACAAAAGCATCAGGTATCTTATAAAGGAAAACCTATCAGATTAACAGCAGATTTCTCAGCAGAAACCCTACAAGCTAGTAGGAACTGGTGCCTATCTTCAGCCTCCATAAACAAAACAATTACCAGCCAAGAGTTTTGTATCTAGTGAAACGAAACTTTATAAATAAAAAAAGATAGTCTTTTTCAGACAAACAAATGCTGAGACAATTTGCCACTACTAAGCCAGCACTACAAGAACTGCTAAAAGGAGCTCTAAATCTTGAAACAAATTCTCAAAATACACCAAAATAGAACCTCCCTAAAGCATAAATCTAAAAGGACCTATAAAACAGTAATACAATGAAAAATAAGCACGATATTGAGGCAACAACTAGCACGATGAATAGAATAGTATCTCACATCTCGATACTAATGTTTAATGTAAATGGCCTAAATGCTCCACTTAAAAATGCTCCATTTAACAACAACAACAAAAAAAACAGAATTGCAGAACAGATAAGAATTCACCAACCAAATATCTGCTGTATTCAAGAGAATCAACTAACACATAAGGACTCACATAAACTTAAGGTAAATGGGTGGAAAAAGATATTCCATGCAAATGGACACCAAAAGCGAGCAGGAATAGCTATTCTTACATCAGACAAAACAAACTTTAAAGCAATAGCACTTCAAAAGACAAACAGGGACATTATATAATGATAAAAAGCCTTGTCCAACAGGAAAATATCACAATATCACAATCCTAAATATATATGCACCTTACACTGGAGCTTCCAAATTTATAAAACAATTACTACTACACCTAAGAAATGAGATAAACAGCAACACAATAATAGTTGGGGACTTCAATACTCCACTGACAGCACTAGACAGGTCATCAAGACAGAAAGTCATCAACAACGAAACAATGGACTTAAACTATACCCTAGAACAAATGAACTTAACAGATATTTAGAGAACATTCTACTCAACAACTGCAGAATATACACAGTACTCATCCATTTTCCAAGACAAAACACATAATAGGCCACAAAACAAGTCTCAATAAATTTAAGAAAATCAAAATTACTCTCTCAGACCACAGTGGAATAAAATTGGAAATCAACTCCAAAACGAACCATCAAAACCATATAAATACATACAAATTAAATAATCTGCTCCCACATGGTCATTGGGTCAACAATGAAATCAAGATGAAAATTAAACATTTCTTTGGACTGAATGATAATAGAGATAACAACCTATCAAAACTTCTGGGATATGGAAAAAGGAGTGCTAAGAGGAAAGTTCAAAGCATTAAGAGCCTTCATCAAAAAGCTCAAAAGAGCACAAATAAACAATCATAGGTCACACCTCAAGAAACTAGAGAAATAATGAACCAAACCCAAACCCAGCAGAAGAAAAAAATAACAAAGATCAGAGCAGAACTAAAGAAAATTAAAACAAACAAACAAAAAATACAAAAGATAAATAAAATGAAAGGCTGATTCTTTGAAAAGATGAACAAAATTGATAGACCATTGGTGAGATTAACCAAGAAAAAAAGAGAGAAGATCCACGTAAGCTCAATTAGAAAGAAAATAGGAGATATTACAAACAATACCACAGAAATCATTTAAGGCTGGATGATCATTTAAGGGTACTATGAACACTTTTATGCATACAAATGAGAAAAACTAGAGAAGAAGGAAAAATTCCTGGAAATATGCAACCCTCCTAGATTAAACCAGGAAGGAATAGAAACTCCGAACAGACCAATAACAAGCAGCAAGATTAAAATGGTAATAAAAAAAATTATGAAGGAAAAAAAAGTCCAGGACCAGACGGATTTATAGCTGAATTGTATCAGGCATTCATAGAAGAGTTGGTACCAATCCTATTGACACTATTCCAAAAGATTGAAAAGGAGGGAATCCTCCCTAAATCGTTCTGTGAAACCAGTATCACCCTAACACCAAAACCAAGAGTGACATAACAAAAAAGAGAACTACAGACCAATATCCCTAATGAACAGAGATTCAAAAACCCTCAACCAAATGCTAGTTAACTGAATCCAACAGCATATCAAAAAGATAATCCACCATGATCAAGTGGGTTTCATATGAGGGATATTGGGATGGTTTAATATACAAAAGTCAATAAATGTGATACATCACATAAACAAAATTAAAAATAAAAATCAAATTATCATTTCAATGGATACAAAAAAAGCATTTGACAAAATCCGGCATCCCTTTATGAATAAATCCCTCAGCAAAATTGGCATAGAAAGGACATACCTCAAGATAATAAAATCCATCTATGACAAACACACAGCCAATATTATACTGAACAGTGAAAAGTTGGAAGCATTCCCCTTGAGAAACGGAACAAGACAAGGATGCCCACTTTCTCAACTTTTATTCAATGTAGTAATGAAAGTCCTAGCCAGAGCAATCAGACAAGAGAAGGAAATAAAGGGCATCCAAATTAGTGAAGACGAAGTCAAACTGTTGCTGTGTTGTTGTTCACTGATAAAATGATTGTATACCTAGAAAACCCTAAACACTCCTCCTAAAAGCTCCTAGAACTGACAAATGAATTCAGAAAAGTTTCAAGATACAAAATTAATACACACAAATCAGTAGCACTGTTATATACCAAAACAAATAAAAAAACTCAACTCCTTTTACAATAGCTGCAAAAAATAAAAATAAAAATGCAGAAATATATCTAACCAAGAAGGTGACAAACCTCTACAAGGAAAACTACAAAACATTGTTGAAAGAAATCACAGATGACACAAACAAATAGAAACACATCCCATGCTCATGGATGGGTAGAATCAATATTGTGAAAATGATCATACTGCCAAAAGCAATCTACAAATTCAATGCAATTCCCATCAAAATACAACCATCATTCTTCACAGAGCTAGAAAAACAATCCTAAAATTAATGTGGAATGAAAAAAGAGCCCACATAGTCAAAGCAAGACTAAGCAAAAAGAACAAATCTGGAGGCATCACACTACCTGACTTCCAAGAGTACTATAAGGCCATAGTCAGCAAAAAGCATGGTACCGGTATAAAAATAGGCACATAGACCAATGGAACAGAACAGAAAACCCTGAAATAAAGCCAAATACAACAACTGATCTTTGACAAAGCAAACAAAAACATACAGCGGGGAAAGGACACACTAGTCAACAAATGGTGCTGGGATAATTGGCAGCCACATGTAGAATGAAACTGGATCCTCATCTCTCACCGTATACAAATATCAACTCAACATGGATTAAATACCTAAATCTAAGATGTGAAACCATAAAAATTTGAGAAGCTAATATCGGAAAACCCTTCTAAACATTGTCATGGGCAAAGACTTCATCACCAAAAACCCAAAAGCAAATGCAACAAAAACAAGGATGAATAAATGGCACTTAAACTAAAAAGCTTCTACACAGCAAAGTAAATAATCAGCAGAGTAAACAAACAACCCACGAAGTGGGAGAAAATATTTGCAAACTATACTTCTGATAAAGGACTAATACCTCATCAAAAAGTGGGCTAAGGACATGAACAGGCAATTCTCAAAACAGGATGTACAATTGGCTAACAAACATATACAAAATCCTCAACATCTCGGCTGCACGTGGTGGCTCAGGCCTGTAAACCCAGCACTTTGGGAGGCCGAGGCGGGCAGATCACGAGGTCAGGAGATCGAGACCATCCTGGCTAACACGGTGAAACCCCGTCTCTACTAAAAACACAAAAAATTAGCCGGGCGTGGTGGCGGGCGCCTGTAGTCCCAGCTACTCGGGAGGCTGAGGCAGGAGAATGGCGGGAACCCCGGGAGGCGGAGCTTGCAGTGAGCCGAGATCGCGCCACTGCACTCCAGCCTGGGCGACAGAGTGAGACTCTGTCTCAAAAAAAAAAAAAGCTCAACGTCTCTAATTATCAGGGAAATACAAATCAAAACCACAATGAGATACCACCTTACTTCTGCAAGAATGGCCTTAATCAAAAAATAAAAAAGTAATAAATGTTGGTATGGATATGGTGAAAGGGGAACACTTCTACGCTGCTGCTGGGAATGTAAACTAGTACAGCCACTATGGAAAACAGTATGGAGATTCCTTCAAGCACTAAAAGTAGATCTACCATTTCTTCCAGCAATCCCACTATTGGGTATGTACCCAGAGGAAAGAAGCCATTATACAAAAAAAGGTACTTGTACACACATGTTTATAGCAGCAGAATTCACATTGCAAAAATATGGAACCAGCCCAAATGCCCATCAGTCAACAACTGGATAAAGAAAATATGGTGTGTATATATCATGGAATACTACTCAGCCATAAAAAGAAACAAAATAATGGCATTCGCAACAACCTGGACGGAATTGGAGACCATTATTCTGGGTGAAGTAACTCAGGAATGGGAAAGGAAACATCGTATGTTCTCACTCATAAGTGGGAGCTAAGCTATCAGGACACAAAGGCATACTAGTGATACAATGGACTTTGAGGACTTGAGGGAAACGGTGGGAGAGGGGTGAGGGATTAAGGAGTACACACCGGGTACAGTGTACACTGCTCAGGTGATGAGGGCACCAAAATCTCGGAAATCACCACTAAAGAACTTATCCATGTAACCAAACACCGCTTGTTCCCCCAATACCTATTGAAATAATAATATAATAATAATAATAATAAACAAAAGCAAACAAACAAATAGTACCTCAGTTTCTGCCTCATGGATAGGGATTGTCAGAAGTCATCTATTTTAGAACATATCCTAATTTTAGAACTGTTAAAATATGAAAAACTAAGCATCATAGAACTGAAAGAAAATAGTAGGGTTGCTATGTAGATTTATGTGAGTTAAAACAACCAAACACCTCAGCACAGCGGCTGGCCCAGTGTCATCACACACCAACTATGATCAGTTACTCTTACTCCCAGCTAATCTAGCACAGGCTCATGAGCTCCAGTTGGTTACTTAATTTACAGAAATTCTACTCCACAACTCTTGTATTTTTGACTCCTTAAAATGAAGTTAAGTGCTTTTTATAAAAAAAAAAATGTTAAATGCTTAATAAATCTCTCCAGTCAAGGATTTCTGTTTTCTTGATTAAACCAATGGTTCTTTGAAAAAGAAGTCTAGGGAGCATCAGCAGCAGTGTTCTAACAAGCCCCACTGAAGGTGTCCGTAGAATTATTATGGCACTCATGAAAGTGTGGATTTTATAAAGACAGAATTGCCCAGCCTTTCCCTAATGTGATCTACAGACCAACCTGTGGAAAAATGAAACAGATTTACTCTACAGTAATGCTTAGCCATTCATAATTTTCTGGAACTGAGGTCTGAGAACATGTTTCTCAGTGGGTCAGTCACTTTGTTTTTCTTTTCTTTTCTTTTTTTTTTTTTTGAGACAGAATCTTGCTCTGTCACCCAGGCTGGAGTGCAGTGGTGTGATCTCCGCTCACTGCAACCTCTACCTCCCAGGTCCAAGCGATTCTCCTGCCTCAGCCTCCTGAATAGCTCGGACTACAGGTGCCCGCCACCACGCCCGGCTAATTTTTCTATTTTTAGTAGAGAGGGAGTTTCACCTTATTGGCCAGGCTGGTCTCAAACTCCTGACCTCATGATCCGCCCACCTCGGCCTCCCAAAGTGCTGGGATTACAGGTGTGAGCCACCGCGCCCGGCCACTTTGTTTTTCACATACTGAGAAGAGACGATGCACTCCCATGAGACATCTTCCACACCCAAGAGCAGAAAGGACAGCCTTCAGGCTGGTGGCTGAGGTTCACTTCTATTTATAACAGCATTTTAAACAACATAAGCTTATGGTTTCATAAAACTAGAAGAATATACCTGAAAATAGATTTCTGAAGTTTGATTTCACTTCATAAATTCACCTTCCATTGACGCTCCAGTGCATTTCAATCCACATCGCTGCAACGATGAAGGAGCGCTGCCATCTGCAGGCGCAGACCGACTAGAGCAACAGCTCAAAACCTAAAATACCCGCGTGTCCAGAATTTAAATGAGAAATATTTTGTTAAAACAGTATCTTAGCAAAGGGAAATAGCTTATAACGGAACAATCTTTTAGAGGCAAAGCTTTCGTCTGTTGCTTTACTCTCTTATTAAATCATTTATCCAAAATATGTGAGACCAATGAGGTATGTTTATTTATGCATAATATGCTGAAGTTTCAAAACACTGATTTCCCACAGGGTAGGAAACCATGTAGAAATAATATGTGTGGCTTTCTGGTTTGTTTTCTAAGAGCAGCACACTGAAATGTAAAAGCAACTGTGTTTGTACAATAAACAGGAGTCTTCTTTCTCTCCTAACATAGCAAAGAAAGGAAAAAGGTGTTATTGCTAAAAGAAAATACACAAAGTAAGAATCCAATACTAACCCTCTACTAAAGTATTTCCTTATTTATAAAAAAGAAATGGTTCCCATGCATTTCTCACAAATGCATGTTTTCAGTGGATCAGCAAGATGTCCAAACAAGAAATACCACCCTGTGGAAAAGCTGTGCCTATGGTATTTCTGACGTACCAATGCCAAAAAGTGGCTTTGGCCTGATTCCTCTTTCCTATGATCTCAGGTTGTATTTCCAGATAAAAGAGATTCAGTTACATTTGGAAGTGAGAAGAAATACCTGGAATTTATCCCCCCCAACTCGCACTGCGGCATTCTTTGGTCTTAGTCCAGGTATTCAATTCCACTTTCCTGCTCTTGGACCCTGTTGATCCGGGAAGAGGGTGGGCCTAGAACAAAAAAAAAAAAAAAAAAGATTTGGTAAAAACTGAGTGGATGGAAGAGCTGAGGCACACATTACCTCTTAGAACAATAGAAATGATTTCTTCAATAATTGTTTTGATAACTGGGCGGCCTGTCCACGCATTCATCTCAGTGAAGTTTTCCCTGATAGCCTGTTTTAAATTGATCATAGTTTTTCTTCATGATGCACATCCTGCCCTTTCCTTCCTCAGTATCACTCACAGAGCTAAAGGATATCCATGTCTCAAATATTAAAAAGCATGAACCAAGAGTTCTAAAATGATAAATTATGTGTCAGTGCAGCAAATGTATCGCTAGGCTCAAAAAACCCTATGAATGAATTAAATTTCTAACAATGCCTACTGTTTATTAGAAGCTTTACACCAAGGCTAATCAGTATTTCTGTAAATATATGATAGACAGGAGGGTTACTAATTACATTTTTCAGAAAGAGAATCAAGGTTGCATGATCAAGTCTATTTGTGGCATTTGACTCCACGTCAGCTTTGAGGGCAGATACAGGGTAAATCTAGGCATGATCGCTGTTCACTGTCAGTGAGTCCCTGGGAGAAAAGACAATCTGGGAGGGAAAACAACCAAGAGATGATTCTGATAGCATGAGTTTCTTAACTGCATTTAGACACTGATGCTTCCAATTCATATTTCTTCCGGAAATCCTATGGTTGTGAAGCAATCTATCACATTATGTTTTCTTTCCAATTTGTATTTTTTAAATTTAACTTTTATTTTAAGGTCAGGAGGACATGCGGAGGTTTGTTTCATAGGCAAACTTGTGTCATGGGAGGTTGTTGTACAGATTATTTCAGCACCCAGGTATTAAGCCTAGTACCCACTAGTTATTTTTCCTGATACTCTCCCTCCGCACCCTCCACCCTCTGATAGGCTCCAGTATCTGTTGTTTGTCTCCTTGGGTCCATGAGTTCTCACCATTGATCTTCCACTTGTAATTGAGAATAGGCAGTATTTAGTTTTCTGTTCTTGCGTTAGTTTGCTGAGGATAATGGCCTCCAGCTCCATCCATGTTTCTGCAAAGGAGATGATCTCATTCTTTTTCATGGCTGCATAGTATTCCATGGTGTATATGTAACACATTTATTTTATCAATTCTAGCATTAATGAACATTTAGGTTGATTCCATGTCTTTGCTATTGTGAATAGTGTTACAATGAACATATGTGTGCATGTGTCTTTATTATAGAATGATGTGTATTACTTTGAGTGTATACCCAATAATGGGATTGTTAGGTCAAATGTTAGTTCTGTTTTTAAGTCTTTGAGGAATCACCTTTATCTTCCACAATGGTTAAACTAATTTATACCCCCATCAACAGTGTATAAGCATTCCTTTTTCTCTGCAATGTCACCAGCTTCTGTTATATTTGACTTTTTAATAATAGCATATTAGTCTGTTCTCTCACTGCTATAAAGAACTACCTAAGACTGGGTAATTTATGAGGAAAAGAGATTTAATTGGCTAATGATTCCACCAGCTGCACAGGAAGCCTGGCTGGGAAGGCCTCAGGAAACTTACAATCATGGTGGAAGGCGAAGGGGAAGCAGACACACCTTCACCTGGTGAAGCTGGAGAGAGAGAGAGTGAAGGGGGAAGTGATACAAACAACCAGATCTCATGAGAACTCACTCACTGTCATGAGAACAGGGAGGAGGAGTCCACCCCCATGATCCAATCACCTCCCACCAGGCCCCTCCCCCAACACTGAGGGTTACAACTTGCCATGAGATTTAGGTGGGGACACAGAGCCAAACCATATCAAACAGCCATTCTGACTGGTGTTAAATGGTATCTCATTGTGGTTTTGATTTGCATGACTCTCACGATTGGTGATTTTGAGCTTATTTTCATATGATTGTTGGCCATATATATGCCTCCTTTTGAAAAGTGTCAGTTCATGTCCTTTGCTCACTTTTTAATGGAGTTGCTGGGGGGTGTTTTTTGTAAATTTGTTTAAGTTCCTTATAAATGCCAGATATTAGGTTTTTATCAGAGGCATATTTTACAAAATTTTTCTTCCATTCTGTAGGATGTCTGCTCACTATGTTCATAGTTTCCTTTGCTGTGCAGAAGCTAACAAGTTTAATTAAATCCCACTTGTCATTTTTGCTTTTGTTGCAATTGCTTTTAGTGTCTTTGTCATGAAATCTTTGCCCATTCCTATGTCCAAAATGGTATTGCCTAGGTTGTCTTCCAGTGTTTTTATACTTTTGGGTTTTATTTTTAAGTCTTTCATCCATCTTGAGTTAATTTTTGCATATGGTATAAGGAAGGGGTCTAGTTTCAATCTTTTGCATATGACTACCCAGTTATCCCAGCATGATTTATTGAATAGGGAATTTTTCCCCCATTGCTTGTTTCTGTCAGCTTTGTTGAAGATCATAGTTGTAGGTGTGCAGCCTTATTTCTGGGTTCTCTATCATATTATTTCAAAATCTTCTTGATTCTCTCTTTTCTGCCCACAGCAGGACATAAGAAATAGAACTCCTTTATGTCATTTTTCATATTTCCTCCTTGAATCAAAATTTGCTCCCCAAGTATTCAAGATTACTTAAGACAGAGAATTTGTACTAATTTATAAAGTACTGTACAAACCATCAGAAGAGAAACATTTTTGAGTATCTATTATGTGCAGCTATTTTATAAGAACTGTCACTCCTACTTGATGAATTAGGACACAGATTACTATGCAGACTCAGTAGCTTGATCATGATCAGTCGCCTGGTATGTGAAAAGCAGGGATCCGAGCCCAAGTTTGGCTATGCCCTTTGCATTCATTGTATTTCACTTACAAGTGGAGAGCCAGAGTTGGGCTGCAGAAACTGTAAACCTATAAGATCCACTGGCTTAACCAACTGCTAGCTTCTGTTCTACCATTACTTAAACCTCACTGGACAATCTACAATCAGACTTGCACTTGGATATAGAAAGATTTTATCTACTCTTAGGGAGAATACACAGTATATACCTATTGCCTAAAATTATAAAAATAAAATTATTTTCAAAGCCTTCGAACTTGAAAATAAATCAAAGGCATCATGGGTAAGAGTTATCTTTAGTACACTGATAGTTCAAATCAGTGTGCAGTCTATACTGTAAAATTAAAAATATAGAGGGTATAATTGCATAAAAATTAGTACATATCCCTTTCATTTAAATATTGCTAAACAAGTCAAATTGCCTTTTATTTAATCAATGAACCAAAATGATTTGAAATAGCAATATCATAAAGCTTTGCTGAGCAAGTGTTAAATCCATTTTTTCCAAAGCAATAAGCATACACACTTGGCTTTTTGTCATACATAACAAACGGTCGAATTTGAGCATCATGCCTGGACTTGTATGAGCAACCTCAAACCACACTTGAATAGAACGTCATAGTTAGAACTGGTGCAGGCAACGCATGTTTCAAAATACATGAGACATCAAAAGGAACCACCATCCCCATGCACAAGCCAGCTTGACCCATAACATTGGCTTTGATTTTGTAGGTGGGAGAGAGAAAGTAGGTGGGGCAGGATTTTTGTGTTGTTGTTTACTAAAACAATTTATAGACTTTGCAAAACTAGTATATTTAAATTGATTTTAGAATATTAGAAAAAGCAGAAGAAAGCAAACAGTTTCTGAAAGTATAATCGTCATGTATGTAATTTTCATAATAACACAAATGTGATGGTATTGGACAAAGTATTAAATATTAACATGCAACCACCTCATTGTAAGCAATTTAATTCAGTTCATTTGGCAACAAAACTACCTTGAGTATATGTTCAATAATGGTGCAGAAATGAAGTGACTGCCATTTTTAGAAGTGAAAATGTTTGTGCAACCAAATATTTGCTCTGAACTGTAAACTATAATAATGGAAACACCAAACTTCCAGAGTCCCAGCATGTGCAACGCTTCCAGGCTCAGCATAAAGCAGATCTGTAGTGGAGACCGATATATATTTGCTGGCCTATTACGTAAGGAGCAATAGGTAAAAGAATGTACGCTGTGCTTTTCAAAAGCATGGTGTAAAATCCCAAACATGAATCATTTATAGAGTATCAAAACGAGAACCTCAAAGAAGTAGTTGATGCTTGAATCGTATTTGAACAACCATATTTCTAAGTAACATGTAATTCAAGTCCTGTCATGTCTCAGAATTAATAGCCCAGATTCTTAATTCTTAGCGAGGTTGACAAATTATTCTTTCTTATGGCACCAGTCACACTTGATCATAAGTAGCATCTCTACCCATAACTCTCGTTCCGTCAAATTGAGCCTAAGTTTATTTGTCTAACACAAAACGCCAAAAGGTCTACAATGTGCAATGAATCAATGTTCTTCATTAATGAGTAAAATGTTTCCTGGGTGGAAAATGATTCTCCAGCTTCCAAATGACTTGAAACAAATACAAAGCCATGGTTGCTAAGCTACTATTTTACTTCCAGAGTAAATGTCTGCTGTCTAATCTTTTAGAAGCAGTAGTAAGTTGTTTTCAAGTCATTGAGCCAAAGGCATTGAAATGTGAAAGATTATATATATACATATATATATATTTCCCCCAAAATACTACATGTGGCTTTATAAGGATGCAGGATTATGTTAAAAGAGATTTTTTTCAATATATGCAATAAACAGCTTCTCTTTTGAAACTACTGAAGAATAAAATCCCATAATATCACATATATCATTTTGGTTCATTGATTAAATAAAAGGATATATATATATATATATATATATATATAAATATATATATATAAAAATATATATATATAAATATATATATATAAATATATATATATAAATATATATATATAAAAATATATATATATAAATATATATATATAAATATATATATATATAAATATATATATATATAAATATATATATATATAAAATCTTTCCTGTCATCATCATACCTATTTTTTTAAACCTTCTTAACTTGAGAAACTATCAAGAAAGTAAGGCATATTTCAGATAGTAGCTCTTATCAATGAAATAAAACATCTCAAAGCATGATGTAAGCAAAGCCTAAAGATCCTTTATGAAGGAAGATCAGTCTCTGAGAAGTAAATCCATGCTCTATCTTCCTTCACTGGAACAAACTCCACTCCCCCAAAATACTACCTGTGGCTTTATAAGGATGCAGGATTATGTTAAAAGAGATTTTTTCAATATATGCAATAAACAGCTTCTCTTTTCAAACTACTGAAGAATAAAATCCCATAATATCACAAGCTTAAAATTATATAAATATCTATCTATCTACTATCTATCTCTCTCTATATCTACTATCTAGCTAGCTAGCTAGCTACACACACACACACACACACACACACACACACAATGGCATTTATTTTGACAGTATATTTGAAAAAAAAAGTTGAAAACAAGACAATTACAGAGTTGTGTAGGTAATTGTGGAAATGTGTTTTGAAGTCCTTACTGAATATCTCTCTTAAAATGTCAGACTTCCTGCTTGGATTGAAGTGCTGTCAAGATGTGTGTTAACGGTTGCATCTCTCACTTGAATTCCCGAGCTTTACCTCACAACAGCAGTGCACAACCCTGGCACAGTTCTGTGGCTGCTGACTTTATGAAGGGTGATAAAGCATATAAAGCATTCTCCGCCCTCCCATCTGTCGGGCACAGCACAAAGCTGGAGACGATTGTGGAAAATTGAGTCTTGACAGTATCTTCCTCTTGCAGGCCTCAGATCGCTCAGGGCCTGCAATCATATTACACTTGATCCAACCGGACCAACTCTCAACATGCACAGAATGTAATTTCAGTTCTTAAGTGCTTTCCTGCGACAAGAAGAAGATCAAGAAGAAAACGAATGAGATCTTTCTTTTTTGGCTGAATTTAAAGGAATTACATGGATACCTTTGAGGAACGGAAATGGAAATGAGATCAGCTCCAGCCCTTAAGACATCATCTGGGCCGTATTTCTATATCAGTGTCTCAACTCTGCCTTGGAGAAAAGTGGATCAATTTCAATGCCTGACCCACTTAGGCCATTTCTGACAAGACCACAAATATTACAGTCATGGCTTCAGCTTTAATGCTACTTATGCTGTGGATCGCTGAACTCAGACAGATGCCCAGCTACTCATTTTACAGGCCAGTGAACATGGCATAGGCAGCTCTAACTTCAGCACTCTAGGAACTGGGACAGAGCTCCAGATATCACTACTAATCACCGCATCACCCAAACCAATGTTAGAGTCTGAATTTTTAACGGAAAATTCAGCTACTGCTTCTAGTTGAATGCCAACACATTTTAAACATTTTCTAGAAGACTAAAGTTACCAATATGCTATATAATATAAAAATCAAATATAAAGAATAATACATTTGTTTTCTTTGCTATCTGCATTACACATATGCAAACATATGTATGCAAGTTCAATAATTCAAGGGCAGGTGAGAACCAATAACAATGCAACAGAAGGGCTAATAGTCACTGAATTAGTCCGTGAAGTCCATGCAGGAGATTTAACAACGTCCTCAGGATTCCCTCCTTCGAGCTGCATTAGTGTGCTTCTCAGTAGCAATAAAGCACTGGTAATTTTGCAGAGTATACAATTTTAAAGGTTGTGATCAGTCACTCTGCTAAGAAAACTTTGCAATTATATGTCCAATAAACAATCAGATGTGTGTATTATAAATGGAAAGATTTCACCTATCCTTTTCTATTCTATCCTATTCATAAGCTGACTAATGTGTTTGTGATGTTTACATGTAAAGGCAGGTGGGTACTCATAGCTTACAGGTGTATTTCTCAACAGTGTTGGAAAGTACAAACTCCAGGCCAGGCATGGTGGCTCACGTCTGTAATCCCAGCACTTTCGGAGGCCGAGGTGGGTGGATCACAACGTCAGGAGTTTGAGACCAGCCTGGCCAACATGGTGAAACCCCATCTCTACTAAAAATACAAAAATTAGCCGGGCACGCTGGTGTGCCCCTGTAATCCCGGCTACTTGGGAGGCTGAGGCAGAAGAATCACTTGAACCTGGGAGGCAGAAGTTGTAGTGAGCTGAGATCGCGCCACTGCACTCCAGCCTGAGCAACGGAGTGAGGCTTTGGAAAAAAAAAAGTACAAAGTCCAGTACTCCATCTATCTGTTATTTTGACTACAAAATGTAACCCTATATAGCAGAGTCCATCACACACATTGCTTTACTGAACTTCCTCAAGATTTACGAGATAAGCAGAGGTTGATGTCTTTATTTTACAATAATGAAAGTGGTAAGAATCTAAATTATTCCCTCTTATTTAATACTCATAAGTAATGTCAACACTTGAAATTCCTTCTTCTCTTCCAATTCTAGAGCTTTCTCTATAACATTATTCTGCATCGCAGCCCAAGATGTTAATCCAATGGTCTTTTGATTGTGTATGACAGAAATTTAACGCTGAAAAACTTGGGGGAAAATATACTGGTTTATTGACTCACAAAATTGCATAGTCCAGGAGTATATATGGCTTCTGGCACAATCAGATCCAGGTGCTTAAAGAATTCCATTGAGTTTTTTCTGTCACTCCATTTTGGGAACTATTGATCTTTTAGCATTATATTTAAGTAGCTCCACATTTGGTGAAAAAGTTGACCCTCAATATGTCCTTCAGGTTCTTGATACCAAAGGAAAAGGCTACCTCTGATACACTTTGTATGTGTGTTCCCTCCAAATCTCACATAGAAATGTGACCCCAATGTTAGAGGTGGGGCTGGTGGGAGGTGTTTGGGTTATGGGAGTGGATCCTTCATAAATGGCTTGTTGTCATCCCCTTGGTGATGAGTGAGTTTTCACACTATTTGTTCACACAAGAGCTGGTTGTTTAAAAGAGGCTTGCACCTGTCCCTCCCACTCCCTGTCTTGCCATGTGACACACTGCTCCCCCTTTGCCTTCCGCCATGATTGGAAGCTCCCTGTGGCCTCACAAGAAGTAGATGGCAGCACTACACTTCCTGTACAGCATGCAGAACCATGAGCCAAGTAAACCTCTTTTCATTATAAATTACCCAGTCTCAGATATCCCTTTATAGCAATACAAAACAAACTAATGCAGCCTCTGATACCCCAAATCTACATATCTCATCTTTGAGAACTATCAGCTGCATTTGAACCATATGCTCTTTTCTGACGTAAACACAGTGGTGAGAAAGTCGGGGCTCTGTTTCACACCTGAGCTATATGTCAACTCCCCAGAGTATGGGAAGAGATGGTATGCAGCATCACTTTACTTAAGCCATATGAGGTACATTTCCCTTGAAAAAAAATGTTCTGCTATTGTAAGAAGTGGAGATATTATACCCACCAGCACCGCTCACACACAGTCGTGCTCCACAGTCTCTCCGAATCCAACATTTTACTGCTGCTTCCTCCTTTCTTTTTAACACTTAACATTTTTACTTTGAAAATGTGTGCTTTACCCCAAACCTCAGTGTCATGCAACACACCATGGAACAAACCTGCACGTGTAACTCCTGAATCTAAAATGAAAGTTGAAATTGAAAAATAAAAAGTATGCTAAAGTCAATATGTAGATATTTCCCAGTCATTTCCTGAAGTAATAATAGCTAGCACTTATTGAGTATTTACAGTGCTCCAGTCACTGCCCTGATACTTTCTTTACAATGATTGACCATTTTAATATGAAAATAATTTAATGTGGCAGGTATGTGTTTCATACTCATTTTACAATTTGAAACTCTCTATTTTAGAGATTAAGAAAGTATCCCAGGGCCAGTCTGCCAGCGAATAGCAGAGCCAGGATTCTGACTCTGGCAGTCTGACTCCAGAATTCACACTCTTCACACCACACAACACATGCAGTGGTAGACCCTGGGGAAGGTCTTAAACATGGTGGGCGATTACGCACTCTCTCTTGCTGTGTGTGTGTGTTTTAGTCATGGTAGTAAACGAGGAGTGTGAAGCCACCAGGTTCCGCTGCAGCCCCTTTGCTGCTGGGCTTGAAGTAACTCTGAATGAAGACGGTATCAGAGATGTCAACATTTTAAAGTGCTCAAGTTTTTTATAAATTCCCGGTGGCAGCAGGGAAATAGGTGAGCAGGTTTTAGGAGACGTTAGCCCCATTCCAAGGAATGCATACCTTAAAATATAGAAAAGTCCAAACCTAAATAGGTCAGCTTGCTAACAATAGTGGTTTTCTTTTTTACTGTGAAATATTTTGAGGATTGTTTGCTTTGTATACAAGTCAAAAAATGTCATGTAAAAAATATTTCCGAAAATTTTGCTGCTAATCATGATGAATTTGTAATCCAGAAACTAAAAGGAGAGCAAATGGCATTTATCATAAATAAAACATATGCAGGGCGAATTAGAAATAATTATGGAGGAGAAATTCTACATCAGGGACTTCAATTTATTGACATAAAAATTTAAGATAGAAAATTAAATAGACATCGTATAATTATAATGCTAAACCATGACCAAAACAGCTTAATATTTTTAACAGGAATACTTGTTGAATCTGATCAGCTCATTTTCATCTTATTCAAAATCCTGGAATTGCTTTTGTTAACAATAGTTTATAAAGATGTATTTGTATGCACTACTTCTCATTAAATATCTGTCAAAAAGGAAGAATGCGAAAATCTGGGAGATGGGGGAACAGATCGGCCCCACCTTGTGCTACTAATTTGGCCACAAGCATTGTGCTGTGATTTGGTATGCCAGACAATCAACAATTTTCTGAGCATCTATTAGTTTGTCATTAGAAAAATTCCAGTTATTATACTTGGCAATCTTTTGTTTGCCCGCTTCCAACCCCTGGTACAAATATAACTTGAATTTCTAGTGTCCCCTTGGTAGATTAAGAATGAGACACATTATCTTGTTCCAGTGGTGGCACTAGGCCCACTCTTCCCTGCATGGACAAAATCCACAAAAGTCACAGTAATTTTATAATGTTTTTCTTGGGATGCGCATAAAATACAGGTAGCATGGTCATTTTACCTTGAAATGCATTCTGAATGTGTTTATTGAATATTTTCTGGTTTTCTTATTCTTGTCATTTTTAAACATCTTACTAATTCCAAAGTTCTTTTTTCTTTCTTTTTTAATTATCAAAGTATTTTAGGGTACTCCTGCCCACTTTGGCAGGACCTGGGGAAACAGCCTCCTAAGCAGTGTTTCTGTTTCTGGTACACATCCTGGAAGTCATTTTATTGGTTCTTTTTTTAATTGCGCTAAGCTTGCCCCAGTACTTGCATTATCAGCAAGTGTTTATAAGCATATACTACGTACAAAGAACCACACAGCGCTAAGTCTTGGCCGAGTTCCTGGTATTAACATGTATTTTCCAGGTACATGTAATACTGTCCTCTGGCTGAGGGTCTACCAGTTTAAAGGTAAGAACTCTATCTCCCCAAGCCCCTTTCCTCTCTGAGGAGCCCTGAATTATTAAACGTGTTTTCTGCAGGACCATAACAGTTTTCCTCTTCCCATATTTATGTTGTTCTTCCTGGGACGTTCCCATAACCCGATGGGATTCCCTTCCAACAAGCTAATACAACCACTTCAGGTGGTAGTTGTTCCTGTTGTGGCTTGGTTACAACATCCTTTCACTTACCATACACATTATCTCCATCCCTGAAATTGACACACAATAGCTACTAGTTTTATTCTAGCTTCTTCTACACACACACACATACACATTTGCATTGGTGAGAGGGCAGAAACAACCTCAGCCCATTGATACCCCACCAGTATTACCCAAACAAACCTGCATATCCTGATTTATTGTCTCCATAAAGATTTTCTCCTCTCTGAAAGTTACTAGAGAGAAAGAGGTAAGTAGCACTTATCCACTGCCTCTGGATGTGATAAAGAGTTTAATGCTAAGTATTGGTTGCCATCTCCGATATATTTCATCACTGTGGCTCACATAAGGTGTACCAGGATATCATGAAAATAGAGTGTCTAATAACCTATCCTAAACAAACTTCAATTGCACCTTCTAAAATTCCCTCCACATACAAATAATTAAATATACAGCCCCTTTTTTCAAAGAGTTTTGTGGTTAAGAGGGAGCAGGACAGGCAATTTTTCTCAAGGAATGACGTTTTCATAAGAACAAGTCCTATAATTCAATACTGAGCACAAAAGGATTGCAGGGACTACTGAGTCAGTGGTTAAGTTTAAATATTCACTATGATGGCTACTCTGTCATTATAAAGGAAAATCTACCACTAACCAGAATGCCTGAAGAATATGAGGGCTTTGAGTTACATGTCTGTCTAAGAGCATAGGAGAAACAAATTTAAGTGGACATTGGTACATGGATGAAGGAATACAATATTACAGTTCAGTCACTTTAAAAATTACTGTTTGATATGGCTTGGCTGTGTCCCCACCCAAATCTCATCTTGAACTGTAGCTTCCATAATTCCCACGTGTTGTGGGTGGGCCCCAGTGGGAGGCAATTGAATCATGGGAGCAGTTTCCCGCACACTATTCTCCTGGTAGTGAATAAGTCTCATGAGATCTGATGGTTGTATAAGGGGAAATCCTTTGGCTTGGTTCTCATTCTCTTCTTGCCTGCCGCCATGTAAGATGGCTCTTGCCCTTCCACCATGATTGTGAGGCCTCCCCAGCCACGTGGAACCATGAGTCCATTAAACTTCTTTCCTTTATAAATTACCCAGTCTAGCAATCAGCGAGACTCCGTGGGCGTAGGACCCTCCGAGCCAGTTCTTAAGATCTGCTATGAAAAATAGATAAGGATTTTGAAGTTATCCATGGACTTTTGGAGTATTGTTAATAAGAAGTCCAGAATCATCATGACTTTCAGTCTTTGATATGTGACTTGTTCTTTCTAGAACCTTATGGGAAGAGTCATGCTCCCTTTTCACTTCAAAGTGAGTGGACAGAGTGGAGCCAAGATGGCCGAATAGGAACAGCTCCGGTCTACAGCTCCCAGCGTGAGCGACGCAGAGGACGGGTGATTTCTGCATTTCCATCTGAGGTACCGGGTTCATCTCACTAGGGAGTGCCAGACAGTGGGCGCAGGCCAGTGTGTGCGCGCACCGTGCGCGAGCCGAAGCAGGGCGAGGCATTGCCTCACCTGGGAAGCGCAAGGGGTCAGGGAGTTCCCTTTCCGAGTCAAAGAAAGGGGTGACGGACGCACCTGGAAAATCGGGTCACTCCCACCCGAATATTGCGCTTTTCAGACCGGCTTAAGAAACGGCGCACCACGAGACTATATCCCACACCTGGCTCAGAGGGTCCTACGCCCACGGAATCTCGCTGATTGCTAGCACAGCAGTCTGAGATCAAACTGCAAGGCGGCAGCGAGGCTGGGGGAGGGGCGCCCGCCATTGCCCAGGCTTGCTTAGGTAAACAAAGCAGCCGGGAAGCTCGAACTGGGTGGAGCCCACCACAGCTCAAGGAGGCCTGCCTGCCTCTGTAGGCTCCACCTCTGGGGGCAGGGCACAGACAAACAAAAAGAGCAGTAACCTCTGCAGACTTAAGTGTCCCTGTCTGACAGCTTTGAAGAGAGCAGTGGTTCTCCCAGCACGCAGCTGGAGATCTGAGAACGGGCAGACTGCCTCCTCAAGTGGGTCCCTGACCCCTGACCCCCGAGCAGCCTAACTGGGAGGCACCCCCCAGCAGGGGCACACTGACACCTCACACGGCAGGGTATTCCAACAGACCTGCAGCTGAGGGTCCTGTCTGTTAGAAGGAAAACTAACAACCAGAAAGGACATCTACACCGAAAACCCATCTGTACATCACCATCATCAAAGACCAAAAGTAGATAAAACCACAAAGATGGGGAAAAAACAGAACAGAAAAACTGGAAACTCTAAAACGCAGAGCGCCTCTCCTCCTCCAAAGGAACGCAGTTCCTCACCAGCAACAGAACAAAGCTGGATGGAGAATGATTTTGACGAGCTGAGAGAAGAAGGCTTCAGACGATCAAATTACTCTGAGCTACGGGAGGACATTCAAACCAAAGGCAAAGAAGTTGAAAACTTTGAAAAAAATTTAGAAGAATGTATAACTAGAATAACCAATACAGAGAAGTGCTTAAAGGAGCTGATGGAGCTGAAAACCAAGGCTCGAGAACTACGTGAAGAATGCAGAAGCCTCAGGAGCCGATGCGATCAACTGGAAGAAAGGGTATCAGTAATGGAAGATGAAATGAATGAAATGAAGCGAGAAGGGAAGTTTAGAGAAAAAAGAATAAAAAGAAATGAGCAAAGCCTCCAAGAAATATGGGACTATGTGAAAAGACCAAATCTACGTCTGATTGGTGTACCTGAAAGTGATGTGGAGAATGGAACCAAGTTGGAAAACACTCTGCAGGATATTATCCAGGAGAACTTCCCCAATCTAGCAAGGCAGGCCAACGTTCAGATTCAGGAAATACAGAGAACGCCACAAAGATACTCCTCGAGAAGAGCAACTCCAAGACACATAATTGTCAGATTCACCAAAGTTGAAATGAAGGAAAAAATGTTAAGGGCAGCCAGAGAGAAAGGTCGGGTTACCCTCAAAGGAAAGCCCATCAGACTAACAGTGGATCTCTCGGCAGAAACCCTACAAGCCAGAAGAGAGTGGGGGCCAATATTCAACATTCTTAAAGAAAAGAATTTTCAACCCAGAATTTCATATCCAGCCAAACTAAGCTTCATAAGTGAAGGAGAAATAAAATATAGACAAGCAAATGCTGAGAGATTTTGTCACCACCAGGCCTGCCCTAAAAGAGCTCCTGAAGGAAGCACTAAACATGGAAAGGAACAACCGGTACCAGCCGCTGCAAAATCATGCCAAAATGTAAAGACCATCAAGACTAGGAAGAAACTGCATCAACTAATGAGCAAAATCACCAGCTAACATCATAATGACAGGATCAAATTCACACATAACAATATTAACTTTAAATATAAATGGACTAAATTCTGCAATTAAAAGACACAGACTGGCAAGTTGGATAAAGAGTCAAGACCCATCAGTGTGCTGTATTCAGGAAACCCATCTCACGTGCAGAGACACACATAGGCTCAAAATAAAAGGATGGAGGAAGATCTACCAAGCCAATGGAAAACAAAAAAAGGCAGGGGTTGCAATCCTAGTCTCTGATAAAACAGACTTTAAACCAACAAAGATCAAAAGAGACAAAGAAGGCCATTACATAATGGTAAAGGGATCAATTCAACAAGAGGAGCTAACTATCCTAAATATATATGCACCCAATACAGGAGCACCCAGATTCATAAAGCAAGTCCTGAGGGACCTACAAAGAGACTTAGACTCCCACACATTAATAATGGGAGACTTTAACACCCCACTGTCAACATTAGACAGATCAACGAGACAGAAAGTCAACAAGGATACTCAGGAATTGAACTCAGCTCTGCACCAAGCAGACCTAATAGACATCTACAGAACTCTCCACCCCAAATCAACAGAATATACATTTTTTTCAGCACCACACCACACCTATTCCAAAGTTGACCACATAGTTGGAAGTAAAGCTCTCCTCAGCAAATGTAAAAGAACAGAAATTATAACAAACTATCTCTCAGACCACAGTGCAATCAAACTAGAACTCAGGATTAAGAATCTCACTCAAAGCCGCTCAACTACATGGAAACTGAACAACCTGCTCCTGAATGACTACTGGGTACATAACGAAATGAAGGCAGAAATAAAGATGTTCTTTGAAACCAACGAGAACAAAGACACCACATACCAGAATCTCTGGGACGCATTCAAAGCAGTGTGTAGAGGGAAATTTATAGCACTAAATGCCTACAAGAGAAAGCAGGAAAGATCCAAAATTGACACACTAACATCACAATTAAAAGAACTAGAAAAGCAAGAGCAAACACATTCAAAAGCTAGCAGAAGGCAAGAAATAACTAAAATCAGAGCAGAACTGAAGGAAATAGAGACACAAAAAACCCTTCAAAAAATCAATGAATCCAGGAGCTGGTTTTTTGAAAGGATCAACAAAATTGATAGACCACTAGCAAGACTAATAAAGAAAAAAAGAGAGAAGAATCAAATAGACACAATAAAAAATGATAAAGGGGATATCACCACCGATCCCACAGAAATACAAACTACCATCAGAGAATACTACAAACACCTCTACGCAAATAAACTAGAAAATCTAGAAGAAATGGATACATTCCTCGACACATACACTCTCCCAACACTAAACCAGGAAGAAGTTGAATCTCTGAATAGACCAATAACAGGCTCTGAAATTGTGGCAATAATCAATAGTTTACCAACCAAAAAGAGTCCAGGACCAGATGGATTCACAGCCGAATTCTACCGGAGGTACAAGGAGGAACTGGTACCATTCCTTCTGAAACTATTCCAATCAATAGAAAAAGAGGGAATCCTCCCTAACTCATTTTATGAGGCCATCATCATTCTGATACCAAAGCCGGGCAGAGACACAACCAAAAAAGAGAATTTCAGACCAATATCCTTGATGAACATTGATGCAAAAATCCTCAATAAAATACTGGCAAACCGAATCCAGCAGCACATCAAAAAGCTTATCCACCATGATCAAGTGGGCTTCATCCCTGGGATGCAAGGCTGGTTCAATATACGCAAATCAATAAATGTAATCCAGCATATAAACAGAGCCAAAGACAAAAACCACATGATTATCTCAATAGATGCAGAAAAAGCCTTTGACAAAATTCAACAACCCTTCATGCTAAAAACTCTCAATAAATTAGGTATTGATGGGACGTATTTCAAAATAATAAGAGCTATCTATGACAAACCCACAGCCAATATCATACTGAATGGGCAAAAACTGGAAGCATTCCCTTTGAAAACTGGCACAAGACAGGGATGCCCTCTCTCACCGCTCCTATTCAACATAGTGTTGGAAGTTCTGGCCAGGGCAATCAGGCAGGAGAAGGAAATAAAGGGTATTCAATTAGGAAAAGAGGAAGTCAAATTGTCCCTGTTTGCAGACGACATGATTGTTTATCTAGAAAACCCCATCGTCTCAGCCCAAAATCTCCTTAAGCTGATAAGCAACTTCAGCAAAGTCTCAGGATACAAAATCAATGTACAAAAATCACAAGCATTCTTATACACCAACAACAGACAAACAGAGAGCCAAATCATGAGTGAACTCCCATTCACAATCGCTTCAAAGAGAATAAAATACCTAGGAATCCAGCTTACAAGGGATGTGAAGGACCTCTTCAAGGAGAACTACAAACCACTGCTCAAGGAAATAAAAGAGGACACAAACAAATGGAAGAACATTCCATGCTCATGGGTAGGAAGAATCAATATCGTGAAAATGGCCATACTGCCCAAGGTAATTTACAGATTCAATGCCATCCCCATCAAGCTACCAATGACTTTCTTCACAGAATTGGAAAAAACTACTTTAAAGTTCATATGGAACCAAAAAAGAGCCCGCATCGCCAAGTCAATCCTAAGCCAAAAGAACAAAGCTGGAGGCATCACACTACCTGACTTCAAACTATACTACAAGGCTACAGTAACCAAAACAGCATGGTACTGGTACCAAAACAGAGATATAGATCAATGGAACAGAACAGAGCCCTCAGAAATAATGCCGCATATCTACAACTATCTGATCTTTGACAAACCTGAGAAAAACAAGCAATGGGGAAAGGATTCCCTATTTAATAAATGGTGCTGGGAAAACTGGCTAGCCATATGTAGAAAGATGAAACTGGATCCCTTCCTTACACCTTATACAAAAATCAATTCAAGATGGATTAAAGATTTAAACGTTAGACCTAAAACCATAAAAACCCTAGAAGAAAACCTAGGCATTACCATTGAGGACATAGGCGTGGGCAAGGACTTCATGTCCAAAACACCAAAAGCAATGGCAACAAAAGCCAAAATTGACAAATGGGATCTAATTAAACTCAAGAGCTTCTGCACAGCAAAAGAAACTACCATCAGAGTGAACAGGCAACCTACAACATGGGAGAAAATTTTCGCAACCTACTCATCTGACAAAGGGCTAATATCCAGAATCTACAATGAACTCAAACAAATTTACAAGAAAAAAACAAACAACCCCATCAAAAAGTGGGCGAAGGACATGAACAGACACTTCTCAAAAGAAGACATTTATGCAGCCAAAAAACACATGAAGAAATGCTCATCATCACTGGCCATCAGAGAAATGTAAATCAAAACCACTATGAGATATCATCTCACACCAGTTAGAATGGCAATCATTAAAAAGTCAGGAAACAACAGGTGCTGGAGAGGATGTGGAGAAATAGGAACACTTTTACACTGTTGGTGGGACTGTAAACTAGTTCAACCATTGTGGAAGTCAGTGTGGCGATTCCTCAGGGATCCAGAACTAGAAATACCATTTGACCCAGCCATCCCATTACTGGGTATATACCCAAATGACTATAAATCATGCTGCTATAAAGACACATGCACATGTATGTTTATTGCGGCACTATTCACAATAGCAAAGACTTGGAACCAACCCAAATGTCCAACAATGATAGACTGGATTAAGAAAATGTGGCACATATACACCATGGAATACTATGCAGCCATAAAAAATGATGAGTTCATGTCCTTTGTAGGGACATGGATGAAATTGGAAACCATCATTCTCAGTAAACTATCGCAAGAACAAAAAACCAAACACCGCATATTCTCACTCATAGGTGGGAATTGAACAATGAGATCACATGGACACAGGAAGGGGAATATCACACTCTGGGGACTGTGGTGGGGTCGGGGGAGGGGGGAGGGATAGCATTGGGAGATATACCTAATGCTAGATGACACGTTAGTGGGTGCAGCGCACCAGCATGGCACATGTATACATATGTAACTAACCTGCACAATGTGCACATGTACCCTAAAACTTAGAGTATAATAAAAAAAAAAAAATTAAAAAAAAAAAAATAAATTACCCAGTCTTAGGTATGTCTTTATTAGCAGCATGAGAACAGACTAACACACTGTTTTTTAATGTTTTATTACATTGAACTTTCATTCATTGAATCTATGATTTTCTTCACTTTTATGCCCATAATATTGAGTTTATAAATTTTAATGATTTTTTTTACACCTGATATTTAGCCTGCCTAGGCATAGTGAACACACATCCTGGTTCGCCTGGGAAAGTCCTTGTTTACTAGATGAATCACATGCATTACGTTGCCACCCTGTTCAAAGATATCTCAGCTTGGATTCATTCCATCTTACCCTGAGGCAGAACCTGAGACAAGGGTTTGCTGGTGTGTAGTTTATTGTGGGAAATAAACCACAGGGGCAAGTGATGGTGAAATAGGAAGAGTGAAATGGACAAGGAGAAAAGGCAACGCGAGGATGACTGCTAAGCTGAGTAATTCTAGTTACCTGGGGCAACTAGAGTCCTTCCCTCTGGGAGAACTCCAAAGAGACCATATAAAATGTGTTTCATTATTGTCTGTCTGAGACATAGAAGAATGGCTTTGTTTAACCACTAGTTCCCCATTAGACAAGGATTTCCAGAAAGTGTTTTATTCCCCCTCCTCTGAGGTCTGTGCATGCATCAGAAGGTCTGAGAAGTCCTACAGGAGTCCATACAGTGGCATTAGCAAGGAACAGCTTCCTATTGCAGTTGAGACAAGGTGCTGTCAGGCTAACGTGTGCATGTGCTTGCTGCAACAGACCTGGAGCAAAACTTTAGACCAAGTGTATGTGAGACACAGCATAGAAGATGTCTAAGCACAATTCCTCTCTTGCGCCACTTAGATATGCTAATATCCTGGGTTAATTACAATCTCCCATAAATAGCCCTGAACTCCACAAATTATTCAAAATCAGAGGCTTGTAGTAAGATAGTCTCTGCCGCTGCAGTTGGTCTCAAAATCGTGACTGATATTCACTCTCTCCCTCCTCTAACGTGCCTTCTGATGCTGCTCCACACTCAGCAGTGGGTCTAGGTTACTTGCCTGATAGGTGACACTGACCATCATCCACAAAGTAGCAAAGCTCTTATTTGCTTTAACCTTTGCCGAGCCAAAGTGGCGTCAGTTGCCCATGTATGGTTATTAGTGGAAATAGTCCACTAAGTACCAAGAAATAGTCCAGTGAATCCCCTGATTTTTGACCTATTCTTGTGACTCTCCTTGCATAGTAGCATCACTTGGTTTTCAGGGTAATCAGAGTTTAATTAATGCCTCCAATATGGTAACTCATTTCTTCTCCCACTGGCCCACTACAACAGGAAGACTGAGATGACAGGGTGGTGGTTCAGCTTCAGGATCAGTGACATTTATTCTGTCCCCTGATTCAAGGTGCATGCTCTGGAAACCAGACCCCTTATTCCAGCAGCACCTACGTTTGCTGGAAGAAAACACACATTCCACAAGTGGGTCATTGCAATGATGGTGAATGGGGCCAAACCTTCATGCATGGCTTGCTTTCCAGACCCGAGTATTTCCATAGGGACACTGCTTCAGATAATGGGTGTTGATTCGCTGCATGTACCTCATTTCTAAGGCAGCACCCCAGCCCCACAGGGTGTTGTCTGTGAGTGGTCACTGTAGATGAGTGTCCCATAGGCCAGGTGAGCGTTCTATTACACTGGCTGCTCAGGGTGGTGTGGTCAATGGAAAGACCAGCAGACCGTGGTCATGCCACACCTGCTTAATTATAAAGGAGGTTCCTTCTTTGAGGAGATTTAGGTAGGACTCCAGTTCAAACAGCCTGTCTGTAAGCCCTCGGAGGGTGGTGCTGACCAGCAGGCAGTGAGGACAGTCAGTGCTGGAGGATGAGCTGTCACCCTCGGAGGGCTGGAGGACTCTGAGGGAGTCACCTGCAGGCTTAGTCTCCATCCCTCCTGCCGCAGCGTCTCTGTTGGCGTCCTTTCTACCAAACAGGACGGTTATGGAAAGCATCAGGCGCTCCTACACCATGCAGGCCACGCTCTCTCTCCCATCTCCCTGTAGGGTGGATGCTTTCTGATGGGCAATTTCACGACACTTAACAATGCCCTTTCTGAACGGGATTTTTGTGGGGAAAAAAAAAAAGATGCCCATGATTTTTGTTCTGTCCTCTAAGTCCATTTGCACGCCTCTACCTTGGACCCCCTGACCCCAATCTTTCTGGATGGCTCCTTCCTGACCAACCCACTCGCCTCTAACCAGCTCTCCACCTGCTCACTCCAGCCTCTCCTGCTGCACCACGTCCGTGCCAGGTGCTCTGTGAGGCCCGGCTCCCCGGGATGGTTCCACTCACCACTGCCTTCCGCGCTGCTCCGGACAGAGCTGTAGCACGCAGCTGTCTATGCTTTGGATAACATGCCTCTGTTGGCCCCATGTATAAGCGAAGCTCAAGTGTCTTCCTTTCTGTTAACTGGTTGTAAGACCCACCTGCCAAGGCATAGATAGGTGCCTGGAGGATCCCCTCAGTGAAATGAAATGAGACACTAGAAAAAATGATATGCTTGCCTGAAAAGGGAAATAACGGGGAAATTTGAGGATCACAGCCTCTGCTCTTTTGGGAAGAAAGAAATGCCCTCTGCTGAAATGTTCTCATGCCGTCTTACTGTAAGTATTTATTGTCAGTATTGTCACAGGCTGTGAGAAAGCAATTAACATGCAGGATCCCTGAGTGGACCCGGATGAGGAGAAAAACGTGTAAAAGATAATTTGAGGTCAATTGGGTCAACTTACATGTGGACAATATTATTATAGCAATGTTAATTTCTGGAGTGTAGGACGTTAATGTGGTAATGATGGATATTGTGCAGGCTCTTCAGAGATACATGCTGATGTAAGGGTAAAGCATCTCTGTCTGCAACTTTAACAAGGATCAGCAAAACAAAGTTTATACACCTGCACGTGTGTGTGTGTTTGTGTGTAGGGAGAGGAAGAGCAAAAATGTAAAAAATATTACCAACTGGTGAACCCTCATGAAGGTTTTATATTTATATACCTTTCAGATTATTATTCTTTCCATTTTTCTCTTGGTTTAAAATTTTTAAAAATAGCTAACTGAAAAACAATGTAGAAAATATAAAAAACTTGGATAAAGAAATCAAAAGCATGGGGCTCATTAAATATTAAATTCCAAACAACAAAAAGAGAATTAATGAATTGTAAAATATATTTGAAGAAATTGTCCAAAATTCACCAGAGATAAGGAATATGAACAACAGATTATGAGGTATATCTCTTTCACTTATCATATTAATTGGTTTTATACTGCTATGGTTTTGTTGTCATATCTTAACTGCATTCATATATATATATCTATTTTGGAAGTAGAGGATAAATGAAATGTAATGTCTTTACATGTATAAGATTTCCATCTACTTCCCCCTAATTACTACTGAATTGGGTATCAAGTAGAATTCTCAACAAATAAGGTCTAATTAATTAATTACATTTACGAAGGATAACATTAAATAATTTCTTACGGCACAGTAATCCTGAGATATTTTGAATCAGTCACTGCCGCAGTTTGGAAAGAAAGTCTATACTGTAGTAATTGGTAACACTTTGGAGGCTGAAAAACACTGGCTTATAGTAATTATGATTTCTGAAAGCAGGCAAGGAGAAAGGAGGAAAACAGGATTTATCCTCATTGTGATTAAAATTATTTTAAGGAAAATGTTTTGAAAATTCGTACAATACCTTGCTAGTCTAAGTAAGAAATGTCAGTTGACAGATGTGATATATTCTACCCACGCCTCTGCCTTTAAGCAGCACATCCTACTTCATAGATTTCACGTACCAATAAGAGCTAAACGAAAAACGGTTTGGCCTTAACTGAATGAGCTAGTTACTTAAATAATCCTGGAATATTCTGATTTCAATTCTCATTTAAAAATGAGTGTGCTGAAGCCTAAAAAAATAGGTGAAATATCTTCCAGTTTCCTCCCTTATGTGCTAATGTCTCTGGTTAAACGCTTTATTTAAGGATTAACTTTTTGTTTATTTTCATTGCTGTCAGTCTTCCCAGTTGCATAACAGAAAGGTTTGCACATGGCTCGTGGCTGTGACACGTTCCAAAACGTCACTCAGACGATATCAAATGAGCATTGCACGTCTATTCCATCCAAAATGCTCTCATCATTGGTAAGATGCGGTATGAAGCTGTTAGTTTTGTTATTCTTCTCAAAAAATGTCAAAATCAGAGGAAAAACCCTCGAGAATGCATTACAGTTATTTTATGTGATGTTATTTTTGTTATTGCCTTAGCATTTTCCTGGATCTTCGCTGCAGCTTTCTGCTTTTCCCCAGCTGTGGGGCGCTGGACCAACAGGCTGCAAAGCCATGTCAAGTGTGGGCCTCGGCTTGGCGGCCCCATGTGCAGACTCTAGTCAGCAAGCACACGGGCTGTTTCACAAACATTAATTCTAAGTCCAAAACCAACAGTGTGAAGTAAATATTAGTATCCCTAGTTCATAGAGAAAGAAACTGAAGTTCAGAAAGTTTAAATAGATTTCCCGAGCTCAGATCGCTGTAAGTAGCTACACCGAGGTTCACGTCCAGGACTGTGAATCCAAGCCTGGGAAGCAGCCAGCACGCTGTGGTCTCACTATCCAAAATGTTCTGGATAGGCCAGGCGCGGTGGCTCACCCCTGTAATCCCAGCACTTTGGGAGGCTAAGGCGGGTGGATCACGAAGTCAACAGATCGAGACCATCCTGGCCAATATGGTGAAACCCCATCTCTACTAAAAGTACAAAAATTAGCTGGGCGTGGTGGCACTCACCTGTAGTCCCAGCTACTCGGGAGACTGAGGCAGGAGCATCACTTGAACTCAGGACGCTGAGGTTGCAGTGAGCTGAGATTGCACCACAGCACTCCAGTCTGGTGACAGAGCGAGACTCCATCTCAAAAAAAAAAAAAGTTCTGAATAGATATATAATGCGTTAACAAAATGGGAAGAGGTCCACAAATCTGCTGGTGTGGCAGTATCATAGGTTAGAATCACATTTTAAACCTTATCAGGATAATTTCTATGATTCTGAAATTTCAGTGTCTAACACTAGAAAATAAATCATCTGAGGTATGCTTCTTAGAACAACAGGCAGAAGCCTCTGGAATATATTGTCTGTTGTTTGAACTTCATTTTCCATTAAAACAAAATGATATGTGTGTGTTCATTGGTTTATGGATGTGGTTTCTTTATTTCTGTAACTCTTGAACATTGATCACAGTCATTTTTTTGGCCACTGTCATACCTCTCCTTTAGTCCTGCCCTCCAGTTGTACAAATTTATTTGTTTTAATTTCTGATTCAAGATGATATATTCAGAACCTACATATACTTCCCTTCCCATTGAACACTCTCAGGAAATGATGTACATGAACAATATTTTTTAAAATCAATAAAAGTTTAAAAGAGTAATTAAGGGTAGCATCGGGGAATCTGAAATGTTGTGAAATGTGTGGAGTATAGAATAAAATGGATTTGGATTAATAGAGAATCAAACAATATAACATATGCACATGGATCCACACTGGTAGATTCTGCTTAAAGGAGACACAGAGGTGAAGAAATGAACCACTCTGGATTCTTATGCTCATGGCGTAAAGGGAGATACTGTCTATAAATTTCCCTGTCTATTCTAAACTGAAAATGGCATGCTAGAAGACAGACCAAGTAATTCCCGGCCACAATGCTTGAGTCAGAGATGGCCACATGCCCCAGGCAGAGCCTGTGATGAGGTCCTGATGCGATACCAGGAAAATGTGGAGGACTCTTTCTCTCTGCAATCGAATTTGGGAGGATGGCGGATGGAGCTGCCAACCTGTCTTGCACCGCCATGGAGCATGAGAATAAAGCCAATACCTGGAAGAAGGGGGAGCCACACCCAGGCACGGAGAGTGATCAGATGGTTGTTCTTTGTTTGTTTGTTTGTTTGTTTTTGAAGTCTCATTCCTTACACCCAGGCATGGAGAGTAATCAGATGGTTTTTGTTTTTGTTTGTTTGCTTGTTTGTTTTTGAGGTCTCATTCTTTACACCCAGGCATGGCGAGTCATCAGATGGTTTTTCTTTGTTTGTTTGGTTTTTTTGAGGTCTCATTCCTTAGCCAGTTAAATTCATTTTAAAAAAGAATTTTGGGCCAGGCGTGGTGGCTCACACTTGTAATCCCAGCACTTTAGGAGGCTGAGGTGGGTGGATCACCTGAGTCAGGAGTTCAAGATCAGCCTGGTCAACATGGTGAAACCCTGTCTCTACTAAAAATACAAAAATTAGCAGGGTATGGTGGTGCACACCTGTAAACCCAGCTACTCGGGAGGCTGAGATGGGAGAATCACTTGAGCTCAGAAGGCGGAGGCTGTAGTGAGCCTAGATGGCGCCACTGCACTCCAGCCTGGGCGACAAAGTGAGACTTCATCCCGAAAAAGAAACAAAAAATTGTGTTTTCTTTGAGTTGCATTTAATGATTTCTACCCTAAATCATCTTTCCCTACAACATCGTAAGCTTGTTGTTTTAATCATTTCTGTTCTACATGACACAGAAAATGCTGAACAGACATTTGTTGTTAATAAACTAAACTATCTGATAATTTTTGCTTAAACTTAACAAGCTCCACACTGTATGTATGCAATTTCTATTTCAAAGTAAATGAGAATAAAAGGTAGAGTATCAGGTATGACCAAATCAAATTTTGTTGTAATTACTGAATAAATATAGTTTAATAGCAAAGGATGACAAGAACACAGTTTAAAATCTATATTCAATATATCATGGTTAATTTTTAAAATCCATTTATAACTAAGATAGAAAAGCTTGCATTGCATTGGAATTATCAATTAACTGTGGAGTTTGGATATGATTTGTTTCTGTGCAACATTGGAGGGGTGTGTGTGTGCACGTCTGTGTCATTCTTTGTTCACATAAAAAATATCCACAGTATCATCATGGAAAAATGTCAAAGTTATTGATCTGAGAATTCTCAACATTTTATTACACTCACCCACTCTCTCTCTCTCTCTCTCTGTGTCTATTTTACAAGAAATAACAAGACTATTTTCATGTTTATGTCTATGCAGCCTAATATCATCATCAGTGGCCACATGTTGCTCAGGACTTGAAATGTGGCTAGGTCAAATTAAGGTGTGTTGTAAATGTAAACTACACACCAGATTTCAGAGTTAGTATTATAAAATGCAATATATCTTCATCATTCTCTCGCTTACCTGTTAACATAATATTTTGAATATATACAGTAAAATATATTATTAAAATTAATTTTATTCATTTCTCTAACTTTTCCAGTATGGCTAGGATAAAAACTTAAATTACATGTGTTACTTGCATTACATTTATATTGAATAGTGCTGATTGGGATAACATTTTAGGTTTGAGAATGACCACAGTGATTTCACCCCTAAAGAATTAAAGATCACAGGATTAAGTCATTTATCAAGGGAGCTAGTTAGCAGCATTACCACAGGTAATTTCTGGAATCCCTGATGTCCTGTCCAATCATCTTTGCAGCACGTCCTCATGCATGTGAAGCACCTGCTTTCACTGTAACTCTTTGAAATCAGTGATCTGTAAATTCATCATGCATTGCTCATTAGTGGAAGTATTCTTCAAATTACTTTTTGTTACACAATTATTAAATACCATTTTCTGCTCATTTTTACTACCGTTAGCAATAGGATGCATTTTTTAAGGAAAATATTTGTGTCAATATATTAATGTCATGTAAATATATATATGTAGAAAGTAAAAAGTTCCCTCTTCAAAGTTTCCCTTCTTGTTAAAGAATAAATCATAAGTGTTTGAAATAATAGTTTCTTTTAAAAACTAACTTTCTTCAAGCTTCCTTGCTTTGTGCTAATAACTCTTTGTTAAGCCCTATCCTATGTAGCTGTTGGACATGCTCACAGGCATGTTCCAGCTCACAGCCTATGCCCCTTCCTTATGTGGAAATGTTATTGCTTCTTTAAATCTTTCATAACCAACTTCCTTCTTTCCTTTGTTCCCCCTTGCCTTTGCCTATTTAAGGAAGTTTTAGATTGTTGGCAAATCGGGTATCACTTTACACTGTGAGGTTCGGCTCCAGCCAATGGATGCAGAACACAGCAGTAGGGAGGACCCAAATGCATCCAGGATAACTATGCCTGCTTTTCCTATGTTTGCTGTGCTCTCACAGCAAGACTGCTGGTGACTGTACCCTTTCTGCAGAAAGTAAAAATTGCCTTGCTGAGAGAATTAAATTTATGTTCAAGTGCTATTTCTTTGTGGCACTGGGGAACAAGCATTTTGCATTCCTAACATATAAGATGTATTTGATATAGGTTTTTTCTACTCTATTGAAAAAGCTATATGACTTAGAAACTTATACACTGTAATTTGGTTGTTGAAATATGTAACACTTTATTATAGGGCTTTCATATTTGAAAAATAGTTTATTAGCACTTATGAAAATGAAGCATGACTGTTGTCATTTACCTATGATACTGTCACAAAGGTTCCCTGTCTGAGACTTTTAATATATTTATAATGTGGACATTTTACAAATTAACAAACTTCTTAATGAATGCTCTTATTGGACTAAGAATATCCTTTTAAATTTTTATATGTTTACATTTTATTACAATTAATAACAAAACATTATGTTGGTTGAGCTCTTTTTATATGAATATAAAACAGAAACTAATAATTAACAGGAGATTGTATACAGCATGGGGTAATTCACTTAGCCTAAATGTGAATGTTTCTACATAGCTACTGGCAGTTTACATTTCTGAAAAGAAATATTGGCATTACAGAGTTGCAAACGTACTTTTGATATCTATTGTGTTAATGTTTAAAAATAAAAATTTGAGATAATATAAAACATTGTGTTCCTCTATTATTGACAAACCCAGAAATGAGAACGTTTTAAATTTAATCGAAGGCACTTAATTTTTCAAACCACAAAACATTCCAATGCTTTGAAGAACTCATTTACAAATAAACGTCAGTACATATACATGAAACCTGTTCCTGTCAACAATACTGCATTAGAAGGTATTGATTATAAAGGGTAAGCCCCGAGGTAGAAACAACCTTCCCACTGTTTCTCATTCCGGACTCTTCTATTTCCAGTCCAGTCTCAGAGAGAACTGATGGACTGACCACCTTTGTATATCATCTTCAAGCCGTTTATCTTCATTCAACAAGTAATTTTGGAGCACTATTTTGTGCCAGTTACCCTCATAAGCACAAAAGAGAAAAATGTCCCTCTCTGCTTTTGAGGGATTTAACTTCTAATGTGGGAGAAAGAAGGAAATCTAACAGTGAGTAAATACTGCAGTATTTTGAAAGATGGAAATGTTATGAGCAAAGACAAATTTGGAGTAGGGCATAGGAGATTCTGAGGGGTGGTGTTAGAATTTTAAATAGGGGGATTTCAGCAGGTGATATTTGATTAGAGACTGGAAAGAGATGAAGGTATCAGCCATTCAACTATTTGGGAAGAGCATCTCAGGCAGAGAGAAGAGCTTGTGCAAAAAACTTTAAGTTGGTAAGGGGCCTGCAGTGTCTAAGAAATATCAAGGGGGCCATCATGGCTAGAGAAGAGTGAGCAAGAGGAAAATGTTGGGAGACGCAATCAGAGAGGTCACAGGGAGCCAAATCATGTAGCGTTGCATGGGCCATGGCGAAGGCTTCGAATTTTGCTTTAGTGAGCTTGGGAGCCATGATGGAATTCTGAGCAGAGGTTTGTCTTAAAGGGATAACACTGTCTGCTACAAGACTACAGGGACCCAAGAGCAGAGGTAAGAAGATCATCAACCCAGGTCAGCAGGCTTGGATCAGGATGGCGGCAATGGAGGGAGTAAGACGTGGCTGGCTTCTGCAGATACTATAAAGGTGGAGCAAACAGGATGCCCTCACGACCTCAATGTTAGTATGAGAAAGGAAAGGTCAAAGGGAACTGCAATCTTTGGGTCTCAGAGGTTGGAAGGGTGGAGTTACTATCAACTCAGATGGGAAAGTCTGACAGGGGTTGGGGTGGGAATAGGTTTTAAGATTGAAGTCAAACATTCAGTGAAGATTGAGATGTGGGTAATAATCCAACTAGGCCTGTCGGGTGGTAGGCAGCTCGACACAGCAGTCTAGAGTTAGGGAGAAAGGACAGAGCTAGAGATACACATTAGGGAGTTATCTGCATATAGATGATGATCTGAAGCTATGGGAGTGGCATTGGTTCAAGAAATACTAGATTTTATAGCAAAACAAAACTAAATTAACAAGCAAACAAACCCTAAAAACATGGCTAAAGCATGATAAACTTTTCTTATTTACATAAATACAAAAATAAATGTTTTCATAAGCAGTCAACTCCTCTTCAAGTTTTTCAGTGAAGCCTACTCTAGTTATTTTATTCCAGGGGTCAGCACACGATGGCCCAAGGACCAAACCTGGCCCACCACCTGCTTTAGTAAATAAACATATTGCCACACAGCCACACCACTCATTTCGTCTGTGGCTACTTTCACACCACATGACAAAGCTGTGCAGGGGCTATCAAGTCCATACAGCCTACATAGCCTAAAATAAAAATATTGACTCCCAGCTAATCACAGAAAAGCTTTCCAACCCCGCTCTGTAACACTGCAACCGACTCACGTTTGTTCTATTTTCATTTCACCACAGCATGATCACCTTCTGAAGTATGATTACATTTAAAAATTTTAAAGGCAACTGATTCTACATCAAAAGCTTGTTAAAATAACTCCTCTTCTAGTCTTTTGCTCTTACCCGTGGGTTTTTATTCAAATTTAAGCCCAGACTTATGCTGTGTAGGAGAAGTGAAAGGCAAAATTAATGGAGGGTTAAACAGGCTACTGTTAATATCCCTTCATCCTCTCTGTCCATTTCGCAAGTCTTTGTTACTCCATTAAATTTAAAAAAAAAAAAGGTCACAGCCAAATTTTTAAGATGACATGTTTTGATCCAGAAACATATGTCACATCAGGATTTTTTCTACTGAACATATTTATTTTATACATATGTGAGTAGTTTATAATTCAAAAGACTCAGGTAGTATTGAACAATCCTGAAAAAATTCCATTAGTTTTCGGCTACTGAATATTTAGGTTTTAACACCTATATAATTAGAGGTTTTAAATTCAACAGTCTCTAGCAATATTAGAAATATCTAGTAGACAAATGTGGTTAGCAGTATTATACCCCTTAAGATTTGTAATTTAATAGTGAGAGAATAATTTTATCTTCAGAAAAAAAAAAACAGATGCAAAAGAGCTGGCTACAGTGTAATTTCCCCTCAAAAGTCAAATGTGTTATGAAGTAATTTTTACAATACTTACACTGAGTTCTCTAAGGTTTCTGAGAGCGGGTGGTGCACGCTTCTCCATGAAGGAAAAGGGCCGTGCTCTATGCCACCGTTTGTTTTATCTGCGAATGTTCTGCAGGGTCTTCTGATTCTACCATAAACAGGGATCTGAGGATCTGAATATTCTACACCCTGGGAGTCCGTGGAGGCCCCTGGAGAAAGATCCTCCGTCTTGCGAAGAGAGTGGAAACCACGGCAGAAGCTCTTTCTTGTTCTTAGTGAACAACGACCTGGTGACCTCCAGGAAATCAGTAAACACATCCAGAGGAAGGAGACCCCTGCCTTTCACAGGTGATATCTGGCAGAAGTGTAAGTGGTCATTTCAAGTGATAAGGAAGGAAGACGAGGCTGTGGCTGTTACTAGAACTGTCCATCACTAGCCTGTCGAAACAGTTTTTTCTAAGTCTCCTCATTATACATTATTAAATTACACCCAAAAAACACTGTTGAAAGTCATCATATGGGAAAATATATTAGATGATTAAAGAGGAGAAAACAGCACAGAGCTCTCCAAAGGGACAGGAATACAGCCTCGCCCATAATTGAGATCAACCCTACAAGCAGCCACATAGAAAGAGACCCACAGAATTCCACAGACCCCTAAGAATATCCAGACCTCACAGAGCCACAGGGTAGAAAGGCCCCTCCTGGGGAGTTAAAAATCCCCGAGGCGCAGATCTAAAGGTCATTCGTTGAGGCACTGAAGGACAGCAGAGCATGGGAGGGCTGCGAGCGTCCCCTGCCAGGTGCAGGCAAGGCTACAGGGAGGGGAGGCGCACCCACCACGTGAGGCAAGGCTGCAGGGATGGGGAGGCGCACCCACCAGGTGAGGCAAGGCTGCAGGGAGGGGAGGCGCACCCACCACGTGAGGCAAGGCTGCAGGGAGGGGAGGCGCACCCACCACGTGAGGCAAGGCTGCAGGGAGGGGAGGCGCACCCACCAGGTGAGGCAAGGCTGCAGGGAGGGGAGGTGCACCCACCAGGTGAGGCAAGGCTGCAGGGAGGGGAGGTGCACCCACCAGGTGAGGCAAGGCTGCAGGGAGGGGAGGCGCACCCACCACGTGAGGCAAGGCTGCAGGGAGGGGAGGCGCACCCACCAGGTGAGGCAAGGCTGCAGGGAGGGGAGGTGCACCCACCAGGTGAGGCAAGGCTGCAGGGAGGGGAGGCGCACCCACCAGGTGAGGCAAGGCTGCAGGGAGGGGAGGCGCACCCACCAGGTGAGGCAAGGCTGCAGGGAGGGGAGGCGCACCCACCAGGTGAGGCAAGGCTGCAGGGAGGGGAGGCGCACCCACCAGGTGAGGCAAGGCTGCAGGGAGGGGAGGCGCACCCACCAGGTGAGGCAACGTTGCCGGCTGGGGGAGGGCACACTAGAAAACACTCTGACAGCTTCTGACAAACTTAAACATGCATTTGTCGTGTGTGCCAGGCAGTCCTTTCTTAGATACCTAGCCATGAGACGTTAGCATTTATGTACATTCGAACATTCGTGTGTGACTGTGTATAGCAACTTTATTCATAATTGTTGAAAACTGGAAACACTGTTTTTTTTTAACTGCTAAAAGGAGAAACATACTTTACTGTGAACCCTTCGCAGATGCACTTTGAGAGGTTGAAGTTTCCTTATATTCTTAGCTTGTTGATAGTTTTTGTAATGAATGGGGGTTAAATTTTGATAATTTTTGGCATCTATTGAGATGATCGTGTGTGTTACTTCTTTAGCGTATTCATATAGCAAACTACATTGTTTTAGTTTTAACTGTTAAATGAACCTTGCTTGGCCAGGATAAGACACACTTTGTGATGATCTATTATCCATATTATGTATCACTCTTTTCTACTTACAAAAATTGTGTTGAGAGGTGTCGTGCCCATGTTCAAGACGGATAATATAAGGTCTTATAGTTGGCTTTTCCTTAAATGTCCTTCTCTGGTTTTAGTAGCAGGATAATTATGATCTCACAAAGTGAGTTGGGAAGTATCCCCCTCTACTTCTACTATCAGAAAGAGTTTGTGTAGAATTTATAATATTTTTTCCTTAAGTATTTTTTTCTTTTTTAGAATTCAACAATTTAGTCGCTTGTGGATAGAGTTTTCTTTTTTGGAAGTTATTTAACTACAGATCAATTTCTTTAATATACATAGACTATTTGAGTTATGTATTCCTTCCTCATGAGCTTTAGTACTTTGTAGCTTTCAAGGAATTTGTCCATTTCATCTAAGTTATAAAACATAAGGCATAAAATAGTTCCTAATATTTATTTTTCATTCTTTAAGTGACCTCAAGGTGTGTAGAATTGTCCCATATTTTATTCCTGATATTGATAGTTTCTATCTTTTCTCTTTTTGTTTCTTGGTTGATCTGACTCATTGATTAATTATATTGATCTTTTCAAACAAAGCATTTTGGGTTTCACTGATATTTTTCTATATTTTTTCAATTTCATTAATTTCTTCTCTCATATTTACTATTTCTTTTTTTCTATTTGTTTTGGGTTCAATTTACTTCCTCTTACCAGTTTTAAGGTGGAATCTAATCAATAATATCTGAATTTCCTTATAGAAGTTTTGACACTACAAATTTCCCTCTAAGCACTGTTTTATCAGCACCTCATACATTGTGAAACATTTTGTTTTATTTTTATTCAACACATAATATTTCCTCATGTCTTTTTGACTTCCTCTTTCACCCACGTGTTATTCATAAAAGAGTGGCTTAATTTTTAAATATTTTCAGATATTCCACCTGTATGTCAACCACTGACTTCTAGCTTAATTCTATTATGTCCAGAGAACATAGTTTATTTTAATTTTAGAAAAAATTATTATGGTTTGTTTTATGCCAGAATATGGTCTACCTTGGTGAATAATCCATACACACTTTAAAAGAATGTATATTATTCTGCTCTTGTGTTGAGTGTTCTATAAACGCATTTTCTATAAATGCTCAATCTGTGGGTAGTTTTTTTCAGATTGTCAATACCCTAACTAACTTTCTACTTGTTCTGTCAATTGATACAGAAAACTTGAAGTTCTCTACTACAATTATGAATGTGACTATTTTGTTTTATTTCTAATAGGCTTTGCTTTATATATTTTGAAGGTCTTTTATCAGGTGCACACACATTTAGGATTATTATGCCTTCCTAGTGGCTTTTCCCTTTTACATGCCCTGCTTGCTTCATGGGACTATGTGATTAATCAAACTGCCTGAAGCTTTGCATTTAAATGATCTAGTTTCTTGTCGAGTATATTATTATTTGATTAGAAATAAATCCAAATACCTTTTTTAAAATGCAAGAATATTTAAAAATTAGTAATCAGAACCTTGGATAATTTTATATCACCAGAGTTTGGGGAAATATTCTGAAATAAAAATTTTAAAAGTTAGCATCATCAAAATTAAAGGTAAGAGTGTAGAAAAAATATTCAAACATCGCAATGATTATGATTATGTACAGCTCTTTCTTGCCAATTTTCTGTCCTTTACATTAAATCCTTCATCACTTAAATTCACATAAATGCATAAAATTGATAAAACTTGTTTCTTCCTATCTTGCTATGTTTTTTACTTTACTATTACAGACGTTTAAAAACTAAAATGGTCTACAGTTTCCATCACGCTACACTAAGAAGACTATCCCACAAGGAAAAAAAATTATGTACTCGACACAATTTTAGATGAAAAATGACCAAATCATCAAGAAAAGCTTGAAAATATAATTTACATACTATAAAATTCAACTTCTTAACGTGAAAAATTCAGTGCTTTTTTTTGTGTATTCATGAACATGTGGAACCATCACAAGTATCTAGTGCCAGAATATTCCATCTCAAAGAGAAACCCACACCAGTTAATAGTCACTCACCATTTGCTCCTCTCCTGGCTCTGGAAAGCACTAACTTTCCTGTGTCTTTCAGTCTCTGGATCTGCCTCTTCTTGATATTCCATGTGAGTATTATGATTATACAATACATGGCCTTTTGTCTTGGGCTTCATCTACATAGATTAGTTGTCAAGTTTCATTCATGTTGTCGTATGAATCAATGCCTCATTTTTTATGACTGAATACTATATTTGTATGAATATACTACATTTTGTAGGAATATACCATATTTTACTTATCCATTCACCTGCTGAACGTTTCAGTTGCTTCTGTTTTTTAGCTATTATGAATAAGGCTGCTGAAACATGCATGCAAAAGTTTTTGTGTCAACACATTGTCTGAGTCCAATTTGTGTTGCTATAAAGGAGTATGTGAAGCTGGGTTATTTACGAAGGAAAGATGATTTTATTTTTTTTAAGCTCAAGCTCTGCAGGCTCTACAGAAAGCACGGCACCAGCATGTGCTCAACTTCTGGTGAGGGCTTTGCAGAAGCTGCAATGCATGATGGAGAAGGTCAAAGGGGAAGTGGGCATGGGTGAAGGGGGAGCAAACCCAGGGGCATCCTGGCTTTATAAGAAGCCACCATCATAGAAACAAAGTCATTTGCCGGAGAACCAATACAGCCTTGTGGGAGCAAGAACTCACCACCACTAAAGGCACCAAGCTAGTCATGAGAGATCTCCTCCCGTGACCCTAACACCTCCCACCAGGTCCCCCTCCCAACAGGTGACATTGGGAATTGAGATTTGGGGGGAACAAGCAAACCATATCCAACCATTGCCCAAATGTTTTGAATTCTTTTGGATATATACTGAGGCATGGAGCTTCTGGGCCATCTGAGAACTCTTAAGTTTAATCATGTGAGGAGCTGCATCACTTTGCATTGTACCAGGAATGTAAAAGTGTTCCAATTCCTCTACAACTTCTCCAACATGTCAAAGTATCTTTTCATTACAGCTGTCCCAGTGGGAGTCAAATGTATCTCAATGTGGCTTTGATGTACATTTCCCTCTGGTTAATGATGTTGGGTGTCTCTTCATCTGTTGTTGGCAACTTTAATATTTTCTTTAAAGAAATGGCTACTCAAATCCTTTCCATTTTTGAGTTGTATTCTGTCTTTTTATTAAGTTGTAAGTGTTCTTTTTATACATTCTGGACACCAGACCCTTATCAGATAAATGATTTGCAAATATTTTCTCCCACTGTCTCAGTTGTCTTTTCACTTATTTGATAGTGTTCTTTGAAACCCAAAAGTTTTAGTTTGATGAAGTTCAATTTATCTACTTTTTTTCATTTTCTTGTGTTTTTATTATCTAAGAAAACAATACCTAACCCAAGATAATGAAGACTTACACCTATGTGTTATTTTAAGAATTGTGTGGTTTTAGCACTTACATTCACGTCTTCAATCCGTTTCAAGTTGATTTTTCTATATGATGTGAAGTAGGGATCTAGCTGCATTTTTTTTTTTTTTTTTTTTTGCAAGTGGAAACTCAGTCATTACAGCACCTCCTATAGAGAAGACTATTCTTTCTGCACTAGAATTTCTTGACATTTGTTGGAAATCAATTGACCATTAATGTGTGGGTTTATTCCTGGACCCCCGATTCTATTCCATTGAGCTATGTCTATCTCCATACTAGTACCACACAGTCTTGATTATTATAGCTTTGTGTTAAATTTTAAAATCGGGAAGTATAAGTGCTCCAACATGTTTCTTCCTCAAGATTGCATTGGCTCTTCTGGGCCTCTTGCATTTACATAAATTTTAGGACTAGGTGTCATGTCTGAAAAAAAAAACCAGCTAGAGTTTTTGTAGAAATTGTTTGAATCTATAGATACACTTGGGTAGAATTTCCATATTAACAATGCTAAGTTTTCTAATTCTTAAACACAGATATATTTTCTTCTATCTAGGTCATCTTTAAGTTCTTTAAAATATGTTTTGTAGTGTTCAATGTGCAAGCCTTGAACTTCTCTTATTAAATTATCCTTATATATCTTATTTTTTAATGCTATTGAAATTTGAACTGCTTTTCTAATTTTACTTTTGGATTGTTCATTGTTACGGTATAGAATATAATTAGCTTTTATATATTAATCATTTATTCTATAACCTTACATTTGTTTATTAGCTCTAATAATGTTTTGAGAGTGACCTTAGAACTTTCTATATGTAAGATAATGTCATCTGCAAATAGACATAGATTTTTATATTCGTTTTCATCTGAGTGTTTTTTTTTCTTTTTCTTGCCAAGTTTCCTTCCTAAATCGACAGCACAACACTAAACAGGAATGGTCAGAGTGGCCACCCTTCTTTGTTCCTAATATTAGGAAGAAGGCACTCCTATTTTACCATTAAGTATCATGTTAGTTAGGAATTTTTTATAGTATTTTTATTAATTTAAGGAATTTCTTCCTATCCCTAGTTTAAGTTTTTTTCTAATGCAAATATATTGGATCTTGTCAAATGCTTTCTCTGCATCTATTGAAATGATCTTTTTTCTTTGTGTTATTCATGTTGTATATTATAATAATTGAATTTCATATTTTGAACCATTCTTGCATTCTAGGGATAAATTCCATTTGGTCATGTCACAGAAATCTTTTTATACGTTGCCTTATTGGTTGCTAGAATTCTACTGAGGGTTTTTCAATACTCACAAGTGGCATTGATATGTGGTTTTCTTGTGGTATCTTTATCTGGCTTTGTTATCAGGATAATACTAACCTCATGGAATAAGTTACAATGTGTTCTTTCCCTTTCTATTCTTTAGAAGAGTTTATAAAGAATTGGTACTCATGTTTCTTTAAACTTTGGGAGAATTCACCACCTGTCTGGTGGAGGCCTTTTCTTCATGAGAAGTTTTTGATAATTAACTCAATCTCTTTACTTGTTATAGGTCTATGCAGGTTTTCCATGAAAACTATCAGTTTTGAAAGTTTGTGGAGCTTTTAAAAAATTTGGCCATTTTGTCCATGTTTTCTAATTCATTAGCATACAATTACCAATGATAATCATTTATAAACCTTTTTATTTTTGAAAAGATAGCAACAACCCCTTCTCTCTTTTCTGATTTAATAATGTGATAATAATGTGAGCCTTCTCTCCCCACTCTCTTCAGTCTAACTAAATACCTGTTAATTCTGTTCATCTTTTCAAAGAACCAGGTTTGATTTTGTTAATTTTTAAAATTATTTTTCTATTCTCTATTTATTTCTTCTTACATCTTTACTATTTCCTTCCTTCTACTTGCTTTGGGGTTAGTTCTTTCTTATTTTATATTCTCTGCAAACGGAATATTTGATTATTGATTTTCGGTCTTTCTTCTTTTTTAATACAGATGTTTAGAGTTTTAAATTCCCTTCTAAGCACTGATGTAGCAGCATTCTGTAAGTTTTGTTATAACATGTTTTTGTTTCATTCACCTCAAAATATTTTATAATTTCTGTTGTGAATTCTTTTGACTCACTTGTTATTTAAAAGTGTGCTGTTTAATTTCCACGTATTTGTAAGTATTCCAAACTCCTTCTGTTACTGATTCACGGTGTCTTTCAAGTCTTCCATTTTCGTGTTGTTTTTCTCCTTTGTTGCTCCATTCATTATTAAAAGTGGGATATTGAAGACTTCAAATATTTACTTTTGTTAAGTTCTATATTTGTTTCTTTAATTCTGTCAGGATTGCTTCCTGCATTTTGAAGCTCTGGTCTTGTAACTGCCCAAGGGGCTCTTCCTGCCTGCTGCATAAAGAATGACCACAGGATTGTAGTAAAGAAAGAGAGTGACAGACACAAGGCCGGCCCCGCCACTTGGGAGATGGGGTTTGTACTCAAATCATCTCTTTCAAAGCTCACAGATTTTTTCAAAGGCAGTTTAGGGGAAGGGGCGGGAAAGGCCAGGTAATAGGTGCCGACTGCTGCTTGGTTGGGACAGAGATGAAATCACAGGGGGTGGAAACTGTCCTGTGGGCTGAATCATGGCTGGGGGGGGCAGCAGGAGTGAGGTTGGCCGGTCGAGATAGAACGATGGGTGTGATGCATGCAAAAAACCTGAAAAGATGTCTCTAAACTCCAGTCTTTGGTTCTCCAATAGTGATGTTATTTGCAGGAGTAACTGGGGAATTTGCATAACTTATAACCTGTGGAATAATGGCTGGCAATCATCTCTCTGTGCCTTAGCAGGCCTCAGGCTCCTCTCCTCCACCTAGTGCCTCTTATTAGCTTAAAAAAGCAGTTGAGTTTCCCACCAAGGCCTATTATCATGTTTAAATGACTTCCAATGGCATCCTGGCCCAATAGCCCTGGAATAATTAAGGGAAAGGCAAGGTGGGGGGTGGATTAGTGCAGACCTCTTTCACTGTCATAATTTTCTCACTGTTGTAATTTTTGCAAAGGTGGTTTCAGTGTAAGGTATTTTTTGGCAGACATCTTCCTGTTCAGTGGATCAAGAGTAAAACAAATGTTTATTGTTAGACTCTGGCCAGAAAAGTGATCATACCAGAAAATACTCTCTTTTTGTAAACATGTTATTCAAGGACTGAAAACACCTGTAGCACTATTTCTAGAAATGATGCTATGAACAAGTAAAACACTAGCTGGAGAGAATAATGTAGTCACAGATGTAAGACCATAAGGAAAAAAAACAAAACTGAATACACATTAAAGCAGTCACTCAGGCATATATAAAGATTCCCTGTGGTTTAGGGCCAGTGATTACAGTTTGTGGTGATTTTGTTTATAATACAAATTCCAAAGGAACTAAAAATGTTTCAGCTGGAATCCCTGGGTACATTATATTTGTTAAATTTTAGAATCTATCATCTATCTATTTCTCTATCATCTATCTATCTATCTATCTATCTATCTATCTATCTATCTATCTACTTCTAGTGAGTGGGAGGTAAAGAATAAAGAATGTCTGGCTAATGGAAAATTCTCGTATAATATCTATTCATATCACAAGTGTAAGAAGATTTTGATAGAAAAACAAACACATTTGATCATTCAGTGTGAACTCCCTTTGCTCAGTTGGAATTTGTTTTCAACATATCTGGGTTTTCTCATCAGCCTCTAGTTAAAACAGTGAAATTTTGTATAGGAAAGATGGTAAATCAGGGATAAGACCCTGAGTGTCGTAACACTGTGAAATCTCACAATTTCAAAAGTTTTATTCATTTACTAAACTTGTATGATCATCTATAACCCTGCATTATGGAATAGTTGTGAATTGTGAGATTATTTAATAATAAAGAAGTGTCTTCTCATTTCAGCCTCCAAGCATTGTGGAGAGCTGCTAATACCAAATAAAATAAATTTTCTAGCCACATCATAAAACTGATTGTAGCAGTTGCAGCCATCTCCACTTGACCAGCTGGCTTTTTTAACATTAAAAAGAACTCTGCAGTAACTTCAGAATCCAACCTTGGGAGCTAATTTTAACTTACCTAATAGTGTGAATAGTTTTATAAAGCATTCATTATGGAGTTATTATTCTTTGGAATGTATTTGAATTTGGTCTACAGTGAAAGAAGTTTGGCACTTAGTCTGAGGAATTATCTGTTTTACCGTTAAAGATTACATTTCTCCATTTTTCTTAAAAGTTGCAATGTTATCTTTGGCACTACCTGAATGAATTTTTGTTGGAAAAGATGCTAACTTCAGTTTTTAAATGTGGGTAATTTTTTTTCCAGCAAAATATGAACAAAAACCTAAGAAAGTGACATGGAGCTAAAGCAGTGGCCAAAATTGCCTGAGCGAATAAAATGTCTTTAATTAATTGGCCTTAGTGTGTAAGAAACAAAATAATGTTTCCTGTTTTATACATGCCCATTTTTAGTAGTTTATTAATGTCAAACTTAAAAAATAGCAGTAATTGAATATGATTTCTATGGGAAAAAACTTGTGTAAAGCAGGAGTAATAAATGTAAGTGTTTTTATTTTACTTATACCTAAAAGAAGAATTTCTCACTTAACTAGGTTGAGATAATATGTATTTGCATTGATTTGTCTCTGCTATATTTTTATATGGGGCATGTTCAGTTGTATTTTGGTAGATATTTTGAAATAAAATTTTCAGCCGTGTTGCAATAAAAATAAATCTAGAAAATTGACCGATATATTTCCCAGGCAAAAATATCCTTAACTAATCCTAGCTTTGCAGCTCAGCTCATTACTGCATGTCCTCTGAATTGATTTTACTATCCAGAGTTTCAGAGACCTGTTTTCAGTATACTGTTTACTGTTATTCCTATGCAGATTTGCAATATCGGAAAGTTACCTGCAGATTTACTGTTGTTTATCTGGAATCCTTTTAAGAGAAAGGCACTGCAATTGATCTTAATAGAAACATGTTCACAGAAAATTTAGCATGAAGAGTACAACCAAGACTCCTTAGATTGCTTTAATATTGAAAGAAGAAACACAAAGAAATATGCTTGTGTATCAATAACTACCTTTTGTAATACAATAAAAAGTTAATTACCAGAAGGCAATTTTACCAAAATAATGTACTGCCTTGCTAAAGCTGCCTTTTTTGTTTTCCAAAGAAAAACAGTACAAAACAGATACGTACTGACAAGTTAGAAACAAGTTGGAGGATTAAAGATTCAACAGAACTGTGTCAAGAATGCTGCAGATTATGATACAAACCATTGTGAGATTTCTTTTTCTGAAAATATGTGTGAGGATTCCCATGTGAGTTCTGCTCAGACAATGCAAAATACTGCTTCATCGCAATTAGATAAGAAATCCTTTTGTTTAGTTACAAGTAGAATGAGACATAAAATATCATAAAAATGGAAGATCTTTTCTGTTATGCTACTGCAGAGTTCCTAAGCTTGTAAAATCTGAAATAGCTTATAGTTTTTTAAACTTTTTTTTCAATACTTAATAATAGTTAAGTGAGCATGGTTTCCAAACCAAGCATCAGGACGTATGTTCCAACATCTCTTATTCTCCTCTCCTAGAACTAGAACATTCTATTTGGAACTTTGTTCTGCTGATGAATGTAGAACATGAACAACATGAGTAAAATAATAGAAAAAAAGGCTGATAGATCAACCAGGTGAAAGCAAAGATCCATTTAGTCAAAAAGATTCTAATTTAACATCTTCTCTCTTTTTTAGCACTATGCTACAATTTAGAAATATAAACAAGACCCCATGCTCTTTGCTCAAAGGAGCTAATTTTGACAGGACAGGGGATCTTGAAATATCGGAAATATTAAAATACTGAAAGTGTCTGATATGAGACATTGGTGGCAGCTCACTGGTTTGCAGTTTGAGTTCAGGCAACCAAATCAAAACAAAACAAAACTCTAACAACCCTCAGAATTAAAAAACGTAATTCAGAGCTGCTACATGTTTAAAGCAGGCATGAGCTGTGGAAATGCCCAATGGAAGGAAGGGAAAGCTCCTTAGAAGTGGTCATTTTTGTGGCTTTGAGTGAATTAACGCGGTCAAAGAACTCAAAAGGAGCTCTTTAGAGAACAGTCAGCACTGCAAAGGATCCTTTAAATAGGCAAGTAAAATTTAAAACATAAAATTCAGAATAATCAATAATGATATCTTGCATGTATTTTCATATTTGCAGTGTAACCAGTTTACCATTTTTGCTAGTCATAATAATTAAAATTTTAGTTTTAACTACTAGGGAATGGTGAGTGGTAAGGGCGGAAAGTAGGGAATCCACTTCTGCTTCTTAGAAAAAATTTTCACTAAAGTTGAAGACTATTTTTTTTAATGGGTTCTCCTTTTTTAAGAGTAGCATAAAGAAGTCAGGCAATTCCAATCCATAGAGTGTAAATATGAAAACAGGACAAAAATAGTAGAAAGAATCATTTGAGGGCATTGGAAAATGACCAAAGGCCAGCAACAATGAGAGAAATGTTTGCTATGAAAATCTGCTTTACCACATCAAGTAAAAAGGTCAGCTTTGGGGGTTTTGCCTAGGGATATTCCCGACTTGCCCCAATGTAGGCAGTATAAGCCAGTGACTTTACCAGTTAGAGGTGGTAGACGAGGTTTGGGGTAACCAATAAAGCAGCTAAACATTTAAGGATGATATTTTTGAAATAAGAAAGGCTCAGTCACATAGAGAAGCCCCATAAAAGGGATGAGACACTAAACAGATCATCGCACAACTACTAAACGATGCATGTGTGTGGAGATGATAGAAAGCACAGTAAAACTGAATCCTTGGAAAGAACTGTGAATTCGCTGATTTTTGACTGTGTTCTTTAATCTGAACCACGCCTGAGTGACAGAGAGTGGGAATCTTTCTGGCTTGGGGTGTTTCAGCATAGCCTCTGCATAAATAACTGCATAATCACTAAGCAGTAGAGCTAAAAACCCCAGAAAGCTAGCCATGAACAAATACACAAATAGGTACTCCCAATGGGAAAATGGAAATATTGAAAAAGAAGTAGACGTTCTAGAGATTTAAAAAGGACAATGTATGGAATTAAAAAAAATAACTAGAGGCTATAACAGCAGATTTGAGATGGCTAGAGAAAGAATAAAGGAACCCAGATTTAGATGAATAGAAATAATCTAATACGATGAAATTGTTTTTAAGATGAAGGAAAACAAGAGCTTCAGTAATCTGAGGGCTAACTTCAATAAAGCAATAATTAAAATTCCCAAAAGACAGTAGAGATAGGGAGCAGAAAACCAAATTTAAGTTATGGCCAAAAACTTCTTGACTTTTACAAAAGTTTCAATTTGTAGGTCAAAGAAGTTCACCAAACCCCAAATAAGATAAATGCAAAGAAAATTATGACTAGACACACAGACACACTCTTGTAAACCATAGATAATGAAGAAAAAAATTAAATAATATATAACATATAAAGGAAAGAACAATAAATAATGGTTAATTTCAGAAAAAACAGTGGACAGAAAACATTAGAATGATATAAAATCAACCAAGAATTCCATATTCAAGAATACTACCTAGCAGAAATGAACATGAAATAAGACATTTCCAGCTTATCAGAAACTTAGGAGAATTAGTTGTTAACAGGCATGCCCTACATACAAGAAATGATCCAGTTAAGTCCTTCAGGTCTGAGGAAGAGTGTACCAGATGAGACCTTCCATGAACAAAAATAGAAGCACTGAAAGAGGTAAGTATCTGGGCAAACACAAAATATTATACACACACACACACACACACACACACACACACATATTCATACATAAATGTTTGTATATACATTCTTTTTATCTCTTAATTTTTAAACAGCATATGATTGTATAAAGCAAATGTTACAACAGTGTTTCTTTTTCAGTTTATTTTATGTGTTTGTATACAACATTTGAATATAATAAAAAGGCAGATTGAATGAAGCAAATTTTCTATATTCTGTAAGAAATAAGTCAACATTAAATTAAAGTCGATTTTGATAAGTTAAAATAATATTGTCATCACTAGAGCAACTCTGAAAAAAATTCAAAGATATATAGCTAACTACTCAGTAGCGGGGTTAAAAAGATACACTACAAGTGTCTGTTCAATACTGAAAAGGGCAGTAAAGGAGGAAGAAAAAAAAGAAATAAGACTAATAGAAAACAAATAACAAAATATCAGTCTCACTACCCTACTAACCATCATTTTAAATGTAAACGGACTAAATATTCCAGACAAACTTCAAACATTATTAGATTTTTTTAAGCAATGAAAATAGACTTAAGAGTAAGAAATATTTACAGTGACAAAGAGATATTTTGTAATGGTAAAAGAGTCTCAGGGAAGGAAGATGCAACATTTATAAATTTTCTTCCACCAAAAAACAGATATCCAAAATAATTACAACAAAATATGACATAATTAAAATAAGGGAAAAAATTAAAAATGTTAATACTTTAGGAATCGATAAAAGTAGTACAAAAATATTATAAGAATACAGAAGACTTGAACAAGAATATAAATTTCTTTAACCTAATTGATACTTAGAAAATATTCCCTGCAATAAGACAAGATTTTGCCTATTCTTCCAAGCACACATACAATATTGACATAAGATAGACAATATGGTGGGCTGTAAAACACATCTCAAAATTTAAAAGGATTAATATAATAAAGAATATATCCACTAACAACAGAGAAAAAGAGTAGATATTAATAACAAATAAACTGGTGGAATTGCCCAGCAACTGAAAACTAAACAACATACTTTTATCCACTGGTCAAAGGAGAAATCTCAAGGAAATTAAAATGCATTTAACCGAAGGAAAATAAAAACATGAGGAAAATTGTCCTATAGATAAAGCAGCACTTAGAGGTAAATTTACAGCTTTTTATAAATTTCATAGAAATTCACTTCATTGTTGCTGCTTATAGAAATAATAGAAACCTCTATACAAAGTTTTCCAGAAAATAAATAGTAATACTTTCCAATTTATTTTTTGAGTCCAATATTACCATAATACCAAAGCCAAACAAATAAATTTTTAAAAACCATGTAGATCCATATATGCAAGACCTCTTAATCAAATGTAAACAAAATAAATCCAACAATACATATCAACTTTAATGTATTCTGAATAACTCAGCATTATCTCTGCAGTATAAAATTGGTTTAATATCTAAATCTATCAAAGCAATTCGCCATATTAACTAAATAAAGGAGATTATATGATCATTTCCATTGATACAGAGAAAAGACACGGGAGATATTCAGCCTCATTAAAAATATGTTCTCAGCAGTCTAGAGAAAGAACTCTATAAAAGTAATCTACAAAATTCCTATGGACACCTTCAGAGTTAATAGTCGAATACTGAATGCTTGATACAATATCAGAAACAAGGCAAGGATTTTCACTCTCACCACTTTTGTTTAATATTTCACTGGGTGTTCTGGTCAGGACAATAAGGCAAGAAAAAGAAACAAAACTCATAATAGAGTGGGGAGAGAAAAAGTAAAGTGTCATCAATGACATACAATCTTGTTTGTAGAATATTAAGAAATCTAAAAACAAGCTAGCAGAACTAACAAGTCAAATTAGCAAGCCACAAAAATCAGTAAAGAAATTTAATAATGTTTACTTATACTAGAAACAAATAATCTGCAAATAAAATTTTAAAAATACATTTTTTTTTTTTTTTGAGACTGAGTCTCACTCTGTCACCCAGGCTGGAGTGCAGTGGCACGATCTTAGCTCACTGTAATCTCTGTCTCCCAGTTTCAAGAGATTCTTCTGCCTCAGCCTCCTGAGTACCTGGGACTACAGGCACCTGCCACCACGCCTGGCTAATTTTTGTATTTTAGTAGAGATGGGGTTTCACCATGTTCATCAGGCTGGTGTTGAACTCCTGACCTCAGGTGTTCCTCGGGTTCCTAAAGTGCTGATTACAGGTGTGAGCCACCGCACCCAGCCTACTTTTATGTTTTTTTTTTTTCTGTTTCTTCCAAACTACCATTTCTCTTCATTAATTATCTCTCTGTATATATATATATATATATATATATATATTTTTTTTTTTTTTTTTTTTTTTGAGATGGAGTCTCACTCTGTCGCCCAGGCTGGAGTGCAGGGGCACGATCTCGGCTCACTGCAAGCTCCGCCTCCCGGGTTCACACCATTCTCCTGCCTCAGCCTCCAGTGTAGCTGGGACTACAGGTGCCCGCCACCACGCCCAGCTAATTTTTTGTATTTTTAGTAGAGACGGGGTTTCACCATGTTAGCCAAGATGGTCTCGATCTCCTGACCTCGTGATGCGCCCGCCTCGGCCTCCCAAAGTGCTGGGATTCCAGGTGTGAGCCACCGCACCCGGCCAAAATACATTCTTCATTGCACCACACTGGCTTCAGAAAGCTTTGCTGTTGGAAATTCAGAACTTTCTTTTGTTTCAGTTAACCTACTTCTTACGGCCGCATCCCAGACCACGTCATCATTCAAAAGTATTCTGTCTCTCAAAGTGTAAATCCTGAGATTCTCCTCCTATGTGTTTCTCTTTCCCTATCCCAGCATTCCACGCCTAAATGAGACCCAATACCTTTTCTTATGAATTCACCACCTAGAATGGAACATGGGTATTACCCATGAGCTAAGTCAATACCCCACCATCACCAAAACACTGGTGCTGTGACCAGAATTACCAGCCTTCCAAGGATGGCTGAGGGGAGGTGAGGAAAGGCTTTGCCCCAGAAACTATGTTGAACCTGGGCACTGGAGGATGTACAGGATGTTCTCAAGTTAAAAAGGGATGTATCACTTTTTTGAAGAGAAGAGCATGGGCAAAGGCGCAGTGCAGTAGTCTGCCAGTGTCGACATAATAAAAAAAAACCAACAGGTGGGTTAAGCAGCAGAAATGTATTTCTCACCGTTCTGAAGGCTGGAATCCAAAATCAAGGTGCTGGCAGGGCTGGTGTCTCCTGAGGCCTCTCTTCTCAGCTTGTAGACAGGTGCCTTCTTTCTCTGTCCCCAGGTGGCCTTTCCTTTCTGTGTGAGCATTGCTAGGGTCTCTGCCTCTTCTCGTAAGAAAGCTAGTTCTGTGAGACAAGAGCCCCATACTTACGATCTCATTTAACCTTATTTACCTTATTAAAAGACCCCATCTCCAAACAAACGTTAAGGTTTCAACATATAAATTGTGAGGGAACAATTCGGCACATAACACACAGATGTATGTATGTGGGGAACAGGAAGAAAGGAAGGTTAGCTAGAATATTGGTCAGGGAAGTTTGAAAAGTAAGTTGAAAGCTAGTCTTTTGAATGTTACGTTTGAAGGGTTTTGTGTGTGTGTGCGGGTAATGGAAAGGTTTGAAAGGTTTGCCCACAGTGCATAATTATGAGTTTTAGAAATGAAAACAATGGCAGGAGAGATGAGGTATTAATGCAGAAAGGAGCTGAAGTATCAGAAGGTGTAAGAGGGCCTGAATTAAAGTGGTGGGGCTGGAAGGCAGGTGAAGTGGCTAAGTTAATCGACATTTGAGAAGGAGGGGAGAGGAGCAAAGGAACTGTGGTGGGGCGTGAGTGTGCTCCTGAAGCAGGGACGTTGTTGTGTGTGCTGGCGTCGGGGCTGGGAGCGTGCCCGGAGCTGCAGCCTTGGACACCATAAGCCCAGAAGTGAGTGAAGGACACACAGGGTAGGCTGAGAGCACACCTTTCAGGAACACCCACCTTTAAAGGATAGATGAAGAAAGGATTGCCATACGAGGAGACAAGAAAGTGATGTTCTGAGGAAAACGAAGTCTGAGAAAGTGTGTCACAGAAACCAAAAAAGAGAAAGTACCAAGGAAAGAAGAGGATTCGCAGGGTTAAACATTCCCAACGTGTCAGACAGAATGCTCTGAAAATGGAAGCCTTGAGTTAATAGTTGGGGGTGCACAGGTGGCCATGCTGGAGCTGTTTCTTCAGAGAAGGACGAGCGGAGGCCACGCTGTTGTGAGTTGAAATTAAACGTAAAGTCTTAACCTTGCCTTTGAAAGATCAACTCATCTGACTAACTCTTCTGAGGAGGCTGAAAATAAAAAGACAGTGCTGAAGTTAATATTACTTTTAGGACAAGGAAAATCATGAGTGGTATACAGACAGGTAGGTGGGTAGATTTTTGGGCCCAGAGGATGAGGGAGGGAGCACTTAACAAAAGCCCAGAGCAAGAGTGAGCCTTCCACAGAGGTGTGCGCAGGTGTGTTTGGAGGAGGGTCTTTCTCTGTAACGGGAGAAAAAATTCCCCGAAGCTGACACTCATCCAGTGCCCAGTGGTTCAGTCATGCCTGTGTTTAAAATACTGCAGTGCTGTCACAACGGTTGTGGTGTATGTGGCTCTGAGGGTTCACACGCCGAGCTCTCTCCACATCGTATCTGCCATTCCAGCCCACGTCCTTCCCAGCAGAAGGCCTCGGAAAACATGCATTCTAGTTCTGATCACTCAGTGCCCATTCCTCCCTAATTGCTGAATATTTTGAATATCACCCTGGATATCAAAGTTGTGAATATAGATTTGGAGCTTGATGTAAAAGAAGCTAGGGAAGCCCATGTCTCTGATTTTCAGGCACTCGCATGTTAAAAATCACCTGCTGGAAAGGACCAAGCAAACATGCTGAGGGAGCATGAGAAACAGGAAAATGGTGGGCACTGGTGAGAGCACTCTTACCAGACTGCGAGGTCCAGGCTAGGCGGGAAGGGACTTTAACTCACAGGGGGGCCCAGGACTACAAGAATAGGTCAGAATCAAGTGAAGAAAGGCCATGGTAACAGAAGCCTAAGGCATAGGAGGGGAGAAGGGCTGAGGGATAGGATGCTAAGACAAGGAAAGAGACGGAATAGGAAAATAATTTCAGCATGTCCAGTTTCAGAGACTGAGCAGTTTTGAGAGATGATGTGCTGTGGGATTCTGTCAGGAGAGAAGCTCAACAGAAGAAGAAGAAGTTTCTGAGTCAGGAGGAGCAAGGCTGTGAGACAGGGGTGATCACGGTTGGGGTGGACACTGTGAGTGAACCAGGAGGACAGAAGGAGGTGGAATGGGAAAAACAAAGAGTGAGCCAAGTGATAGAGAGACGTGACCAATGACAACATGAAGGAAGTTGGTGCCATATCCTGAGAAACCTTACAGGCAGGGGAAACATGAGGCGGTCCTTATGCTGCTTGTTATGTTTCCAATGTGATTCAAACAGGGAGATTCGCAAAGGCCAGTGCTGATTACTAATGTGCCTTGCAGCAGATGTAAATAAAACTGGTTCTTACTTCAAAGCTTTCTTTTCTAGCAGCACTGCCCACATGGGTCTATTTGGCAGAGAAAAGACGAGGGGTGCCCCTCTGGACATATTCACACAGACTATGGTCTGAAATTGTACTGTTTGAAACACTGGTAAAATGTAGTTGCTCAAGAAATGTATAACACTGCCTTCCAAGTCAGAGCTCCAACATAACTCTTTGCAGTTATGTGAAGTGAGCAGTGCATTGTCATCCTGGAAAGCCCGGCTCCTTGGTTGAACCTCTAATGATTTCTTGCCCTTTTATTGCTTGAGAGAGTAAGGGGAGTGGGACCGCTGAGTTACTGCAGTAAGAATGCTTGCCCTGGGATTTCTGCAGCCACCAACCTGGCTGACAGGTTATATTCTCCAGTCAGCATTTGCCTTTTTATTGTGATTTTGTTTTATGCATAGTGGTAATAAATAATACATCTCTCAGCACACGGCCCATCACCATGGAATCCAAAAGCCATTCAGTATCGAACCTTCCCTTTGGAATTTTAAGTGCAGAGCTGCTGGTTGAGAAAGCCACATCCCCAATATGCAGAGATAATAGAAAGTTAGAAGTTTAACACACCTGTGCTATGTTATAAAGCAAAGGATATACAGCAATGCAAGACCAGCATAACTCAAACTAGGTATCTTTCTCAAGCAGTAAAAATCTCCAACCCATTAAAATGACTGATACTATTGCTCTGTATTTATATAGTGTCTTCCTACAAAGGAGCTTAAAATGTTTTACTAACATTTTCTCATTAACTCTCCCTTCATCTCCATGAAATATGCGGTGAGAGTTGGGACTGCTGTTTCTTCTTGCATTACCCATGGTTAATGTGATGCCTGGAGAGGCTGTAAACCCAAGGTCATTCTGTGGGTTGGTGACAGTAAGAGCTCCTTGCATCCGTTTCTCTCCTTTCCTCCATGTCAATGGTGATGTCTCTATCCAGCTTTTCTCTGTCTTCTCAATCAGTGAGAATAGATCTGGTTGGGGATAACGGCTCTAAGACTATGCATCAAATTGATGATAATATCAGCAAATTTTCATTTATCTAAATTATTTGCCATTAATTAAATATTTCATAATGATTATCTGTAATTTTTCTGATAGGCAATGGGGAAGAGATTATTGTAAATAATAAAAGGAGAACAATCATTAATCAGCTGTGCACATTTCTGCTTTTGAAAAATATGAACGCAAGAAAGGAGAGAAACACTGAAAAACATGAGATCGATCTGAAAAACAAGTATGGTTTACACGCGTGGAATCACCTTGTCTTCCGTGACTGTGACAATCGTTCACATAAACATCTTCACGTTACTGTAAGAGGTGAAATGGTGCACAGCACATTGAAAATTTTAATGAAGACCAAAATATTTCCCTTAAAAATGACATCATAAAGCAACAAAATTGCCTTTTTTTTTTTTTTGAGACGGCGTCTGGCTCAGTCGCCCAGGCTGGAGTGCAGTTGGGCGATCTCGGCTCACTGCAAGCTCCACCTCCCGGGTTCACGCCATTCTCCTGCCTCAGCCTCCTGAGTAGCTGGGACTACAGGCACCTGCAACCACGCCCAGCTAATTTTTTGTATTTTTAGTAGAGACGGGGTTTCACCGTGTTAGCCAGGATGGTCTCGATCTCCTGACCTTGTGATCTGCCCGCCTCGGCCTCCCAAAGTGCTGGGATTACAGGCGTGAGCCACCGCGCCCGGCCAAAATTGCCTTATTTTGATTAACATATTCAATTGCCTGAAATTAATTTTTTTGAAGGATCTTCAACTGTGACGATGTTTTCTTGTGCCTCTGTGGCTTTACCGTACTGTCTCTTCACCCCAAGCAGTTCATAGTTATATCATTTCCTGAAGTCTTTCTGGAGCCCACAGAAATGTAGGTCTCTCCATCTACCGGGCTCCCACTGCACTCTGCAGGAGCATTTCTTGTGCAGCTCTCATCCCAAGATTCCCCACGTGTGTTTATGTGTCAGCCTCCTCTCTTAGAACACAGCCAGCTAGTTATCAACTGTCGTTCCGGAGCCTGGCATATGAGACGCATTCTCACTGAGAAGAATGAATGACTTAGCCAGTCCCTGCTGGTTGCACTGCATCTTACTGCCTTACTCCATTTATTTACTGCATGAGTCTGTAGCTAGAGAAATATAAATGAAGTAATGAGTGAAGGCATCCAGCTGATCGATAAATGTATTGTGGTGAACGTGAGGCTCCCTCAAGCAGTCTTAGAACAGTACGTCCATAGCAGGTTTGGCTTTCAGCATCAACGAGTCCATAGGTCAGGTGCAAAATCAGCTATTACCCTGGGCCGTACAAGGAGCCTCTCAGTCTGCACAGTTTATTCACAGTGAGGAAAGGTATAGCTATTAGAGAGCATTTTGTCATTGTTCACTGATGTGTCCACTTATGTTGGCTTATTTTAAAAAATAAATTGGTTGCTGTCTTGAGTATCTTCCATTAATCAAGTTACCAACACAGGATTTGAAAACATTTTCTTTAACAGCTCTCAGTCTTACTCCCAGACATGAGTAGAGCCATGACAATTCTAATATTTAAAATTATTTGATGTTTTCACTTTAATTGCACAGATTAGGTCCTCATGGTAGGTTAATCCCACGCTTTGCCAAAGATTATCGTATCTTTACTCACATCCCCTTCCTCATGTGTCCTTTCCACTTATTATCATTCTTTGGGTTTTTCTGTCACCTCACCCCTGTCATACATTCACACACACACACACACACACACACACACACACACACACGTGTATATACAATAAGTTTCTATTAGGGTAGCATTGTACAAATGGTGGGCATTCAATAAATGTTTAATATGCATTTTAAAACAGTGTATGCAAGAGTAATCATCAAAAGTCATATGACTCTTCTCTTTTCATGTAGCATCCTTCAGAACTGCATTATAGAAGGGAGATAGCTTAAATACTCAAGCTAAAGAAAATGTACATACATTTGTGATAACAATATTATATCTCACTTCATAAATTGCCAATTTGAATATTTTGGTGTAAAAATTTAGAAGTATATCTTAATCCTATTAAGAGACATCGTCAGTGAGATACATTTGATGTTAAATCACGTGATTAATAACACTCAAATTTGCCATGACAAGGCACTGCAATAAGAACTTTCCCAGATAATAAACTTGACCACTGGTATGCACTGCCAACCGAAGGTAAGGATCAGTATTCTCACAGGTTAAGAAAAGTACCTTTGACGGTATTTTTACAAAGTTCTGTAATTCAGTATTTCCTTCAGCTCAGTGGGCATGATGGTGTCGGTTGAGACTTTAAAGATGTTATTGTCAAAATCATTTTACTTCTCATAAAGAAGCATTTTGCCTTATCAATTTCAGAGTACAGGTTCACTGGCTGCTTTGAAATGTTGTTGAAATGTAAGAGACTACAAGCAACTATACTAATCAGTATGCAATTGCTACACCAAAAATGCATGAGTTTTTCCATGATTCCTCTTTCTAGTAATAATTAATTACCTAGTGGGTTTATTTATTTAGAGTTTTGAGGATTGCAAGTATGTTTCTTTTTGTAAATAGATACTAATTCTTCTAAGGATTCAAGTAGACATACAGAATGAACATTCCCTTAGTTTTTAAATTTTATTATAAATGGATTCCAGATCAGCATTTCCCTTGTCCATGTATATGTGGCTGTCATCAGGAGGAGATGAATAGCTATTAACTATAGTAGTGACAATGCCAATGGTAATAATATTAATCCTTTAATATCCACTATGTGCCTTTTTCTATGCTAAATATTTTATATTTATATGATCACATTCAACATTTTGTGTGTAATTTTACACTTAGCTTTCTACTTTTTCTGAGTCTGATCTCCCCAAAGGTATCTTACCACAACAAGTACTGGAGTAAGAACTATTTTAAATGCCAGTTTTAAACATGTCTCAAATTCCTCTGGCTTAAACATTCTCTTATTCTATCTGTTTAGAATAAATATATTTTTATTAAAGAAATCTCTTTTTAATAAATGACTATTTTTTTTCTAATTTCCTCTTCCTCTTTTTTCTCCCCTTAGTGGTGTATGGGTCTACCAGGTGCCTAACCTTCCCTGTAACTATGCCCAGGGGAGCCTATTCCAGTCACTAATGCTGCTAACGAGTCACTCTAAAATGTGGTGAGTAAAGCAACAGTGACTGTATTGTGTCTCATAGCATCTGCGCTTTGAAGACGGAAGAGCTCCTCTGGCTTGTGGTTTCTCAATGAATTGCCCACAGGTGGTGGCTGAAGCTGAGACCACAGGAAAGGAATGGCTACGTCCTGGCCAGGCACCCAGGCACCTCTATCTGATCTCTCTGCATGGATTAGTTAGGGCTTCCTCCCCAGCTAATGGGGAAGGTGCTTGAAGGCAGAAATCTGTTTCCATGAAAACCGAGCTCTTCAAAAGCAAGTATCCCCGTGGTCATCACCTTTCTGGACCCAGCCCAGGGAAGCACACAAGTTACTTCTGCTGCACTGTCCAGGTTACAGGCAAGTTACAGGCTCACTCAGATTCAAAGGAAGGGAACATAATTCAGAATGCTCAGTGCAAATATTGTCAAGATCCCTTTGCAAGAGCATGTGGAATGGGAAATATCCCTGTGGCCACTTTTGCATAATACAGTCTGCCTTAGGGGCTCTGGTCATCGGTGGCCTGAGCCACAGAGGCTGCTCTTGTCAGTAGATTGGCCTGTGGTGATGTGCCACTGATCCTGTCTGGCGTCTGCCTCTGGCTCCCACGTTTCTCTTTTCCACAAGCTCCTGGTCATACCCTGAGGGCTCACTGTCCTCTCAGCACCCCTGCTTTGATCACCAGGGCACATGGAACCCCACACATTCCACTCACACTGTGGACAACTAGGAGTGTTATCTCAGGCTAACAGGTGTGTCCTGCCAATCCAAAGGAGGGGTTTCTGTTATTACCAGGGAAAGAGGTTTAACTGCCCAATGGGTTTTTCCTGCTTGCTGCACAAAGACAGACCACATTATTACAGTAAAGAAAGAGTTTAATTGATGTGAGACTGGCCAGGCCATGTGGGAGACAGAGTTATTACCTAAATCAATCTCTTTGAAGGCTCTCATAGGTTAAGGGTTTTTCAAAGGCAGTTTAGAAGGGGCAGCGGTGGCTAGGAAATGGATGTTTGCTGCTAATTGGTTGGGGTGGAGATGAACTCGTAAGCAGTTGAAGCTGCCTCTTGAGCTGAATTGCTCCTGAGTGGTGGGTGCTACATGGGTGGTTTGGCAGGTCCAGTTGGAGCCATCTGTGTCAGACATGCAAAAAACCTGAAAAGCCATTTCAAAAGTCCAGTCTACTATAGTGATGGTATCTGCAGGAGTAATTGGGGAAGTTGTTTATCTTGTGACCAGTCTATACCTTAGCAGAATTTAAGCTCTTTTTCTCCCACTAGCCCAATGGTCTCTCATTAGCTTTACAAAGATGGTTGAGTTCTGAGGAAAGGCTGTTATCATTTAAATTATAACCTAATTGTCTTCCAAATTTACCTAGGCCCAGGAATAATTAAGGCAACTGGAAAGCTAGAGGCAAAAGGAGGCGTTGGCAAGATCAGACCTCCCTTACTGCCATAATTTTCTCATGGACATAATTTTTTTGAAGGCCATTTCAGAGGCCGTGTAACCTTGGATGGCTTAGAACCCTTCATGACTCTGTGGAGGGTTCTGTATCCTCTGTCATTAGAGAGACCCTGTGATGGAGGAAAAGGGAAAGAAGCTCTGCTATTTTCCTTCTCACTCTTCCCTACATATGTCCGCATCTCTAAACAAGATCAAACCTATGGTTATTAACACATAATAAAACATCATATGCATTCATTCATCCAACGGATCGAATTCATTGAGCACCGGTCTGTGGCAGGCTCTGTCCCTATGAAGCCTGCATGCGAATGGAAAAGACTGACCTGGGAAGGATGGACATAGTAAATAAGTAATTGAAGGCCATGGGAAGGGATGAGGAGACAGAGCACAACAGAGGCTGACATTTTGGAGACAGTGGTGAGGAGAACCTCTCCAAAAAGGTGATTGTGAGCAGAGATCTCAGAAAGTTCCAAAGCAAATTGTGTGCAGATCTGGAGGAAGAGCCCTTGAGGCAGAGTGCAGGGACCTGCTATGAACACAGGGTCAGGTTGCTAGAAGAAAGACAGTTGTAAACAGCTCACATTGATTGAGGGGGAGATGGGCAAGAGAAGATGTTTGCAGAGTTGGAGACAGCAGGGATCCCCTGATGCCACGCAGGCCGCTTTCGGGAGTCGGGATTTTATTCACTGAGGAGGCATGTCATGTGTGCCATTCTCAGCTCACCTTTTTCTCTCTAACTTATTTCCAGGGCCTGTCTATGTGGGTGTCATAGACCCAGGCCATCCTGTTGTCGAGGCCAGGGGAAAGCTTCCCCTTTATGCTCTGCAGGTTTGCTGAAAAATCAACTCACGAAGGAGACTAATAGGAGAAAAGACAGGCAAATTTATTTGATCTTAGTGGAGTCTTCAGACTGCGGACCCAGAGATGCAGGGGAAATTGTCCATTTTTATGCTTAGGTTCAACAACGTATGGACAGCTGTGTGGAAATAGGATTAAACAAAAAGGGTGTGATCTAGTGCTGAGACACTGGGTGGACTGAGACACTGAGTGGGGGCACCCAGCAAGGCCTGACATGCAGATTCTTCCTGGCCTCTCTGGGCATCATCCCTCCCCTCTGGTGTGGGGCAGGGCCCTCTCTGCAATGGGGTCTCATGACCTGCAGTCAAAGTCGGTCGGAGAGTGTCTTTATTGCCAGTTTTGCATGGAATTGAGGGGGCAAAGCTGGAATAATATTTTAGGTTTTATGGCTGGCATAGGGCAAAAGGGATTCTGGTTTCTATAACCTGCTTTGTGGAAGAGGGATTCCAGTTTCTATGGCTGGCCTCAGGGGAGAATGAGACTGAGATAGGTGGGCAGGAGACAGGGAAAAACATTTGTTTCTGAGGACTTCATTTTGGGTTATTGTTTTCTGAGTCCCAATACTATATACTACTTTATCTTACAAATGTACTACAATTTTTTATATTGTCCTCTTATTGATAAAATATAGGTTCTTCATACTGTTCACAAAGATGGTTTATTGTTATTTATGCTGAAAGTTTCTGTCTTAAAATAAGACTGACTTATTTTCTTTTTTATTAATATTGTAAAATAATATAGTTTCTATGACCTGGTTTTGTGGGTTCTAATTTTTCATATTTTTACTTTGTTTTCTATTTCTCCTTCCTCTGCCCACTGTTGTATAGATTGCATTTCCTTAATTCTTAATTCCCATACTGGCTTTCTCCGGTTTGAAATTAAAGCAGTATACTTTTATATTTACCCTGAAATGGTCAACATGCATGCTTATCTTTGGAAAGACTAAAGTGGCTCAGTATCTTTGTCATCTTCCCAAACAATACAATTCTATACTCTTCTCATCTTCCATATTTTTGAGATGTAGAATTTAATATTCATTTTTCTAAAAGTTTCACCAAAATTGTCTTAAGGTTTCTTTTCAATTCCAATCAATACCAATCTAAATGTAACAAGTTTTACCAACTTCTATGTATACAATTACTTTCTATCTATTTCTTCTTCTGGGTTTTTCATTGTTGAAGCACATCTTTGGGGAGAATTTTCAGCAAGCCTCTGTGAGCGGTAAACTCAGTCTTTCATGTCTGAAATTGCCTTTGTTTTTCCTTACAATGATTGCATTGCCACCTGACATTTACCAATGCCAGAGACAAATCTGTTGTCTTGTTCCTTTGCAAGTAACCTGCAGTGTTCCTCTGTTTTGGATGGTTCAACTCTGTACCGCAGTGTGTCTAAGTGGGAATTTGCTTTTATTCGTGCTGCTTGAAACTTAATATAAATCTTCAGTCTGAGCACTCACATCTTTCTTTAATTCTAGAAAACTCTCATCAAATTTATTTAGAAGATTGCATCTTAACCATTGTCTCAATTCCCTGCTTTGAACTTCGAATAGATAATGGCTGGAGCCTTGGCTTCTCTCCTCCACTTTTCAAATTCTCTTTCATATTTTCTATCTCTTTTCCTCACTGGTCTCTATATTCAGTCATTTCCTCTTGTCTATATCTCAGTTAACTAAGTCCACTAATTTACTAAGCCCACTAATACTTTATTCAATTTATATAATGTGTAAAATATCTGATTTTTTAAAACACGAAATTGTATTTTTAAGAAAATCTTGTTATTATTTTATATTTTTTCCTTTCTCTTTGATATTTCAAATCTCTTCAGAAGTTCACTTTTGGAATATAGGCCTCCTGTTTTTATGCTGACGACCTCTCGTTAGGAATTCTCTCCCATCCATATCGTGTGAAATTGGACTCTATCATTCTTGGCATGTGCTTGGAATCCCAGTTCTGTGTGGATCCTGTTGTGTCTTTTGAACAATGCGCAGTTTTTCTAGTTTCCACTTCACAGAGGAAGTACAAGGGTTCAAACATTTGCCCTTTTACCAACTCTCAGGGTGGTTCTGGGCAAATTACTGAAATTCTCTAATTCTGATTTCTAATTCTCATTTCTGGTTAATTCTCTAAAGGCTTCTCTGCTTGGTCATGCTTTCCTTTGTAATTTGTCTCCCTCTTTCTTTCTTTTTCCAAAGAAACCACATAAACCACTCAAAAATGGGATTGCTCCACCTATCCTCATTTCTTTTCTACTCATTACTACATTAACTGTGAGTAAATTGAGTTCTTTCATTAAATATATCTAAGTCTAGGAAATTGCAACATTGAGACTCGTTTTCCCATTTGAAACACTTGGACGTGGCTTCAGTGGTCTTCATTGGCCTTTGTGAAGCTGGTTGAAAATGATGTTTGGGGAAGTCTTGGCAGCTAAGTGCCTTGGTGGTTCCTGACAGGTCTCTGTGACTTTACCATCGCGCACCCAACAGGAAACCTGAATAAGAGCTGCAGATGAGCAAAGTCCAACAGCGGGTCTTAGCTGAGAACCTGCTTAAAGCCTCCCAGTGAAAACCGGAAGAAGCCTTTGGGTTGATGTGGAGTCACTTCCATAGAGCTAGAGATGAAACCTAAATGGCTCAGCCCTGGCTTTAGGTTTGGCCTAGATGGTTTGAACCTATTCTAAAATATTAACCTGACCTCAGGATTTCACTGTCACATCTAGCTTTACACTCAGAAAAACTGAGGTCAGGTTAATATTTAAGAAATAGATGTGTCAGTTTCCTTATCTTATTCTTAGATACAAACAATAGAATAGTATTTCATCCTTTAATTGAAGTATTTTAGTTATTTATATATTCTAAGTGGATGACTAATAATTCCATTTATTGGTCTCATGGCTAGAAGATTTATACCACCTATTTTGGCATATAATGTGTACAATTTCCCTGACATGGATAATATATGGAAGATTGTAGAAAGCAATAAGAATGCAATGCAATAAATATTAAAATGCTGTATCATTCTATTAGTATATTAAAGTAATATAATTACTTGATGTGTTTCTTTCCAAGTATCATTGTAACTTGCTTTAGAATATACCTTAAATATGTTATATATTTTTATATAACATAGCAATTTATGACTCAATACTCTAAGAATTATGAATTGCATCAATAGGCATTTGAATCTACTCATCTTGTTTATTGCTCATTTGTGTATTACTCTGGGAATTGTGGCACATTTTAGTCCTATTATGTGTGGAAACAAATCATAGTTTTGAACATGTAAAGGTGTAAAGCCAGCTCAACAAGAAAGTTGCTATCAAGAAACATATTCTTTTCACAGTTTGAATGGGTAGCACCAAAGAACTAGCTGGCAAAATAAAACAAAAAAATGTAGAAATAATCCCATGTAGCAAACAAGCAGCAAGAACACTTAGCCGGAAAGAATATAACCAAACGTTGATTTTTATGTTCTACAAAACTAAAAAGGTTACTTTCAACATATTTTCCCACAGCATGAAAAAATTACTCTTTTTCTTTCATTATTTATAACTAACTACCCTTTAGAAACTTGAAACTGGTTTTTTGAGGGTCATTCAAGAACTGCAAGAATACAAATGAATTACTTTGCCCTTTAAAAGAAAGAGATTTGTAAAACATATTGTGGCATTGTTTGGAATCATTGGAGAAATCAAATACATGATGCATATAGATACAAAAATGGAAAAAGTTTGTTAAATATTTCCCTTAAAAATACCTAGATGAAACGAATCTACCTTTGTGTTTGACCTGTTAACACAATCATATGTAAGCCGTAAGAGAAATAGTTTCTCTTAAAATAAAATACAAAAAGTTCCTCTGATGCTATAGTATTTTAATAAACATTTCCCTATTTCCTATGAAACAGTTTGCAGCAAATGCCTGAAAATAACGTATTTCCTTATTAAACAAATAAAGCCATAAACAACTTGAGTGCAACATCTACACTGTTGTACAGAAGGGGTGGAATACGTGTGGATGAAGATAATTTGCAAACCACAGCCCTGTGTTACTAATGGCTGGCACAACTGGGAGCTGAAGGATTTCAAATGCCTCACACAGCTTCAAGTTAACTTCAGGCTGATCAGCTAGCCCTGTGATTAATTATCGGAGGAAAGTATTGGTAGAGGTTTAAAATGTACACGTCTTCATGTTGAAAGATATACTCAATGTTAAGAATGTTTAAAATGTACAATACATAGAGATATTTGGGAAAAAAGCTGTCTCACTGTTACTTTAATGCAGTAACAAAAGACACTGTCATACAAAGCAAAGAGGAGTGTCAATATTGTGCACGTATGTCCAGCTTCTTTTTTAGAATTCTGCATTTGGTGTTGCATATAACGGCAATGCTATTAGGAAGGAAGCTTTTTCCAAACTGTTTCTGGATCTGTCTCACAGTTTGAATTCTCACAGTTTAAGGCATGTACTTGTCAGTAATGAACATAGCACAATGTTGATCTACGGCACTGCAGTGCAGAAGCAGCCAGTCATAATTACTTTGATTTCTATAAAGATGGACCTTTTTCTGTGAGTGTGTCGGCTGAAATGGAGATGCCCTGGGAAAAATTTAAGATGAAGGCCTTGTCACTCTGGATGAGTGCGAGCTCAGAAACCTACCTGATAGCACAGGAGTTCCCCCACAGGACAGAGGATCCGAGCTCAGAAGCCTACCTGGTGGCATAGGAGTCCCCCACAGGACAGAGGATCCGAGCTCAGAAGCCCACCTGGTGGCATAGGAGTCCCCCACAGGGCAGAGGATCCGAGCTCAGAAGCCCACCTGGTGGCATAGGAGTTCCCTCACAGGACAGAGGATAAGAGCTCAGAAACCTACCTGATAGCACAGGAGTTCCCACACAGGACAGAGGATCCGAGCTCAGAAGCCCACCTGGTGGCATAGGAGTCCCCCACAGGACAGAGGATCCGAGCTCAGAAGCCCACCTGGTGGCATAGGAGTCCCCCCACAGGACAGATGATATGAGCTCAGAAGCCTACCTGATGGCACAGGAGTTCCCCCACAGGACAGATGATATGAGCTCAGAAGCCTACCTGATGGCACAGGAGTTCCCCCACAGGACAGATGATATGAGCTCAGAAGCCTACCTGATGGCACAGGAGTTCCCCCACAGGACAGATGATATGAGCTCAGAAGCCCACCTGGTGGCTTAGGAGTCCCCCCACAGGGCAGAGGATCCGAGCTCAGAAGCCCACCTGATGGCACAGGAGTCCCCCACAGGGCAGAGGATCCGAGCTCAGAAGCCCACCTGATGGCACAGGAGTCCCCCACAGGACAGAGGATACGAGCTCAGAAGCCCACCTGGTGGCATAGAAGTCCCCCAACAGGACAGAGGATCCCAGCTCAGAAGCCCACCTGGTGGCACAGGAGTTCCCCCACAGGACAGAGGATCCGAGCTCAGAAGCCTACCTGATGGCACAGGAGTTCCCCCACAGGACAGAGGATCCGAGCTCAGAAGCCCACCTGATGGCACAGGAGTTCCCCCACAGGACAGAGGATCCGAGCTCAGAAGCCCACCTGGTGGCATAGAAGTCCCCCCACAGGACAGAGGGCCTCTAATAGTCTAGACTGGACCTTTTGAACCAATGCTGGGAGGGCTTTGCTGACTACATTATTGCAGTTAGAAAAGAGTTTCTGTAATTGACCAAAGTTATCAGGTTTCATACCTACTTTTACTTATGTTGACAGCTCACAATTGTGACACAAGGCAACTTCCAGGACTCTGCAGTGCTATGAAGTGGCAAGAGAAAAATGCAAAGCTCAATGCGGCCACCAACGGCAAATGAGCCACAGTTTTTGGATTAAAAGTGTATTTTAATGTGCTGCATTCTGCCCATGTTATCTATGAATTCTATTTTCTATTAATGAGAATTGATATCAAGGTCATAAAGTTGGGACTCCTGAAATCAATTCATAATCATATTGCTTTCCAGAATTTCTAATGCTATACTTTCTTGAGGTAATTTTAAGAAAGGTTTCCTTACCATTTACCCAAATTTCATACACAGACACACACCAAAACAAAAACAAAACAAAAACTGAATGAATATTTTTGTGCTGATACAAACCGTCACAAAGGAAGTAATGATGGGATTTGTCTACATTAACCTGACATACTGGTGAAAATAACCCCATTGTTCATTATTTGAATTAGGCAATAATTTGGAGAAATTCTTGAAGAGGACATAAAGGAGACCGCAGATACGTGTGGGCTGCCTGTGAAAGGCATGCTGCTTTGTAAATATTCACACTAAACTTTCAAACACAAGAGTGATACTACCCTAGCAAAACCTAAGGTTCTCCAGGGAGGCAGGTGACTAGTTCCACTTTTTCTCTTTCCTTAATGTTACAATTGAGGTTTCCTTTGATTACCCTTCTCTCAAGGAAGAGAAAGAAAGGAAACTTTGTATCTGCAGAAATGATGAGGTCCAGAGAGACAGGGAGTAAGACCCCGGTCCCATCCCCCTTCCTTCTTGGGGCTAGGGAATCAGCTCTTGAAACTGCTTGCTCTCTCACAAGTAGCTGTCAATTAACCTAACAATGCCACACACCTGATCCCTAATCCTTACAACAAAGAGCCAATCACCAACGGTTGTTATTTCTGTAAACCAGTGAGAATTCCTGACCAGCAACTTTGTGTCAGCCCATTCCTTGCCTGCCTTTTTGTTTTAAAAGCCTGCCTGTAACAGAGGCCACACAGAGCTCATATCCACGCTGACCCGGGTCTGAGTCTTCTGGGTAGCTGTGCTCACGTTGGCTCAGGTCAACTCTTGAAATTATATATTGTGCCTCAGCTTTGCCTTTGAGTAGACCGGGAATATTAAAATATAATTGTACCATAAAGTACTAATTGGTCTTAGTTTGTTTTGCCAAAATAAATTTATTGATAAAGCACAAGGGTGGTAGTTGCAGAGGTTTTATTACCTATATTTAACTGACTGCTAAGGTCTCAGTTTGCCCATGTGGGTGCCCTGTTTAATCTTTCACCTTCTATCCAGAGTCTGAGTAGAATGAGACCCAGGTGGTGGGTACAGCAGATGCTCTGAGCACTGTATGAGCTGTCCATCCCTGAGAGTTTTGCTAGCAATTGCAGTCCAGAAGCCCTTTCTTTAATACGTGCACCAAAAAGTCAGGCTTGTATAGATGTTTATTGAATAAAATCACTTGTAAGCATGGTGCTGACGTGCGGTTCTCAGGCTGTTAGAGAGTTAATATTAGGGCTGACGTGCGGTTCTTAGGCTGTTAGAGAGTTAATATTTTAGTTGATTCTAAAATTGTCACCAAATTAAAAATCTAAAATTTCCCTTCACAAAGCCCTTAATTAGGATACATTTAAGTATATACTCAGATCGTTTGGCTTTGAATTACAAAAGCAATCCCTATTATATACAAGAAGATGTATTTCTGAAAAAATTAAATCATTAATAATGTAATTTCTTTTTGAGACAGAGTCTTGCTCTGCTGCCCAGGCTGGAGTGCAGTGCCTGATCTTGGCTCCATCCAACCTCCACTTCCTGGATTTGAGTGATTCTTGTGCCTCAGCCACTAGAGTAGCTGGGATTATAGGTGTGTGCCACCATGCCCAGCTAATTTTTGTATTTTTAGTAGAGATGGGGTCTCCCCATGTTGCCAGGGTGGTCTGAAACTCCTGAGCTCAAGTGATCCACCTGCCTCAGGCTCCCAAAGTGCTGGGATTATAGGCATGAACCACCGTGCCCAGCCTAACAAGGTAAATTTTAAATATTCAGTTGCTAGTCTTTAACTATAGCTTCAGAATGAATTCTAAAAGATTAAAAACCTTAAATAACTCTCCCAAATAGGATATTGGGAGGTATAAAAAATAACTTCCATCATTATATTCTGATACATTTATTATTTGTAAATTTTTGAAAGTGAAAAAGCTATACTAGTCAGTTAATTCCATAATTTTATTATATTTACTGTTCTCTAGTCATAAGAGAAAACAGGAACAGTACTCCCTTTTCCTACAGTTTCTTCCTAAGAAAGGAAGGCAGTCACAGAGAATTTGGAACAGATTAGTGTCATTTGATATTAGAGGTCTTGAAATTAGCTTCTCATTGCATAGAGTGAGGTAATCTGGCATTGAGTCATGTTATTATTCATCTCCTTTCAATACAAGGTGTATTAAATAGTATATAAATAAGTATGTCAAGCAAAACCTATTTATTGTCACAGAAAAGTCATTTGGTCGACAGCTTGTCAGAGACTGGGAAATTAACATCTTTTGCAAACACTTTTTTCTTCCTACCAGGTTGATACATTTAAGACAAATGTGTAACATAGCCTGATGTTATTAAAGGTAAAACTGTGCCTCCTGCATCTGAGGCTTAATAGAACGTAAGAAAATGAATTTCAAATTGTGATATAGCTTTGACACAATGTAAGGCTGTCTTTTAACTTTAATTGAATTCTAATCATTTCATGAGGTATATTCATGCCTGTATCTTCATTCCTATACAACAGAGAAATTTAGCACTCATTAAACTTGTCAAAACCATAGCAAGAAATAAAGGCATCTGGAGGAGTGATTCTGATCCTTATTTTTCATGTGTTTGGCGGAAAGTGTCCAACTTTCCTGCCCTGTCCTGGGAAGGTGGCAGAAGGAAAGGACTCATCTCAGGTGAACGCTGCCAGATCTCTCCTGGAGCAGAACTTTTGGGAAAGTCTCCAAGGTTTTGAGAAAAAACTAACAAGTTAACTGCTGTCTAATGCTCTTGCCCTACAATTAAGTGTCGGTGGAGCAGCACAGACGCCAACAATCGATGCAGAAAGCAATCAGGGGTGGTGCAAGAGCATCCAAGGATTTTCTCATGCCAACAGTTTGAAAAATTATGGCTTAAAAAACCTAAATGTTAAAGCCTGACACAAACACACACAAACCCCAATCAACATTCAGTTGCGAAGTACTGATCGCACGCTGGCAACCATATCAAAGTAAAAACCCAGTGGTAACATGTAAGATATTGGTATGACATTTGCTTATTATGATTTTTATTAGAAATAGTAGCAGTAGCAATGGTTGTGGATTAGGGATAATCCATCAACACCAATTTATAGAGTCTGGATTTACATATACATATAGAAAAGCTCACCTTTAGCAGGAATTGAAGCTAACTTCCTGTCAGAGAACAACTTTTTTTCTTGGCTCAAAAGCATCATGTACTAACCACTGGCCACTCAAGAATGTCAATGATTTCCCTTGTCCTAACCAATTAAATATCAAGTTATTAACCTGTGTTGTGGGCTGACCTAAATCACTTTGGCTTTTCACATTTATTAGTTTTTTTTTTGGGGGGGGGGGGTAGGGTAGATAGTTTCCAATAAACATCTACCATGACCAGGTGGAATAAAATCAAGTCTCAGACCTAATTCTGCCAAGCACACATGCATGCGCACTGTTGGGGGAATCTTCCCCCAATATTTCAACATAGGTTCTTTCTATTTTCCGTAAGTGTCAGCCAGCTGAGAAATAAAGAGAGACAGTACAAAGAGAGGAATTTTACAGCTGGGCCGCTGGAGGTGACACCACATATCAGTAGGACCATGATGCCTGCCTGAGCCTCAGACCAGCAAGTTTATATTAAGGGTTTCAAAAGGGGAGGGGGTGTAAGAACAGGGAGTAGGCTCAAAGATCACATGCTTCAAAGGGCAAAAAGCAGAACTACTAATAAGGGTCTAACAAAGATCACATGCTCCTGAGGGAACAGGACAAAGGGCAAAAGCAGAACCACTGATGAGGGTCCATGTTCAGTGCTGCACGTATTGTCTTGAGAAACATCTTAAACAACAGAAAACAGAGTTCGAGAGCAGAGAACCAGTCTGACCACAAATTTACCAGGGCGGAGTTTTCCCAACCCTAGTAAGCCTGAGGGTTCTGCAGGAGACCAGGGTGCATCTCAGTCCTCATCTCAACCACATAAGACAGACACTCCCAGAGCAGCCATTTATAGACATCCCCCCAGGAATGAATTCTTTTTCCAGGGTATTAATATTAATATTTCTTGCTAGGAAAAGAATTTAGTGATATCTTCCCTACTTGCACATCCATTTATATGCTGTCTGCAAGAAGAAAAATATGGCTCTTTTTGCCCGACCCCACAGGCAGTCAGACCTTGTGGTTATCTTCCTTTGTTTCCTAAAAATCGCATTATTTTGTTCTTTTCCAAGGTGCACTGATTTGATATTGTTCAAACACACATGTTTTACAATCAATTTGTACAGTTAACACAATTATCACAGTGATCCTGAGGTGACATACATCCTCAGCTTATGAAGATAACAGGATTAAGATATTAAAGTAAAGACAGGCACAAGAAATTATAAAAGTATTATTTGGGAACTGATAAATGTCCATGAAATCTTCACAATTTATGTTCCTCTGCTGTGGCTCCAGCTGGTTCCTCTGTTCGGGGTCCCTGACTTCCCTCAACAGCACTTGCAACCTGTCACACAATATCTGGTGTTATTTGATCAATGATATCACAAATCTTTCTTCTCTTTTAGCCTTCCAACAATTATCTTGCGTATGAGCTTATGTGGAACAATATTCCAGTTCCAGGAAGGTGGAATATGTCCAGGTGGACTCAGGTGACTTTCTTAGTGGACTCAGGTGACAGAAAGGCAGAGTGGAATGGGGCCCTAAGCCAAGGCTGTGATCAGAGGTGCAGAGATTTCTGAGCTTGCTAACCACACTTGCCTTGTCTGTGCAAGGAGGGCGGTGTTTTACATTTTCCCAAGTCCATTCACATATCTCTAATGAGACACATTCCACCAATGATAAAATATTTCTAGCTTGCTTTATGTCACATAAGAAGAAATGAGTAGCTCTGATCAAGACAAAAGATAATCGAACTATTTGTAATCACTCTCTTTGGAGAGTGGAATCCTCATGAGGGTCCTTTACATGCAAAGTAACCACCTGGTATTCCTGGATATTTCCTCATATTTCAAATAGTACATAATGCCTCTTGGGGGTAGAATACAGCTAAGATCTTTCTATAACACAGTCTGTGCTAAAGTTTTGTTTTGTTTGGCTTCTAATCAGAGAAAATATAACACATTCAGGGCTTGCCACAATATGGTTTTCTTCACATTTACTTCCCCCAACTTCTCCCATCAAATAACTCACTTGATTTGAACATCCCCTGTGCCAGTGCTGGTGCTACTTTATCTGAAAAAAACTTTATTTCTCCCCATCTCTATTCAAAATATGTAAGTCATCCTTGAAAGCTCATTTTTGAAACAAATTTTCTTAATACCTTTTTTTACTATACATGTAATAACATGTATGAACATACTTGCAAACACTTAATAGCAAATTTGCTATATATTTGATAATGCATTTCATTAATTATTACATTTGCTATACATTCATTAAACAAAGACTATGTGCTACGTAGCGGGACCAATGATGAAATTTTCCCTGGATCCAGGCAGCCAATGAGTGTGGCAGCAAACCAGGAAACACGGCGTGTTGAGCACTCTGTGGGGAAATGTGGGCACATTTCCTGCTAATACAGCCTGTGGAAGGGCTATTCTAAGTTTGCTGGGTAGAATCTTGAAGGCTTTTCTAAAAAGTACTGCTTGAGGTGAGGTTAAAGAATAAATAGAAGCTGTTCTATTTTAAAAGGCAAAAGCAAAGAAACATGAGAGCAAAATCCGACCTTTCAAGAACAGACGGCGTGATTATTTTTTTCATGGTTGCTACTGCATATGTGCACCATAGCACGAAATTCAAATCATGTATTGTAGACTGTGGCAGCCACTGAAACTGGAAATGTAGGGAATGATTTCAAATAACTGTTTTGGGAAGATCACTCTACTGCCATGTGGAAGATGGACTGGAGAAGGCACGGCTGGAGAGAGTGCAGTGAGAATGACTAATGGTTCACATGAGGAATGAGGATGGCTGGAGTAAAGCAGTGGCAATGTGGACAGAGACAGCAGAAATGGGACCAAGTATCAGATTTACTTGGAAGCATTAGCAGTATGACTGGCAGCAAACATACAAGAGTGAAAGAGGTGACAGGTAAGATGGCCGTCAGGCCTGCTATGCAGGTGACTGAGCCAAAAATCAGAGAAGAAAAGCAGAAGCAGCATCTCAAAAAGCAGGGGAAGCATCTCACTGTAGAGGGGAATGCCCTGACCCCATGGTAGAAGCACTGAATCTGAAGAACAGATGCGACGTCTGAAGGGTTGGGTTTATATAGAATCCTAGAGTGCAGGAGAGAACACCAGATACAAATATCAGTTTGAGTCCTCATTACAAAGCAGCAGGTGAAAGAATGAACAGGAACAATGGTACCTGAGTTAGAAAGAAAAGAAGGACTAGTCCTCAACTCTAGGAAATGGAGCTATTTAAGAGGTGGTTGGGGAAAAATAAATCTATGGAAGAGGCAGGAAGGAGCAGTCAGGGAATAAGTGAAGCAAGAGAAACCAAGGGAATGAGAAGGAAGAAAAGCATCTCAAGATAAAAAGTGGCCACATTGTCAACTTCTCCAAGACAGTAAGTAAAATAGGAAGAAGGAGGGAAAAGCAAAATAATCCATTGGAATGGCTCCTGGAAACTCAGAGGTGAACAGAGTGGAACTAGGAAGCAGTGGGACAGAATGTAGAGATCGTATCTTGCCCAATGCTGCCTTTATTCTCTCTTTTATCAAGCCTTTTTGTTCTTTTCTAATCCCCTCCTCTCTTAGTCCATTTGTGTTGCTATAAAGGAATACCCAAGGCTGGAAAACTTATAAAGAAAAGAGGTGTGTTTGGCTCACAGTTCTGCAGGCTGTACAAGAAGCAAGCACCAGCATGTGCTTCAGGTGAGGCCCTCAGGGAGCTTCCAATCATGAAGGGAGGCAAATGGGAAGCAGGCATGTCACCTGGGAAGAGAGGGAGCAAGAGAGAGAGAGAAGAGGGATGCCAGGCCCTTTAAACAGCCAGCTCTAGTGTGAACTAATAGAGCAAGGACTCATTACCAAGGGGAGGGCACCAAGCCATTCATGAGGCGTTCACCCCCACCAGCCAACACTGCCCATCAGGCCCCACCTCCAGCATTGAGGATTACATTTCAACATGAGATTTGGAGGGAACAAGCATACAAATACTACGATCCCCTCTATGATGTGATAATGTGGCTAAATTGTGCCGCCCTCCACTTCCTATGCTGATACCCTAACCCTCAGGACAACTGTATTTGGAGGCAGGGCCTTTAGTAAATAATGAGGCTAAATGAGGTCATAATGACAGGACTCTAATCGATAGAACTAGTACCTTTTTTTTTTTTTTGAGACGGAGTCCCTCTCTGTCGCCCAGGCTGGAGTGCAGTGGCACGATCTCAGCTCACTGCAAGCTCCACCTCCCGGGTTCAAGCGATTCTCCTGCCTCAGCCTCCCGAGTAGCTGGGACTACAGGCACCCGCCACCACGTCCGGCTAATTTTTGTATTTTTAGTAGAGACGGGGTTTCACCGTGTTAGCCAGGATGGTCTTGCACTCCTGACCTCGTCCACCCTCCTTCTCCTCCCAAAGTGCTGGGATTACATGCGTGAGCCACCGCGCCTGGCCCTGGTGCCCTTTTAAAAACAGGAAGAGGGAGAGAGTGATCTTGCTCTAGCAACACATGAGAAGAGGCAACGTGAGTACACAGTGAAATGGTGGCTTCCTACGAGGCAGGGGAAGAAGATGCGGAATGCACTGTCCCTTGCCGGCACCTTCTCAACTGGACTCCAGATCTGTGAGAAGTGAATTTCTGTTGTGTACCTGTCCAGTCTATAGTAGCTGTTACTGCAGCCCAAGGTGACTGGTACATGTGGTTTCCCCTAAGACAGTTAAGAGCTACGTGTTTTAAAAAACTCTTTGACTTATTTTGATCTTGTATGTAATATTCAAAATAATAAATCCGTAAAAGTCCAAATGGTAAATTCTTCTCTAAAAAGTATCTTCCTATATATAAAACCCATGAATTTATTTTCTAGGGAAGAAGTGAAGAAAAGTTTCATATTCCTGACAGTACTGCTTGTATATTTTGCATTTCTATAGGGGAAGGGAAGACTAATATACCGGGAGTGCTGTGATCCCAGGTGTTTCTTGTTTATGAGAACAAGACATTTTACATTCTTCCATTGTAGGTTTCATAACCTCAGGGATACACAGGAATCTAAAATGTCAGTGGCTCGGCTGGAAGAGACAACGATAGAAATAGGAAGAGACAGCAAAGGCTCCAAGGACAATTTGGGCAGAGAGAAGAAAACAAGGGTGCCAGTCCGATCTTGACGGTTGCCTATTATTGGCAATAAACTGTCTTTTTGACTCATTGATGGGCCTTGGCTCCTAGCAGCAAACCAAACAAAAACAAAAACAAACATAAAAACAAACAACCTTTTCATGACCAAATTCCAATGCATATACTCTGGCACCCAGAGAGCTTATCATTCAGGACCAGGAAATAATCAGCTGTGTACTGTTTGCAGCGATTCTCCCAAGAGCCATTTTGAGCCTTTCTACCACTTTCCACACGATGCTGCCCTTGCGATTTTATGCCTCTGGGCCAAAATGAGAATATACTAGAGTGGCTCCGGACCTGCAGGAGATAAATAATTAATTCCAAACTCAGCCAGCAGACAGTCCTGCTGACTTTAGTTGACGAAAAGCGACTATTACCCAGACTCCAACGCTGAGTACACACACTGGGAGAAAGCCCTGGAGTGTCATGGTATTTGCAATATCTGTGAAGGACGATCTCCTTTTAACACAGTTTCTTACCTCCGGTTTTCCCCAGTGATATCCTAGCAAATAGGAGCAGCCTGAGAGAATCGGCCATTCTCTTTATTTTTCATTCTTACTATAATATAGCATGATTTATTCTGTTGGTATTATATATTCTTTGTATTCTTAAAATCAGGGGACCTGTTTTTGGTGTACTAAGTGTTCAAATTTGGCAGAAATTTGGAAGCTTCTTCCTTAAAAACAATTTATATAACAAATATCTGTACTTAGCCCCAGAAATTCCATTGCATTCATGATATAGTTTGGCTCTGTGCCCCCACCCAAATCTCACCTTGAATTGTAGTTCCCATAATCCTTATGTGTCATGGGAGGGACCCAGTGGGAGGTAATTGGATCATGGGGGCAGTTATTCTCATGCTGTTCTCATGATAGTGAGTGAGTTCTCATGACGTCTGATGGTTTTATAAAGGGCTTTTTCTCCTTTTGTTTGACAATTCTCCTTGCTGCCACCATGTGAAGAAGAAGGTATTTGCTTCCCTTTCTGCCATGATTGTAAGTTTCCTGAGGCCTCCCCAGCCCTGCGGAACTTTGAGTCAATGAAACCTTTTTTCTTTATAAATTACTCAGTCTCAGGTATTGCTTCATAGCAGCATGAGAACAATGGACTAATGCAAATTATGAACTTGATAAAACAAGCAAGTCAATGCAAAAGGCCCAGTCCAAGCAGACAAATGAGAACTTCTACTTTAAAACTTCAAAATCAGATACTTTGATCATTCATTTACAATTTCGTTTTCCTACTTCTTACTGAACATGGTAATTTGTATTAAGAAAATATCCCAAAACTAATCTCTGTGTTGAGATGAACTATCTGTCCCTCATAGATTAGACTACATCTATATAGGTCAAGAGCATACAGAAATAAGTATACTTACATTTTCTCTGTTTTTTTCCAAATTTATAAATTGTGTCTGTTCCTTTGTTTTGTTTTTTAGCTTTTATTTTAGACAGAGTGGGTACATGGGAAGATTCATTACATGGGAACATTGTGTGATGCTGAGGTTTGTTGTATGGATTCCATCACCCTGATAGGGAGCACAGTACCTGATAGGTAGTTTTTTAACCCACCTCTCCCAAACCTTCTATAAGTCCACAGTGTCTATTGCTTCCAGATTTATGCTCATGTGTGCTCAATGTTTAGCTACCACTTTTAAGTTAGAACATATAGTATTTGGTTTTCTGTTTCTGTGTTAGTTTACTTAGAATTATGGCCTCTAGCTTCATGCATGCTGCTACAAGGACATGACTTAACTTTTTTATGGCCATGCAGTATTACTTAGTGTATATGGACCATATGTTCTTTATCTAATCTACCATTGATGGATACCTGGGTTGATTCCACTGGCGATTGTGAATAGCTTGACAATGAACATATGAGTGCACATGCCTTCTTTTGAATTATTTTCCTTTGGATAATGGAATTACTGGGTCAAATGTAGTTCTAAGTTCTTTGAGAAATCTCCACACTGAGAAATCTCCACATGGTTGCTCTCCACAGTGGCTGAGCTGATTTGAATTCCTATCAACAATGTGTAAACATTCCCTTTTTCACAGCCTTACCATCTGTTTTTATCGTTACTGTTTTTTGGACTTTTTAACATAATCATTCTGACTGGTATTAGATGGTATCTCACTGTGGCTTTGATTTAAAGAAATTATTTCACTGTTACTTGCTATCATTGGCCTTGTTGAAGATTAGATGGTTGTTGGTGTGTGGTTTGGTTTCTGAAATTTTATTGTATTCCATTGGTCTAATGTGTCTGCTTTCCCACCCATTCCAAGCTCTTTTGCTTAATGTGGCTTTATAGTATAGTTTGAAGTTGGGTAGTGTGACTCCTCCAGCTTATTCTTTTTGCTTAGGATGGCTTTGGCTATTCAGGCTTTTTTTTTGGATCCGTATGAATTTTAGAATAGTATTTTTTATTTCTGTGAAGAATGTCATTGGTAGATTGATAAAAATAGTATTGAATCTAAATTGCTTTGGGCAGTATGGCCGTTTTAATGATATTGATTCTTCCAATCCATGCACATGAACTGTTTTTTTCATTTATTTGTATTGTCTCTGATTTCTTTCAGCCGTGTTTTGTAATTCTCTTTGTAGAGATTTTTCGCCTTTATTAGGTGTATGCCTAGGTATTTCATTGTCCTTGTGGCTACTGTAAGTGGGATTATGCACTTAATTTCATTCTCAGCATGGACCTTGTTGGCGTATAGAAATGCTACTGAGTTTTATATACTGATTTTGTATCCTGAAACTACTAAAGTCATTTATCCTGGGAGTCTTTTGGCAGTCTTAAGGATTTTCTTTGTACAGAATCATATCAGTGAAAAGAGATAGTTTATGTTTTTTCTTATTTGGAGGCCTTTTCCTTTTATCTCTTGCCTAAATGCTGTGCCTGGGACTTCCACTACCATGTTGAATAGGAGTGGTGAGAGTGAGCATCCTTTTCTTTTTCCAGTTCTCAAAGGGAATGGTTCAAACTTTTGCTCATGAACCATGATGTTGGATGTGGGATTGTCATAAATGGCTCCTAATATTTTGAGGTGTGTTTCTATGATGCCTAGTCTGTTGAAGATTTTTTCATAAATGGATGTTGGATTTTATCAAAAGCTTTTTCTGCATCTATTGAGATGATCATATGGTTTTGCTTTTGATTCTGTTTATGTTGTTAATCACATGTATTTATTTGCTTATGTTGAACCAGCCTTGCATCTCAGGGATAAAGCCTACCTGATTGTGGTGAATTAACTTTTCAACGTGCTGCTGGATTCAATTTGCTATTATTTCATTGGAGATTTTGGCAATGTTCATAAGGGATATTGGTCTGAAGTTTTCATTTTTCATTGTGTCTCTGCCAGATTTGGATATCAGGCTGATGCTGGCTTGATAGAATAAGTTAGGGAGAAGCCTCTGCTCTTCAATTTTTTGGAATAGTTTCAGCAGGCTTGGCACCAGTTCTTCTTTGTATATCTAGTAGAATTTGGTTGTAAATCCATCTTGTCTAGGGCTTTTTTGGTTGATAGTTTATCACTATTTCAACTTCAGAAGTTGATATTGGGGTCTATTCAGGGTCTCAAACTCTTCCTGAGTCAATCTTGGGAGATGATGTGTTTCCAGGAGGTTATGCATTTCCCCTAGATTTTCTAATTGTGTGCGTAGAGTCATTCATAGTAGTCTCTGAGACTTTTGTATTTCCCCTTTTAAATCTCTATTTTTTTCAAAGAAGTGATCTTCAATAAACTAAAGACAAAGAATTGGAAAAACTGGTTCAAATAATCTAGATGTTCAGTGCCTGGAGAATGAATGTAATTCATTTAATATTTATCCAATTATGGTCACTGGTGACATCCTCATTGGCCAACAACATTGAGGTCCCATGAAATCCCCTGGCTCTCTGTTCCTTTTTACCCCAGGGATCTGTGCAAAGGCTGTGAATGTCATGGTTCCAGCAACCTTTGTTTCACCCATTGCCATCCCCATTGACATACCCTTATGATGTGGAGATGGGTCCTTATAAAGTGTGGGAACTTCATGGGACTTCAGTTTCAGTGTAGTGTGGGAACTTCATGGGACCTCAATTTCAGTGTAGTGTGGGAACTTCATGGGACCTCAGTTTCAGTGTACTGTGGGAACTTCATGGGACCTCAGTTTCAGGGTAGTGTGGGAACTACACTTTATAAGGACCCATCTCCACATTCTAAGGGTCATCATACCTCATTGTCCTTTCATCAGTATAGTGGAAAATCTCTACTTTTCTGTTGCATTCAGAGACACTATTTTCTATCTCCCTTCCCTATAGTGAGATACAAACCATAGGATCATCTCAATAGATGCAGAAAAAGCTTTTGAAAAAATCCAACATCCCTTTATGATAAAATCTTCAACAGACCAGGCATCAAAGGAACACACCTGAAAATATTAAGAGCCATTTATGACAATCTCACAGCCAACATCATGCTGAATGTTCTATAGAAAGGATGTTTTCTATCTCTCTTCTCATCAGTGGCTTTATACTTTTATGTAAAGGGAAAAATAGCATAAACAACTGTTGTTTCCTAAAGTTTTGATTCAGGGGAGCAAAGATCCTTGAAGCAGGAAAATAGTAAGTGTCTTGCTGTCTAGAAGGCAGAATGGGAGAGACCTGGGACAGAAAATTCAAAGAGCAAAACAAAAACCAACACCTCAAAAAAGTATTCTACCACCACGGTAATTAAGAACTTTGACAAGCCTGGCTCAAATCCTGGCCTTGCCATTTACATGTTGTCTGACCTTGAACAAGACATTTGACCTGCTTTTTTTTTTCCAACATTGTATTGAAAAATAATATGTATATATAAATATATATGCTAATATACTTAGAGAAAAGTACCCCTCCTTAAGTGCATAGCTCAGCATATTTTGAGCACAGACGTCCAGAAAAACAAGGGTGCAAGCACCCATAAGCCCCTCCCCTTGCTCTTTCTGGCCATCGCTGCCCCCGCTAAGGTGACCCCCTCCTGACTCGCATAGCTCAGAATAGTTATTCTTCGCTCCGGTGCGCACCGTTACTTCAGTTCTTTTTGCTTCCTTTATGACACAGGGATTATCGAAGTACCTTCATCCTGGTGTTGTTACGACAAGTAAACAAATTAATATTTTAAAAATGTTTAGAACAGCCTATGCATAGTAGGCAGAGTGCATTTGTTAAATAAAAATAAAACACATATTCTAGAAAAATTAATGGTTTAATATAAGTTGTGTGACCCTAAACCTATGAATTGTGGTTAAAAACAGATTGACACATGAAGAAGTAAATGATGACCTACCCTAGATAAATAAAAATTCAGCTTCACAAATGTTTCATTCACTCCTACATGGTGACCCTAGAATAACGTTACACAGATTTCTTAGGTTGGTTTGACGGAAAGAAAATGTAAGCGTACATATATGTCTCAATAGTGATTGAATATGGTTTCCTTCTGAAACCATCACTTTGTCCTATTGTGAAAAAGTTACGCATTATATCATGTGTCACTTTAAAGAACCTCTAGATATTGTTCAAATTCATTTGTTGAATAAGAAATTTGTATATTGCTCATACACACACATTTTTAATTTATAAAATGTAAGCTTAATAGGGCTGCAAGTTTTTGGATTACATAAGTGTGGTTATTGGAATTAAGAAAAATACCCATAGTAAAGAGAATGTACCTGGAATTGCTGAGGCTGCCATGAGATTAAAGCAGTTTACTACATTCTAAAAAGGGCATGGGATCAACATTAAGAATCCTGTTTCATTTATCACCATTTCATGGAATTGATTTTCTGTCCTTAGAAATGAGGATATTTTGTGACTGAGCCACCAGAAGACAGCATGGCTGGACTCTAAATACTTCTTTTAAAAAAGTGAAGAAAAAAGAGAGCAGGTTTTTTTCCCCAAGCTTAAAGAACAGTGTATACATTAAGACATCATTTCATGTAAACTATATGATCTTTTACTCTCCTTTTTTGCTTATTATTGAATATCTATTATATGATTGCTTTAGTTTTCTGAAAATCTATTTCACAAGAACATTATGTTTCTAGATAATCAGTGACATGGCACAAGCAAACACTTACTCAGAAGATTCAACATCCAACGTTCCATTTAGAAATGATGCCAGGGTGACTGACAACGCTGAACTTCAAAGGTGTGAGATAGGGAAAGTCATTAATAATCAAACTGAAAAACACATTATGTCAAGTTTAGAAGTAGCCGTTGCAGAAGGTGAGTCTCTGAAGTTTCATTTCTACAAATGAACGGCCAGTATTTGTGGACTCTATGGAGAGCCCAGAAAGCAAAGAAAAGTAGTAGCACATATTTGGCAAACATCCTGTTGTTTAAGCAGATTTGTTTTTATGTCGCTGAGAAGAACTACTTGAAATTTTTCAGCGAGGAGAGCTTTGCAGTAAACACTTCTAGTTTATTAGAAGTAGTGCAGGATCGCGAGTATGCAGCCTATGCAGTTGAATGGACCCCTGCTCTCGGAAGAGCCTCACACGTGTTCTGCTGAATTTTCTGCAATTAATTCATCAAGATTTAAATTAAACAAAGACCGATTTGTACCTCCAATGGGCCAGACACTGTACTGAGTATCACTATGGAAACAACAGTAAACACTAAATGTGGTCCCTGCCCTCAGGCACTAATTCAATAGAAAGCAATATAGAAAATTAGACAAAGGAGTAAGTACAATGAATGTGATGAAGTGTTACGACTATGTGTAGTCTACTATAAGAGACAGACATATCGTGGCTATAAGATTAATGACAGCCATAAGGCCACCTTGACATCTCACAGTGCCTACACTATGTATCACTTAGCAACTTAATGTCACCTGGCTTGGGGATTTCCAATTCTGGCCCAGGGGTTACCAGAACTCTATGACAAGGGGACCTAAAACCCCTGTTGCCCTAGAGACAAGGCCACCTCAGCACAGATGCCAATTTCATAAGCCTTGAAACAAAGTTTACCCTTAAAGAATGGCTGAAATCCTCTTCACAAAAGAAAGCCCTAGTAACTGACCTGGATTGAATACAGGTGTAAGAAGGAGGAAGAGTCCCCCAAATATTGAAAATGGTCTCTGGCTGGAAGTCCTCTGGTTAGTCAGTCTTCTGACCCCGACTGTGTGTGGCCCATGCCACAGCCGACTCCTACTAACCCTCCTGTAAGGGCACTGCCAGAAGAAAGTGCTTGAGCATCAGACGGTGTCTAAGGCTCATCTATGACAAGAATCGAGCTGCAGGGGAGAAGTCGCCCCTGGGGGAAGGCTGATTAACTAGAACCACTCAAGATCCTCGAATGTGACACTAAATATAATTGTATAATAAGAAAAGACACAATGCACAAACAGCCTGTAGGCATTGGCTAGCAGGGGACCACACAGCAGAGAACAGTTTATGTAAGGAAGTAGTTTATGAAAAAGTGAGTGGACATTTAAACAATGGAGAAGGCAAATATTCATTTCCTCAATCTGCTGTATTAGGAGACGTGGAACTTTGAAAATAGAAAAGTAGAACATTACCTGGAAGGCAAACATCATCTTATATAGATTGTGTAAGAACTTATTAGTGACCGAATAAGAGAGAGAGAAACCAAGAAAGGGAGAAACCGAGAGAAACTAAGAGGGAGAATATGATGGAGCAGGTGAATACCTGGAAGCATCAGTGCTCAGACATCCTGGGATTTCTATAATCACCTGAATTTCCTGATTTCCTGAGGTCTGTCTCACTGAAACTCTCTCTCAGTCCAATTTCTTGGGTCCAGTTTTAATGCCATTTTAATTCATCAGCAAGCTCTCCTTAGGGATTTGCCATTTGGGTCACAGAACGTGTTTGCCTCTTTCCCTGGTTCCGTTGAACTGTGAGTGGCCCTGGTTATGGCACACACTTTACCTGTGACAATTGCACCTGAACACAGCAGAGCTACTTGGCTGTAAATGAAACAGCCAATCTCTTATTTAGTTACAATGTCAGTGTAAAATGCAAACATGTTTTGAATCAAATGTATGTTATTAAATCGCTGAATGGTGGAAAAAGGGGAAAATAATATGTGGATATTTCAAGATTTTTAAAAATAAATGGAGTTGAGGAAAAAAGTCATTCAAAAACTAGTTTTTGTGATACTTCTAGCTTCTTAGCAAAGATACTGGATTCGACAGCTCAAAGAAATTTCTAAGAAGTTTCCAAACCTAAAATTTAAAACGCTAAGCGGATTCCTTTTCCTTTATGATTGCAACGTTCGAACAACATTCTGTGTGAGTGTTCATTGTCTGGTGATCTGTAATGATAGGGTTTCTGGCCAGATTCTTGACAATATCAATAAACACATTTCCTATCAACCGCAGTCTCACTCCCCTGGACATTGTGACATAAACACTAGTTGGTTAAATCCAGTCTCAGCTATTCTCTGAGAATGCCAAACTGAAACCACGTTGCACACTCGCAACGTGGCCCCAGGGGAGCCGCGGCCTGGCAACGCGCGCATCCTGTGGTAGTTCAGGAGCGCCACCTGTCGTGGAGAAGGAGAAAAGCAGGGCAGGGAAGACATTCTACATTTATTCTATTTTGGTGACATATATTCAAATAAAGGACGTATTTTCTTCTACAACTGTATTTTGCCCATTTGCTGTTTGATGATGTCTTACTAAAATGTTAAAGCGTGTTTACTGACTATAAATCGATAGTAAGTATCTTTTACAGAAAGAAAGAAAGGAAGAGAGAAAAGAGAAAGAAAGAAAAGAGAGAGGAAGGAAGGAAAACAACACTTGTCTTACCTTTATAGAAATTCCTGTGTTCAAACACTGTTCATTATATTTTTTCTTTAAATAATACCCTTAAGAAATGTACAGTTCTAAAACCCTACAACAATTTGTGTTTTTGTGGTTAAATAAACCAGTGTGAACTGTTTAAATAAACCATGAGGGCTTCATAACAGAAATTCAAATGCCCGGGTTGTGCTTGATCGTTACACAGGGTTTCAGCTGTGGTTTGCAGATTCTTGTAAACTAAACCTCATGGGAAGAGCCCACATTGACAGCTCATTTGTGAACCTTGAGGACAGAAGGCACTGAACTGCCGCCCGAAAACACTCTTCTCATTCTTAAATGTCTCTTCCATACATTCCAAGTTCCTAAAGGCATTCAACATAGCAAATGCTCTAGAAGCTATTTCTGAGTCATAAACCCAGTGACGTGAGCCAAGGTCTTCAAAGGAGACTCTCCTAATCTAAAAGCCTCTGTTCAGTGAGTGCTCCTACTTTCCGTGGCACCCAGCCTTCTTTCTCTCCGTGCTCCTCTGCATTTACCATCTCGCAGGTCAGTCCCCACCCCTTTCTGTCATCAGCACCTCTGCACCTCTGGCTTCTTCCCCTGAAGGCAGCCTGTCTGGCTGCTTCTCATCCATCAGCTCTCAGCTCACATGTCGACACTGCAATAGAAATTAGGCCTACCTATCTATTTGATTCCAACAACTCACTGTAATTCGCAACTATTCTATTTATTTTCTCTAATTTTTTCCTGGTGTGTTGCATATTTCCCTCTCCAAAATAGAAACTTGACCAATACAGCCCCTTAACTACCTTATTTACCGTTTTGTTAGCAGCATATAGTAACATGCCCTGGGGAGATGTGTGCACAATAATATTTTTGGAGTGCTGAGATGAAGGCTTTTCTATCAGTCAAACTGAACAAAATGTCTGAGGCTCTTTTGATAGGCTTAAGCGGATGTAAATAACTCTATATCATTGTAGCACGGTTTGCTGAAAGGCAACTCATGGGCTATAAAGGCAGAGAATTAAGTGTGGAAGTTTATAGTATTAGTTTGGTGAATAATATTATGATAAACATTTAAACTTTCCCTGGAATTCTGCAGCTCTGGAATAATAGATAAAAGTGTTGATGTTTCTCTAGCACAGGTAATCTCAGTGCAACTGGAGAAAGTTTGAAGTTACTGAATATTTGGCTAACTGAATTTGCTAATCTGCTTAAATAACAACTCCCAAAGTCTTGATACCCTGGTCTTTTTAAACGTGGACTAACAAAAATTCGACTGACCGAAACTTTCATTTATATTCATCTGAATATACAGCATATTCTGAATATATAGACAGGGACACTGTAATATCCCCAAAATACACATTCCTGGAACATTGCATTCTACCAGTCTTCTGTGTTACCTATTTTATGTTAATTTTGGCTACGTTATATGTTCCAGAAGTACCAAGATTTTCTACTTAAACAGTAACAAGTGAGTTTCAGTTGGGGCTGTTTATTTATGAAAGCTGTTTCATAAATAAATAAAGCTGTTTATTTATGATAGCTGCAGCTATGAGAAGCACCATGGGAGGGAGTCTGCAAACTGGTAAGACAGGAAAAGTTTCTCATGGAAGAGTAAAAGCAAGACGTTGTTTGCTAGAAAAAGGATAAACAAGAAAAAGCTAGTGTGAAAGAAAACAAAAATAACATACATAAAAGGGAGCAAATATGTTCCCCTCTCCCTGGAAAAAACAATTGTCTTTTAGCCAATAGTAAAATTAGAAAAATAAAGATAGATAATAGACACTTTGCGATATTAAGTGAGAGGAATTGAATGTGAATTTTAGTATTCTGACTTTAAAAATCAAAAATCAGAAAACCTGTTTGATATCCTAATTTTTGTTTTGAATGTTTACTGAATTATTAAATCCGAAAATCTAGGAACCAATTGATGCTGAAATGGATAGAAGTAGCACGAGTGAAAACTGAAGCAGAGGCATCAGGAAGACGCATCCTCAGAAGCTGTAAGACAGCATGGCGTGGGAGACGGCCCCTCTGTTTCGTCTCCTCAAGTTCCGTGGCAGACTAGTAAGACTGAGTTTGACACCTTGGGAGAGACACGTCTGCCAAGTTTGTCATCCATTAAATTCACATTAAATGATAAGAGTTGACCACAGTAATGTTGAGAGTTGAATAATGTTACTCTAGAAAGAAGATAAGAATTGTTTTCATATATTTGAAGAATTTTTACAAGGTAGATATCCCAAACCAGAAATGTTATATAAACTAATAGCTGGGTAACTTCACACAAAGTTGAAATAACATGGATATAGCACAGTTTAAAGGGTGATCTTTCACATTAGTCAAGAATTTTTATCAGACAGATTCATGAATTTATAGCTTTTATAATAAAAATTATTTATTAAATGGGGTTGTTTATAGTTTGGACTAATTGAGTTCATAGATCAAGGGAAAAAGCAGAAAAAGAGGTTTACACTGTGTTCTTAAAATCTTGAGTTTTTGTGTTCCTAAAGGACACATTTTAGTGAAAAAAATGTTTAAAAATTTATCTGGAAATTAGAATGTTTAAGGCCTAAATTCCCAAATTAGCCATGCTCAGATGACTTGATCAAAATGCCACATAAATCAATAATTTAAAATGGCTAGTTATGTGAACAAACAGATCTGAGCAAATTTTAGGTTTATTAACAAGGGAAAGAAAGAAAAAAGAAAACAAGAAAGGGGAGGAGGAAAGACAAGAAAGAAACTTGCTGAAGGCAACACATTGTAAGGCAACAGTAATTCTGGGAACAGGGAACTATTTGTTCTCGTGGGTAAGTGTGCATCTGCATCCATTTGTGTGTGCGAATAATATATGTTTGCTAAAACTTGAAAATGACATCATCCTTAAACATAAAAGTTTGTTAGTTTATTTAAATAATAAATTGAAATTGTGGCTGGGCATGGTGGCTCACACCTGTAATCCCAGCACTTTGAGAGGCCGAGGAGGGTGGATCACCTGAGACCAGGAGTTTAAGAACAGTCTGGCCAACATGGTGAAACCCTGTCTGCCCTAAAAATACAAAAATTAGCCAGGCATGGTGGTGCATGACTGTAATCCCACTACTTCAGAGGCTGAGGCAGGAGAATTGCTTGAACCTGGGAGGCGGAAATTGAAGTGAGCCGAGATCGCACCACTGCACTCCAGCCTGGGCAACAGAGAGACTCCATCTCAAAAAAAATAATAATAATAATAATAATAATGATGATGAATTGAAATTTTATTAAAAGTGAAAAGAATGTTTTATTGTCAAACATTTCTGTAGCTCACTCACTTGTAGAAACCATGTCTTTTTATTTGAGCCTGGCAGCTATGAACCTATTGTTATTTTTTCAGCTACAAAGTGATGTAAACAAATGTATCTATTAACATAAGTTTGCAAACTAGGCATTCTCAGGGCTGTGGTAGGGTAGGTAGGACCGTTAGACAGTCTCTTCATTCATATAAGCCCTGAAATTTAGAGAGCTGATCTCATATGAAAATGAGTTTATTGTATTTGATGTTATAAGAAAACTAATAGAACAGGCAGATGATTTTGCAGAATAAATAATGAATGCTAAAGTGTAGAAAAATATATAGAAAGCAAGGTTGGAACTCAGGGCAGGAGACACAGATGTGAGTCCCACTCCAGAGGTGATTTGAAGCTGTGCAAATCAAAAAGGTCCTAAGATGAAGAGCAAACCAAAAAAAGAACATGGTGACTACTGAATCCCAGGTAGGGTGCACAATTAGGTGGCGAAAAGAAGAGGAGACACAAATGGATACTGAGGCAAGAGACTGAACAGAGTAAAGCCTCACAGAGACCAACACTAAGCTGTAAGTAGGAAGAACTGCCTTTGGCCAGTAGAAAATATAGACTGCCGGCTCACATCTAGCCTCAGTCCTTTTGCAAACTTCAGATATTCTCTCTAATGGACGTTCTGGTGAGTTATCAAACTGAAATGGGCCATCATTAATTATTTTGTAATGCTTTATGAGGAGAATTTATTATACCGGATATTAGAATCATCTTTCTGAGTCTTAAGAGGAAATATTAAAATTCTATGTGAACTAAGCAATTGTGATTTGTTCTCTATTTTGCTTCTAAATATAAGTACTTGTGTAGATCAATGGTCCAAAAAGAGCAGAGACAGTCGTCACCGAGTGAAGACCCAAGAGATGGTAATATCCATGGAAAATAAAGATGAGAAAATGCAACTGGCCAGTAGAATCTGACAGCACGTTGAGCCTCTGCAAAAGAACTTTCTGCACTGAGTGCCCTGGGACCCACTTCCCTCTCCGGTCGTCTGTCTTGGCACAGATTGCTCAAGAAGAGCCCCCCAACTAACCCCTTTTCTCCATGACCAGAATCCTGAAAGCTGAATTGGTTCCTGTTGCTGTCCGCTCCTTGGATGGATGCCAGGGCAGCCGTTCACCGCAGGCAGTTATCAGTCACCGCTGGCAATCATGGTCCAGACCAGTTTTCCAACAGAAACACATTGCGTTATTGAAAGCAATGCACGAAATATTTTTAAAAGACTCAGTGATGCCAACGAATGTCTCAAAAGAATTCTGAAAGGGTTTCAGAAGATGGATGAATCTTTCAGTTCTAATTTTCAACAGTTAGCTTGAATCATTTCAACAGTTTCCATTTTTTTTCTCCTCAAGAAATGCATTTAGAAGAAATGTTTTTTGTTTTTTGTTTTTTATTTTTTTTCATCAACATGTTCTGAGTACACACCTACTCCGGGACCAGACCCTGTTTTCGACCTAGGAGACCCAGCAATGCATAGGACAGACACAGTCCCTCCTCTTGTGAAATTTACATTCTAGTGAAGGAAGAAAGAAATTAGATACATAAATAGATGAGGTAATTACAGGCAGTGTTAGGTGCTATGAAGAAATAAAACAAGGTCAAGAGACAGGGAGTGATTGAAGGGAGGCACAAGGAGTGATTCTGAGGTGTGAGGAGCTGTTGAAGGAACTGGCATCGGAAGTGAAATGTAAAACATAGAACTGAACCCGCTGTCTAAGTATCTGGGAGGACAATCTCAGTCGCAGTAAAAGCAAGGGTAAACCTGATATGATCTGGAGCAACAGCAACAGTGACAAAATAGCCTGGATGGCATGAAGTGGGCAATGCCAGAATGGCAAAAACTGTACAAGGGAGGCAGGCAAGCATGGAATTATTCAGAGCCCTGAGGACTATGGAAAACTCTGGAATTCACTCTATGGTCATTGAACTCATAAAGACATTGAAGTCTCCTTAACAAAGGAATGGCGCCAGTTGATTGACAGGTCGAACCTCCCTAGTTGTTACACGGCGGATTCGCTGCAGGAGAGCAGAGCTCTCCTCTTCTTTCCCTGAATGACTGCAGGAAATTGTGGTGCTGCCTTCCCTGGCAAACAAGGAGTGAAAAATCCCTTTGTGTTCAGCAGGTCAAGGTAACTCCTAGGACACAGCTTTTCAGTAAAAAGCAATCACTGGTGTTCACTAGAGTCTTGATGAAGTCTTTGTTAAGTGTAGCATATTTCTTCAATTCTTCTACCTGAGCATATCTCCTCTTCCTATTATTTGAGCTAGAAGCAATAACAATGTCCTAAGATGTGCAGTTTTAGCAGGAGTAATAGTGAACATGTTCTCAAGTAGAGGCCTTTTGGAATGATTCAGAAATTGCAGCCCATTCTGTAGCAATGAGAAATGGATATATCAGCCTTTTGTAAATTATAATGCGTAGTGCAAATAAACATCATTATGAGGGATGGAATACCCAACATGCTTAAACTAGGGCAAGCATCTGCACTAAACTACTTTTCCTCATTTGGCCCATGGATCCTCTTTTTGTAAGCAAGTATTAAACAGAGATGTTTGGCATTGCAGTGATGACCATTCTGTCAAAGTTGGAAGCTTAGAACTCTGAATTACTTTCCAAAATATAAACCTTAACCTTGAGAGAGTTGTAATCACCTGCGACATTTTTGTAAAAATTAATTAAATATTAAATAAAAGGAGCAAGGGACATAATCACTGTCAGGACTGGCACATTCTTTTCTACTGACTCTCAGAAGAAAGCACTTATGCAAAAATGCACTTTTACCTTGTTTATATTTCTTTCACTGAAATTTACTGAACAGGACCTCGGATATAAATATCAAATCAGCCATTTGCTCTTTAGCGCAGTAGTCCAAGGTCATTTCACCAAAGGGAGGAAAAATTAAAACTACATGAGACAGTAGCTCTGGAATGAGGCTTTAGGGTTACTAGTTAGTTAAAATATCAATTTCTAAGACTATGGAAAAAATCGAAAATCATTTTTTCCACTTAAAATTGTCAGACTGCTAATGCCGAAGTAGGAACATCATTTTCCCCTCAGCTGTGATTAGTACGGTGTGTAGAAAATGTATGGGCAGGTTTTCAAGGTTATCAGGCTGACAGCCATAATGACTCCATTGTACTGCAGGGGTGCAGACCCTGGGACTTAAACAGACCCTGCAGAGGCCTCTCAGCTGGATGAAAGCACGGCTCGTGGTTTCGTTGGCTAGCTGAAAACATAGATCAAAAAGGTGGCATGTCTTTATGAAGTCAAAATTAGACTCATTTCTCATCCTAAAGATGGCTCAAATGTTACAATGACAAATATTCTATGATCTAAGTGTACCAGATCCAGAAGTGCATGTTCTTCCTGATTTGCCAAGTTGAATATGTCTTTGTTATTACTCAACACAAGAGTAGAACTAGCTTTGGAAAGACAGAAATTACTTGTTCCATCTAATATCCAGGTAGTACTAGCTTTTTAGGTTCTCTGTATGAAATGCTTAAATGAGATATCAATTAAGACTTCTATAATTAATGAAGTGATTTTACATGTTGGAGTACACAAAATTATGAATTGACTTCGAAAGACAAATGTTGAAATGAGACCTGGTCAAAGTATATATGCATAAACAGTCACTAAAATGAGAGAAATATTACTTACTAAATTATAAAATAAGCACGATTTCAAGACAGTACTAAAAACTTGAATATGGTGATTTTAAAACAAAGAAAAATGTGGATTTTTATTTATTTCTTTAAAATATATTGGATAACTATCCATATTCACTTACTTATGTAGCGTTAGTTGTTTAAAATCATTAAAAAATACATGTGTATGTATAAGGCTGATAATGACATTTTCATCCTGGCTCTCCTACCTTCTGTACTACCCATCAGTACAGAACCTGGTGGGTCTTCTCCTCCCCACATGCCTCTTTCTATGACATTCAACCACTTGGGTTCCAGGTCACCTGTATGAACGCAGAGTGAGTCTGACACTGCTGTCCATTAGTACAGAAGTGTAGCTGAGATCAGGATTCTGCTGTTGGGTTGTCTGGGTAGAATCTTAGATCCACCTCTCACTTTCTGTGTGACCTTTGGTCAATTATTTGAACTCTCTGTTTTGGATTCCTTAACTTTAAAATGGGAGTATTAATATGACTACCTTTGAGTATAGCTAGGATGGTTAAAAGGCATATAATACTGTATACATAAAATGCTTGGAGCAGCGGCTAATAAACCCTACTGCTAAAAGGATATTTAGTGGTGATGGTAGACTTGTGGTGGTAGTGGTGATGGTGGTGGGACTGAGAACTTATGGTCAATCATTGAATGCATATCTAAGAAATGACATACTAGATAGGTGCAGTGGCTCACACCTGTAATCCCAGCACTCTGGGAGGCCGAGGCAGGTGGATCACCAGAGGTCAGGAGTTCGAGACCAGCCTGGTCAACATGGCAAAACCTCATCTCTACTAAAAACACAAATATTATCTGGGCGTGGTAGCATGTGCCTATAGTCCCAGCTACCAGGGGAGGCTGAGGCAGGAGAATTGCTTGAACCTGGGAGGCGGAGGTTGTAGCTAGCCAAGATTGTGCCACTGCACTCCAGCCTGGGCGACAGAGTGAGACTCTGTCTCAAAAACAAACAAACAAAAACAAAAACAAACAAAACAACAACAAAAAAGGAAATGACATACTATTTCAAACTTGGATATAAGTTGATATCCTCCCTCTGATATTATCATGTAACCTCCAATGTTAAGTGCTACATTAATAAAAATGTACATACTCATTTAATTTCTCTGGAGGAGACAGATCAACAATTCATATCCCTGTTTTTTATATGAGAATATTGAAAGGGAAGGCAATATGATAATTTGCAATTCAAGTAATTTTGTGGTTCCTTGCCTCCTACTTCTTAGAAAAATACTTAAATACTATCAGAGCAGAACCCCTTCTGATGTCCCATCATGAATTGTAAAAGCCCGAGTTTGCACCTTCCTGCTCCATCTTCCATCCCTATTCATCAGAAGTGTTTCTTCTCCACGTGGCTAATTCCTCCTTCTTGATTCTGGTCCTGTTTCTTCCCGCCTTCTCCATTACTCAGTTTTATTGCATTGATAGCCTCTACTATATTTACATCCACTCTCCACTGGCTCCTTCCCATCATTATTTTAAATTTTTTAAGCCAAAAATAAACAAAATTATTTTTTATTTTAAGAGACCTGCTCTTCCAGTTATTCCTCTGGCTCTCCCCTCACCTACAAGAATAAACTAATTTCACCAAATTATCTGTGTGTGCCAGCTACCTGTTCTCATCTTCAGCTAAAAAGTCCTTATCACATTGCAATTGAGCTTTTACTCCAATTATCTTCTGCCAGTGACCTTGTAAATAACAAACGCCCTTCATGTGCTAAATCCTCTTAACATATTGTATATCATACAGTGCTTGATTTCTTGGGATCATTTTATGTTGTTCGGCACTCTTAACCTTCAAAAATGCTTTCTTCCCAGGACACCACTTTGACCGTTTTCTTCCTTCACCACCTGCCAGTTCTTCTCAATATCTTCATTAGGACACATTCACATTGTTTTAAAATTAGATCTTTGTATATATTTCCTTTCTGATTTGCCTCAGTCATTTGAGAGTAGAAATCACACCTTGTTCTTCTTTGTATCTCCAAAGACATTACAATGTTAAATTGACGATGAAGCAATGAACAAAAGAATGCCTGAATGATGTCCTAGAAAGAAGTTTATGCATTTCAGGCTGTCAAAAATAATGCCATCAGGATAAACATTTTAAAAGGTATGGATTAACTCTAAATGTCATTTCATGTAATAAGGTTTGTCTTACTCCATTTCGTGTTGCTGTACCTGAGACAAGGTAACGTATTAAGAAAAGAGGCTTATTTGGCTCACTGTTCTGGAGGCGTGGAGGTCCAAGAAGCATGGAGCTAATGTTTGGTCAGCTCCTGGTGAGGACCTCACACTGCACCACAACATGGAGAGGTGGAAGCAGACACAGAAGCAGGTGCGCAAAAGGGGCAAGACACCAGAGGCAACCTAGATCAATAACAACCTACCCTCTCATGAATGGATCCATTCCTGCAAGAGCTAATCTAGTCTTCAAGAGTGAGAACTCATTACCAATACCATAGCGTCAAGCTGCCTGTGAGGGTGGAGCTCCCGACATGACCTTACCCACACAACTCCCTTAGTCCCCACCTCCTCGAAGTTTCACCTTCCAACATTGCTGCACTGAGAATTAAGGTCCAACATGAATTTTGGTAGGGCCACTCAAACCATACCCAAAGGATTAGGTATCAAGAGTAAAATTAGCTAATTTTGTAGGTAAAATAATGTGATGCAGATTAATTTAGTAAATATAAGGATATGACATCATGCAAGTGAATAAGTTAATCAAATAATAATTTATGTTTATCCCTTTGTTTCCGTTTTCTTAATGCATCCTTAACTGGTAAAATCTGCGACTCCTATCCACCTTTATTTTACTTAGAAGCAAACATTTAGCTCCTATCATAATTTATAAATTAAACCTGTTACTAGGAAGCCCATGGACGACCATTCAATGAATACTGGTTGAAACTGTGAAGTTCTGAGCCAGCTGTTGTGAAGGAAGTAAAAACAATGAGAGATCAGTGTTGTCTTTGTCCTCAAAGCATCATATAGTCATGAGGGGACTTCAAAAAGTTTGTGGAAAAATAAAAGAAAAAGATAAAAAATAAAACTTTTTATTTATCAACATAAGCTTCATAAAGTTCAAGACACTTTTGTAAGCAATGCTACCAGCCATTTAGTTCATCCCTAAAGAACTGAGGGTCCTTGCAATTTAAGGATGTCAATGTGGTCTTTTATACATTAGTAACTGAAGAAAAATGAGTGTTCTTTAAATACTTTTTATGATTAGGAAACAAAAAGAAACCAGAAGCAGCCAAATCAGGACTGTAAGGAGGATGTGTAATGATTTTGCATTGAAACTCTCACAAAATTGCCCTTGTTTGATGAGAGTAATTGAGCAGCAGCATTGTTGTTGTGGAGAAGCACTCTGTGGTGAAGCCTTCCTGGGCATTTTTCTGCTAGAGCTTTGGCTAACTTTCTCAATACTCTCTTACAACAAGCAGATGTTATTGTTCTTTGCCTCTGCAGAAATTCAACAAGCAAGCTGCCTTGTCTGCTTTTGCTCTACTTCCACCTCTTGTAGCCATTGCTTTGATTGTGCTTTGTCTTCAGGATTGTAGTGGTAAGGCCAAGCTTCCCCTCCTGTTATGATTCTTTGAAGAAATGCTTCAGGCTCTTCATCCCACTTGTTCAAAATTTCCATTGCAAGCTTTACTCTCGTCTTCAGCTGATCTGTTCACATTGGTTTTGGTATGCATCAAGTAGAAAGGTTCTTCAACCGTAAATTTTTTAATCATAATTGTGTAAGTTGAACCAGTGGAGGAGTCTATGGTGTTGGCTATTGTTTTTGCTGTTGATCATCAATCTTCTTCAATTAGAGAACAAACAAGATGAATTTTTTCCTCACAAATTGATGTGGATGGTTTTCTGCTGCAGACTTCATCTTCACCACCATTTCATCCTTTCTTAAAAGAACTTTTCTGTTTGTAAACTGCTGATTTCTTTGGGGCATTGTCTTCATAAACTTTTATAAAGCATCAATGACTTTACTGTTATTTCACCCTAGCATCACTATAAATTTGATGCTTATTCTTGCTTAAATTTTAGCAGAATTTATGTTGCTTTGATACGGACTCTGTTCAAATTCATATCTTATCCTTCATAGTTCCTCATACTAGATTCTGTTCAGACACGTTATAAGAAGTTAGTGTGAGTTCATTTTGGTGCAAAACATTTTTGAAATCCATGCATAGTTTTATTCATAATGTACATGAACTTTTGAAGACTCCTCATATGTTCCAAGAATTATGAAAGCAGATAGACAGTGATAAATACCACTCCAGAGTTTAAAGGTAAAATGGTAGGAGGTTGGCAGTGATAAAAAGGCTCCATAAGGTAGACGACATTACTTAAATGTAGTTTAAATAATCCTAAACTAAATTATGTATTAAAATCTAAATTGAATACAGCACAGATATACAAGGGAAAAATTAGGATCCAAACTTTAAAGTGAAAATGGATTTAAACATTTTTAGTTCAATTCTTGGTCAGTTAAAAGTGTCCCTAAAATACCCTTTAGAATAGGCACAAAATGGTCCACTGATGACTTCATTTTTCACTTTAGACAATTAAACGTAATCTTAGTTTTCAAGAGCTATTATATTTCATTTTAAAAATTACTAAGTTGATGTGTTATCTATGAACTATAATTTACTACAAATGTTTTTCTGCATATTAAAATTAGTATTCCTATACTCAAGTATCACATTGTTTATATTGTCCAAAAATAAAATGTTTTTCTGCAAATTAAAATTAGTATTGCTGTACTCAAGTATCACATCGTTTATATTGTCCACTTGAACGTTTGGACATCAACCTTATACTGAAATGATTTCTTTATATGTCTGTCCCCTCCACCAGTTGCTGAGCTCTTGGTTCTGCAACCTGGATTTTCATGTTTAGAATTTATATAACTCTTTTAAATGCTTTGCACATATTATACACTCACTAAATATTTACTGAACTGAACTGTTAAAATGCTTTGGAAAATACAGTGATGAAATGCAGTGGTTAAAATGTGCTGGTAAAAAAAACTCATTCAAATTTAAAAACTAATACATGGTTTTGTAGTAAAACTTATTTATAAATTGGGGATTTTCTGGATTACAGGAAGTACAAAATGCAGCTGTTATTTCAAGTTTCATATAGTATCAGAATTGGAGAACTCTATATTCACTTAAGTCATTTTTATATGAAAAAGTAGTTTCTGAAAATATCTTCTAAACAAACTTTAGACAATATTTAAAAGTATCCCTAAACAGACTCAGAATGTTTGTGCCTCTGTTCTAAGAGTCTGTTTCAGATCAATACACATTTTATTGTGTATTTATGCACCAGGTACTGAGGTAGACCCTGGGGATACATTGGTGAGTGATACACAGAACCTAACCTCATAATAGGTGGAGATACCGTCTTTTGACTGCACTCATGTGTTAGCCATTATTTCCATGAGAACATTCAGCCCTTGAGCTGAAGAACAGAAGCCAGGCTACCCTTTTGACTGGGAGGAATTTGGTATCCAAACTCCTGTGTTTTTCTGTCTCCATAAACCTCTTCCCTTCCCCTGAAATTGCTTCTCTAGAATGAATGATTCATGAAGATTTGGTAAATGCTTTATCAAGCTTACCAAAATAAATTATATAAGGACAGTTGAGGAATGCTACTTGAAGAGTGATTTATCATTTTTATTTATTCCCATATAATTCACATCATGTACTGCAAATATCTGAATGTGATTTTCTTGTTCTGGATTTTTGTAATTATTTACCGTACGTATATAGGTAATTTCATTTCTTCTTAATTCTTATGTTCTTAGATTTCCATCAATCTTCTCTCATTTTTCTTACCAACAGAAGTATTTGGCAGTATCTGAAGTTAGGATATGAAACAGTATTTAAGAGAGATGTGTGAAACTCACTTCCTGTTCTTGGTTAGAAGCACCTGCACACCTTGGGCAACACAGTTATCACAGCTTCAGGGATGCCACGCCATATGCTTTAAATTTTTCCCACACTTGAGACCCAGCCCAAACTACTACTTGTACTGCTAGATGCTTAAAAATAGCATATGATACAATGTAGTACCTCATAGTTTCCATCAAACGTTGCAATCAGTGTTCAACCAGAAATAAACCACATTTGTTAAATGAACGAAGTTGACATGGTTAATATCATTGGTCTGAGGGCTGCATTCTACTAAAGCAGAAATGTAAAGGTTTAAAGACCAGTTGTTTTTTGTCTGCATGAATCTAAATAAATGTATTGGTCTAATTAGCTTCACTTTTGACTCAGGAATTGAGCCTACTACTGCACTGTTGGTTTTAAGTCTTCCTCTGAAAAGGGCGTGCAATGTCACCGCAGATGACCCCAGCTCCCTCCCTATCCTTTTCTCCAGCCTTGGTGCTGATTCTTGGCAGAAGGAAAATTCTTTTTCTGTGAAATTGAATTTCACACCCCCCACCTCATTTTCTTTCCATCCTCAGCAGCTACTCTACAGCAAGGTTTGGTCATGTCATATCTTCCCAATGTTCTCGGTGACTCCTGCTCTGTTTCCACGCAGTGTTTTCCATCCCCCTCCCCCGACCCCCAAAATGGTGACCTCTCTTTTTCCCATTTACTTATTCAAACACAATGAGCACCTCCTTGAATCAGGCATTGTGCTGGGCAGTGGAATGGATTTGTGAATAGGGTCACACAGCCTGCTCCCTGGAGCCTTCATTACGCTGGGTACCCCCATGAACAGTGCAAACAATCATGGAGAAAGGAGTGGCAAAAAGGGATACCATCGTGGAATGGAGAAATTCAGAAAGGATTCTAACAAGAGAAACATTTGAGCTCAAAAGACTTCAAGGAGTAGTTTTCATATTTGAATGTGCTTCACGTGGGCCTTATTAAAAATACAGATCCCTGGGTCCTGCCATTAGATATTCTGATTTGTAAAGTGTGATGCAGGGTTTATAAATCTTCATCTTTAACCACTGGTTAAGATATTAACTGGTCCAGGTTGTTTTGATGCTAGAATTTTATGGATCGAACAGTGATCACTACTGTCTTACTGGTGGCTGAAGTATAAAAGGACGAAAAGGAGTAGGCACCCTTACAACCGGCAGGATGAGGGTGGGTGAGCAGGAGGAGTGAGGATAAGAAACGAACAAGGTAGAATTTCTGATAGAAAAGACAGCAGTTGGTTGTTAGAGGATGCATCTTCTTTGTCTAACTGGAATTTTTCTTTTGTTCTGGACTTATCTAAATAACAACAACAACAACAAATGTTAAACTTAAAATTAAAAACAAGCGCAAATAAATTTTATTCTTATATCCTTGCTTTCAAGCTGCTACTTAAGACAAAATGCTCTGGATTTCCTTATTGCACACAATATGAAATGAAATTCTAGAAATGACTCTTTTTTTAATAGATCCTATAAGACTTAAAGTGCATAGGACCTTGGTTTTACTCTTCTCTTTGTATCTGCTGAATATGATGGAAAAGCTACAGCACTGTCAACATAATCTTCAATCTCAAATTCAGATTACCACCTGAATTGACCACACCATGATTATGTGAAACTAAATGAATGAATCTGTTAGGATATTTTCAGCTGTAGCAGAAACCCCAGTCAGATTCTGATAAACAGCATGGAAATGCATTCTCTCAGTTGAAGGTAGGACAAGATCCAGGCCTGAGTGTCTCAACAGCTCACTGTAGTCATTGGAGACCCAGGTCCTGGCTTCTGCTCTGTCAGTCTCAGAGGGTCACCTTTACCCTCAGCCTCAAGCCCTCATGGCTACAGGACGGCTGTGCAATCACCTGGCCCTGTCCAGAGGAAGCGTCTCTTTTTCAAGAAGGAGAAACTTTTCTCAGAAGCCCTACAGTAGAATTTCTTCATGCTTCATTGGCCAGAATTGGGTCATAGTACCATTCATAAAGTCAGGATTGACAAGGAGGATAATACTGATTTTGTGAATTGGCTTATGTCCTCTGTCACAGAATGGTTATTTGTAAGTCAATCACACTGGCCATCCTAATGAGAGTTTCTCTGTGATGAAAAGGAAGTTTCTATTATTTTTAAAAAGTAATTAAATAAAGCATTAGAAAAAATGCCCATTGAAAAGCATCCAACGCTATCCCAAGTTCCAAAAGCATGCATATATTCATTAGTTAGTATTAGAAAATAATTTTGTATGTTATCATCTTTAACACTCTAAACTTAGTAAGCAACTTCCTGTAGCTGATGCAGACATCCAAAATGCAAGTTAGCTTAAATGGTTTGCACACTGTATTAATCTGAAAAAAATGGAGGAGCTGAAATTAAACACAATGATTGCCCCTTTAGCTAGACTTTGGTAATTTCAAATGTTACTTCATGGGCATATCATTAAATTAAATTACACTGAATTCAACAGAATGAAAATTTTAGCATCTTTTCCTTGGGTATCTGTCTTTACTGTAATGAATCATTTGTATATGTTGTTTTATTACAGCCACAAAAGAAATCATGTATTAATAGGAAGAAAGAAGCAGGTTATTACCTGCCACTGGAACAAAGTTATCACTTCTGGTTGCCATAGTAAGTCATATTGTGACGTTTTAAAAAAAACTTCCAGCCGAATATTGTCCCCAGAAGCCTTTCAACATATATTGTTAAGATACAGGATGCTTAATAATGGCTTAGATTTATGGGATGTTGCTTTTAATAAACTTCATCCTAAACCATTGCTGACTTTTTGTACTTCAGATATTTCTGACATTTGAATGTATTTTTCAAAATAAAAGTTTTAAGATCCTTCCTGCTTTGTATTTCCTTAATGCTTCTTTGCCTGCCTTAGTTTACTGTGCTTTGATTGTAGAATCTGACCAGCCTGGCTTCGAACCCCAACATAAAGAAGTTAAATAAAACTCTGAAGACATTTGACTCCTTTATGTCATATTTTTCCAGCCTAAAAATATAGCATAGAAACTTTGTGATTAAAGTAATATATATGCCTAGCATACAGTAGCTTGATAAATCATAGTGATGGCTATTGAAATACATTGTATTTTCAGTGTCTTGAAAAATGGCTAATACAGATTCATCACTCAACAAGTACTTATTAAATGAATAAACACAACATCTACTTTGTGTGTGTGTAAAAGAGCGAGATGGAGTTTAAAAATTTAGTATTTAGATGGATTATTTATTTATAATACTAATAAGCTAAACAACTTCTAAAGTTTGTCCCCAATCTGATCTTTCCCTTCTTTAGGGCCAGGATAGCTTCCTATCTAACAGGTCAAAGATTGTTGAGTGTTACAAAATATTCAACTGAACAATGACAATATAAATACAATCAATTAAATAGTGGTACTGAAAAACTTCCAAAAATATCAGGGATTTGCATATTTAAGAGAATGATTTTGAGAACTGGATAAACCAAATGGAAATAAGCGCGTAATAGAGAAAAGAAACGATGTCCAAATATGGTTATTTGAATAGATCGAGAAAAGTGATAAAACCCTAGCTTACTAGGTCAAGAAAGAGAGGAGAAAACGCAAATTACCAATATCAGAAATACGAGAGGCATTATCCCTGCACTATCTCACAAACGTTAAAACAATAATATGAGACTATAATAAGGAGCTGCATGCTGAAGGAAGAAAGGAAAGAAGGAAAAAAGGAAGGAAGAAAAGACATAAAGACCAGAAAGAAGTAAGCTATTTTGATTTGTGGATGACATGATTGTTCACACAGAAAATCCTAAGAAACCTACAAAATAACTAGTAAATGTAATAAGCTAATTGAGCATAGTTCTGAGTTAGGCTTATGTTTAAGCAGTCAATGATACTTTTATATAAAGCAATAAACAATTGGAAAATTAAAGCTTTAAAATACCATTCACAATACCACCAAAAAACATAATTCTTACAAGTTCTTTCAGCAAAAAGTGGGCAATATCTTTACAGAAATCTACAAGACATTGCCAAAAGAAACCAAAATAATATCTAAATAAACTGTAGGACACAAAGTGTTCTTGGATCATAACACACAATAATAATACGTTAACTATCCCCAATTAATTTTAAATTTAATGGAATCCTAAATATAATCCTAGCAGACATTTCTGTAGAAATCTACAATTTTACTTTTGAATTTACAGGTAATGCAAATGAGCAAAAACAATAAAGCCAAAAAAACCAGAGTGAGAGGACTCATACCATGTGATTCCTAGACTTACAGAACTATTACCATCATCAAGTCACTTGGTGCCAGCGTTCAATCAACAAATGATACACAATTGTAAGAACAAATTAGACTCCAATCATCTTATTTTACACAAAGGTAATTGGGAAATAAATTTTTTTTTCAACAGAGGGTGCTAAAATAAATATCCACATAGAAAAAATAATATGTGTAACCTCTATTTAACACTATACCCAAAACTTAGTTTAAACTAGTTAATTGATACAAATAAATGAGGAAACTAAAACTATACAGCTTTAAGAGAAAAAATAAAAATAAGTTTTTTTCTCTTTGACAATTATTTCTCATGGTACAGAATTAAATAATAGTGACAATTGATGCAGTCCATTAAAATGAAAGAATTTCTGTTCATAAAAACTCCATCATTGAAAAAAATGGACAAAGAATGCACTTGGAACAAATATTGACAAAACAATCCTTAACAAAGAGCTGAAATCTTGATAAATCCAATACTTATAAAGAATTTCTATAACTAATAATAAAAGCTAAAATAACCTCCTATGAAAAATCTTAGCAGTCATTTCAAGGAAAGATTATAAATGACCAATATCTACATGAAATGTGCTCAGTATCACTTGTATCCAGGGAAATGTAAATTAAAACCTCTAGCAGATATAGAAGAAATAGAAAAAAATGATAAAATCTAACATGGGCAAGGGTGGAGTGCAATGGGAATGTTCATATGTTGTTGGTGAAACTGGAAAATGGTAGAACTGGTTTGCAAAAAAAGTTGTATTAAACAGCCAAAATTGTACTTATAACCCCACAATTCTAATTCTAGATATTTCCCTAATAGAAATAAAAATGTCTACAAATACTTACATAGGAATATTCACAATTGCCACATTTTTCAGTTGTTGCTTTATGGCAGATATTATTATTTTATTCACTGCGTACCTATAATTATTTGGTGAGCAAAATAAAAAAATTATATCATGACTACATAGTAGTGTGTTACTAAATAATATGTAAGTAACTAAATTTCAAAAATATAAAATTTTAGTAATTTACGTCATTATTTATTTTTTATATAAAAGAAATATGTATGCCATTTCCCACCATTTTTTTCTTGATTTCACCAAAACTCCAAGTAGGAAAGACTTCTGGTTTTTAAAAGTATGTAAATTAACCTTTATATTTGGATCTAAAGTTATTTTAAAGACCATCTAACCCAGCCCCCTCAGTTTACCAAAAAAAAAAAAAAAAAGAAGATATTCAAAAAAGGCAAGTGGCTATTTATACTATCATGGAAGAAAAGAAACAGAACACAGTATATGACAAGATGTAGAAATCCATAGAACTTCTAAAATGGAGACTATTTTATTTATTTCTATAGGTACAATGACAGTGCTATCCATATTTAATTTTATTTTCATTGTCTTCTAAAACGGAGACTATTTTATTTATTTCTATAGGTACAACGACAGTGCTATCCATATTTAATTTTATTTTCATTGTCTGTCTGTTGATCTTACAGAAAGTCAATGGGCATTGACTTTGAATGAGTACTAAAGAAGGCCATTTTATAATAGGGTTATAAAACTAGCACTGAATTATTAATTTATCACAACTTGCTATTTCAAATTCTACTATTCTTCCTCATATTTCTATTAAAAGTAAAAAATTATTAATAGCAGTTTTCTGACTTTTTTTCACTAGAGGTTATATTAGGTTCTATTAATTAAATTAGATGACCTCTCATACTGTCAGGATAGAAAAAACCATTTGTAAGAACAAAGCGGAGATCTGATGAGGCGAACATTGATTTGTTTTTTCCAGTAGCATGTGTATTGATCATCAACATCCAGTCGGATTTAGCTTTTCCTGACCATGTGATGTTTTATTGCAAAATATCTAGTGTGTGGTGCCAGCCACTCAGAGCAGCTGGTGTCAAAGGGTAGTTTGATCTGTATTGTAAAACTAACAAGACTACAATTTAAAAGGCTAAAGGGCAGCCACTGCAACCAGAAGGGAGTTAAACCAAGAAGTCATGTCTATTCACACACGTTCTGTGTCCTTCAGAATTTACAGAAAACAATTTGACTGTCATTCCATATCTGGGTATTTAAAAATCAGCAGCAAAGTGTCAACATGTTTTTAAATTTAGTGCCAGATAAATATTTAAAGCACAATTCTCTGGATCTCTTCATTCATAAATATCTTAGAAATATATTTTCTTTAGAAATATATGTTCTGTCCACCAGGCAATACAAGAGTAATTTTAGTTCATCTTGGCATAGCAGAGTCCTTCATCTTTTGTGCACTTCTGCTCATCTTGGCTGTGCACTTCCTCCCAGCCGCTAAGTGACCACATACTCCCTCCAACCCAAACTTTTCCTTCAGGGATTCAGCTGATTTACATAATTTTTCACTAGCTAATTAGGTTTTTCAAGTTCATACATTATTTTATGGAATTCTTAGCACATTTGAATGTTTATTATATAAATTTTAATATAAAAGACTTTGGTCAAATTAATACACTTCTAATTGTAGAATCTTAGACATCAGTAGGGGTGTCTTCCATCAATATAGTGACAGGATGAGTGGAAACCTCCAAATTCATGCATCTTGCAAACCCAGCAACTCCATTATCAAGTACTGGACCCAGTGCTTGGGAAAAAATAAAGTATTACTTCAAATAAGAACATTCTTTTCAAATATTTAGATAATAAAATTAATATTTTGGGATTAAGTTTGTAATTTATCTGGATAGTGAATAATTAGATAGATATCAAGGATTTCCCCCAATGTGGGGAAATTATATCAATTTAAATAATCTTATATGTAATTATAAAATATGCATGTTTAAAAAGTCTAATAAAGATTAAATAGCATAGGATATTTTATATTAATAGGTTTTTTTCAACTGGATGTGTTGAAAAAATTATTCTGGTGCATCATTAAGTCAATAACATCTAATTCTCCAATTCTGGAAGGTGTTAGAAAATAGATTTTTAGAAATTTTATAATTGTCAGTGGAAATTACTTTTAAATACCTATTTATCTGAAGAAAACGTAGAGATGTTCTAATATTATATAGTGAATTGTATAATCAAAAAGGTTAATATGAAGAGAAAAATAAATTGTTAGAAGCTGCCATTATGAAATCAAAAAGAGGTGGTCTTATTAAGACAGAAAAAGAGAAGAAAGGTTAGATCTTTAGTGATGGAAAAAAAGAATGGAAAAGCATAGGAAAAAAATGGTCATGATATTTAGAAGAGAGAAAGTATTACAGGCTAGATATATATGTATAAAGAATAGAATCATCTCAGCAAGCTAGAGAGGAAAGTGGAATGGGAACACCAAGAACCTGGCATGTCAAGCCAGAGATTTTTGAATTTGATCTGAGAGAGGTTTAGGTTTCAGGGTCTGGAAGAGGCATGATGGAAGCATCCATTGACCACGCATCTGCTGGGTGACTGCACCAGTGCAGGACGGTCACCACTGACCCTGCTTAGGGCATGACTGAGGGTTGCTGAACTGCCTATGAAAGATGGATGACATGATACCGAACCACAGTCCTAGGATGTCAAAATGAGATTGTGATGTTTATTTGCACACTTGACTTGTGCTGTAATCAGTGTCTATTTTTCTTCTTTTCAATGACTCCTTTGACCAGCTCTGTGCATTATGGATAAAGCAATCAGAACATAAATTGTCAGTTTGGCTCATCACAATCCCTGAAGAGCTCAGTGAACACAGTGACCTGTTTTCCCAGCCATCTCACAATAAAAACTAAACTGTGCCAGCTTTTTTAAGGAACATTCTAGAAAAAGTCATGGTATAACCTGCCAGCTCAGTTCCAGGAAAAAGTATTGAGTGAAATGTTATGTGAAGACAGAATGTCTGTTGCATGATTCAATACTGTGATGGTGGGGATGACCTCTAAATTATGGATGGTGACTACAACCACACATGCCCTCCTATCAATTCTCTAGCTAGCTTCTTGACTCCGATGTCCAACACCATCATGCTTAGTCTGTAAGAATATTCTACTGTTTTTCTTGTTAATATTTTCAATGTTAGCATTTGTTTTTGTTGTCTTTAATGTATTTTTTATATATGTAAAATACTTGTATGATTAAAGATCAAAACTATTGTTTTAAACATACTCATACAAGTCTTGCAAACTTGTCTACCCTGTTCTTATCCATAATTTTTGTTAGTTCCTAGTTTGATATTCAGATATGTGTCTAATGTTTGGATATATTCTTATTTCCCCTTTTTTAATGTAATGTACACAGTATATCCTGCATCCCCTGCTTTGATTGCTTACAAATATATCCTAGTGATTTTTCATTCTCTCTCTCTGTGTGTGTGAGTGCGCGTGTGTGTGTGTGTGTTTACAGTTAACAACATTCCACTTGGTGATGTGTTCTATGTTGGTGGGCATTAATTTTATTCCTTAGTTTTTTGTTTTTACCAATAATGGCATACTGAATAAACTTGTACATTTCCCCTGTTTGTGGAGGTGAGTCTTACAGTTATATTTATAGAGTTGGTATTGCTCAGTCAAGTAATACAAGGAGTAACAAGTTTCTTAGATATTATCAAATTAGTTCTCCCCATAGAGATTCTATTTGCACCTCCAACAAGAAATCAGAGCAACTGATTCTCCGCATCTTGCCAAAAGAGCACATTCAAAGTTTTCTAGTTTTGCTAAGCTGATGTGTGAGAAATAATACTTGGTTCTAAAATTTTTCTAACTACATAGCAAGTTAGCAAGCATTACAGAGGAATGACGACTTGTTCTCATTTTATAGTTTTCTAAAACTATAAATAGAAGTGTTCTATTATTTAGAAATAGCTCTTTAGTGTCCTCAGATTGGCAGAACAACTTTTAAAATACCAATAGCAGGCATTACAACATTGGTTCATTTGCCAGCCAGGGGAAGAGCTGAATCTTTCTTTGTATTTTCTAAAGAAAAACTTTATAAAGCCAATTTTACATTTCATTTGGAAGTGAAGAAGACTGTCATCTGGACTCTAACATTGCACATAATACGGTTGAATATGCTGCATTACAGTCACACTGTTCCAACTTATATGTATAAATGTTTCTTTCATTTGAATAAATAAAATGACTTTCAGATTCTCTTCTAAATTAATTGTCAATTTCCTAAGATTTGACATTCAGTATATCATCCATTGCAATTAACCAAGAAGTAAAAAAAAAATAATAATAATGATTTTTTATTTTCACGGAACAATGGGATTTCATCTAGATTTTCTGATTAATTTGGTATTTTACTTTGCCATTATAATTCAATTTATGTAGCTTTTCTGTTCATTCCTCAAAGGCATTTTTATCATTCATGAAAATCTGAAATAAAAAGGAAAAATATTTCAATATTCATTTTCTCCCACAGGGATCCTTGTGCTGCTGCACTGCAAACAGCTATGTAGAACAGGCATTTTCAATGTTTTTTTTGTGCCAGAAAGCAAGTTTCAACTCTTTCATATGGTTATTTTTTATTGCTCACAAAACAAATGAAAAAAAAAATGAAATTACTTACTATTATCAGCAATATTGATTATCTAATTATCCAACAACAAAATAAAGGTAGCTGGCCAGGCTCAGTGGCTCATGCCTGTAATCCCAACACTTTGGGAGGCCGAGGCGGGCAGATCACAAGGTCAGGAGATCGAGACCATCCTGGCCAACACGGTGAAACCCTGTCTCTACTAACATACAAAAAATTAGCCGGGCGCGGTGGCGGGCGCCTGTAGTCCCAGCTACTCGGGAGGCTGAGGCAGGAGAATCGCATGAACCCGGGAGGCGGAGCTTGCAGTGAGTCGAGATTGAGCCACTGCAGTCTGGCCTGGGCGAAAGAGCGAGACTCCATCTCAGAAAAACAACAACTACAAAAAGGTAGCTAACAACCCCTTTTTGGTATATTATGTCATGCTAGAAAATAAATTATTATTAATATGTTTGTATATAAGAGGCTATTATATTCTAGATCATATTTAAAGCAACAGTACTTGGTTATCAAATTATTTTCTTAGTTATGCAGCTTCATTCTCACTATACTCATACATTTTTTCTAAAGAGAACCAAGACTACATAAAAATGTAGCATCATGTTCATCATTGACTTTTTAATAGAGAAAACATACAAATAGCAATAAATGCTTCATACTTAAAGTAATAACTGGATTGTCGTAAGTCCTTCAATATATACATTTGGTAGGTTCCAGTGATGCTTTAGCTCATAGAGAAACCCAACACATTTTGATGATAATGAAACTAAATTTTTATGTTTCAGTCTAGAAGCAAAATATATCCTGAGAAAAAAGTTTTGAAATAGGCATGTGTTGGTGAACAGTTTAATTATTTGTCATAGGTAAAAATGGAGGGAGAAAAGCTGTGTGGATGAAGTGAAAATTTTATTTCCAAAGATCATATGTATACACATATATTTTCCAAGGATCTAGAGGGGTTCTGATGATGAAACCTCCAGGTTTAGCTGTCACAATCACTAGATCTTGATTCCTTGGGCTGTGTGTCTTGATGCCACACAAGTCGGCACTTAGCACATGGAGAACCTAAGTGTCTTCCTCCCACTTCCAGCATTGAATAAACATGAAGGCAACTACTCTGCCCAGTGATGAGCTTCTCTCCAAAGCCTCTGCATTTCCCTCAGCCTCATCTCAGCTTTCATGATTCCAATCTGCCATGGAGCTAGAAATAAACATTGTATTCTAAAATACGGAGCCAAGCTAGGTGACATGCTTACAGCACTTTGGTAGGCTGAGGCAGGAGGATGCCTTGAGCCCTGTAGTTCAAGACCAGCCTGGGCAACATAAAGATACCTCATATCTACAAAATAAAAATTAAAAATTTAGCTGGGTGCGGTTGTGCCGACTGGAGTCCCAGCTCCTCAGGAGGCTGAGGAAGGAGGTTCACTTGATCCCGGGAGGTTGAGGCTGCAGTGAGCCATGATCATGCCACTATACTCCAGCCTGGACAACAGAGCAAGACCCCATCTCCATAAAAAATGTTTAAAATTAACCAGGCATAGTGGCATGCACTTTAGTCCCTGCTATTCAAGAGGCTGAGGAGGGAGGCTTACTGGAGCCCAGGAGGTTGAGGCTGCATGAGCTATGATGGCCCCACTGCACTCCAGTCTAGGCCACTGAACAAGACCCTGCCATAAAAAAATATACAGACTCCAAAATATCCCTCCACCCACCCAGTTTTCAAGTTCCTTCACACTTTAGTTTTACATTCTTTTGGCTCCAGTCCCTATCACTCACTCTCTACACATAATTCTGGAGACAAGCAGACACTGGGATATTCCATTCTTGGAATATACGAGGCACTTTAATGCCTCCTTGCTTTGATTTTAATCACTTCTGCCTAAAATCCTCCTGTCCACCAGTTGCCTCCCCATCGAATCTGTGTCTGGCCACGTGATTAGTTCCAGCCAATATAACTAGTGAATAATGATGATGAGTGTCCCACTCAGACTTCAAGAAGTGGTTGTGCCTCTCCCATTCTCTTTAGTCTTCTGTTAGGTGAATGCAGAGGCTGAGGAGAGCCTAGAAAGCAGCAAAGCCATGGGAAGGAAGGAACTCAGGTTCCAGAGTCGTGGGGTAACTGTACACCAATATGCACAGCCGCATCAGGCTGCTACTCCCACAGTAACAAGGCTCTATGAGGGCCACTGGCCTTTTGGAGCTGATTTGTTACAATTTGAAACACTAAATATTGCAGACCCTAGGAAAGGAGGATTCTACAATTTAAACTGGGCCACTTGTCTCTCATGTTTTGTCTATTTCTGTTAAGTTTAGGGAAAAAAATTATTAAGAACTTATTTTCATTAGAATACTACATTAGATTCTCTTGGGAATGTGACTATGATCAAAATATGGTCTTTAGTTTTGAAAAACTTAAAATTTAATATTATAGTTTTCACTAAACTATAAGGAGATCTCCTTTGTTTACCTGTCATCTTGGAAAATATGACGTGTTCATAAAGAAGCAACTCTAGGTGAGGCTTTTAATTCTGTATTTTGTGAAAATGAGGAAAAAAAATCCCTGTCAAATGTTATCTGAGAAATATTTCTCTAGACTGTTTAAAGACCTCCCTATGTGTAATGTACTGCACAAGTCATAGACACTTTGCAAGAACATAGTCCCTGAATTAGTTTAAAATTGTAATGAAAAGCTGAAAAGTTAGATCATTTTCTTCTCCCATTTTGGAGGAGTGTCTGGTTTATATAAAAAGAAACTGTTTTCTCTCAGTTTCAAATAATTTTAAACTAATAGAGAAATCAACTGGATAAAAGCAAAAGGAAGTTATTTGAAACTCTATAACAAGATCTTAACTTTCTTCTCTACGAGGAAAACAAAGTTTCATAGAAACGAAAATAATTCTTTTTTAAGAGGCAAAAGTAGAGTCTAAAAATTTTAGTTTAAAAAGCAATTTATACCCCAGGCGCGGTGGCTCACTCCTGTAATCCTTGCATCTTGGGAGGCCAAGGCGGGCAGATCACCTGAGGTCAGGAGTTCGAGAGCAGTCTGACCAACATGGTGAAACCCTGTCTTTACTAAAAATACAAAATTAGCTGAGCATGGTGGTGCATGCCTGTAATCCCAGCTACTTGGGAGGCTGAGGCAGGAGAATCGCTTGAACCCAGGAGGTGGATGTTACAGTGAGCTGAGATTGTGCCACTGCACTCCAGCCGGGGCAACGAATGAAACTCTGTCTCAAAAAATTTAAAAAAAGCAACTTATTCTTACAGCCAGTATCCTCCTGGAGTAATACATCACCAATAAACAATTCACAAAACGCTGTGTGAAATTTTAGTTTTATTTATATTCTTTTGGGCCATGTTAAACATACTACAGTGCAAGAGAAATCCCTTTAAATAAAGGACATGCCCTAGGGGCAATTGCCTGATGTACTTCAGATTAGCCTAGGGGATACCAGCACATGCTTTGATGAGACAGTAAATGCCTTCCTGGTTTTTGAACTAATTCTCTCATGCAAATTGCTTGTATGATGTTATGCAACAGCAAATTTTTTTTTTCACTTAGGAGGCCTGCAGAACTTTTACAGAGAAACCTGCTTAGCAGTTAAGTAAAATACTCAGTTTGATCTAAGAACAAACACATGTATCAATTCCTTAAAGAATCACATACAGAGTAGCAACAATTGAATTGTTACTCAATTTTTTTCCACTCTATTTTCATCTTAAGTTGCATAACACATTGTTTAACTTGAACACTTAAGGAAAACATACGCTGAGGGAAAATGTTTTTATGATGTTTTAAAATGGAACAGACATTTCATTCAGAATGGCACTTCCACAGTAAGTAATCAATCTTATATTTACTCCTAAGATTAATTTTTATCTAAATATTGTTCAAAAAGAGAAAGGGGACCCCTTGTACACTGTTGTTGGGAATGTAAATTAGTACAACTGCTATGGAGAAGAGTTTAGCAGCTCCTCAGAAAACTGAAACAGAACTATTATATGATTCAGGAATTCCACTGCTGGGTATAGACGCAAAATAAAGAAATTAGCATGTTAAACGGATATCCACACTCCCACGTTCATGGCAGCACCACTCACAATAGCTGAGATATGGAATCAAGTTCAGTGTTCATCCATGGATGAATGGATAAAGGAAATGTGTTGTATATGCACAAAGGAATATTGTTTAGCCATAAAAAAGAATTAAACTCTGTCATTCACAGCATTGTGGATAGAACTGGAGGACATTATGTGAAGTAAAATAAGCCAGGCACAGAAAGACAAATTTCTCATATTCTTCGTCATACGTGGGAGCTAAAAAAAAATGAAACTCACGGAGACAGAGTAGAATGGTGGTCACCAGAAGTCGGGAAGGGTGGTGGGGCGGGGGTAAGAAGAACAGGTAGTTAATGGGTACAGAAGTGTAGTTAGATAGAAGGAATCAGATCTAGTGTTTGGTAGCACAATAGAACAACCATAGTTAACAATCATGTATTCCCTATTTCAGAATAACCAAAAGAGTAGAATTGGAATGTTCCTAACACAAAGAAATTATAAGTGTTGAGGTGATAGGTATCCCAGTTACCCTGACTTAATCATTATACATTGTATGCTTATATAATAACATCACACGGACCTCATAAATATGTACAACTAATATGTATCCATAATTTTAAAAAATAGAAGGTAAATCTTATAAAAGCTTCCTTAAAATATTGGTTTAATTTTGAGTTAAATAAAAATATAAAGTTTATTGAAACAGTGATGTGTTCCAGTGTAAGAATGTCGTCTGATTTTGATTGTAGATGAGCCTTATCAAATTCAACTCTGTCTTCTCCAGCTCAGACTGCCTGCACTTCCAATGCTGCAGACAAATAGACAATGGACTCTCACTAAATGACTTCCTGTACCATATCCATATAAAGTTAATCAAAGCAACCAATCCCATTTTTTGTTGTTAGTGGCTGACTGTTATATGTGTGTCTTTTTTTGTTTTGTTTTGTTTGTGTAAAATATTTCTAACTATTGCCCTTCTCTCTTGCATTTGTATTGAGATTGCTATTATTGACCCATGCAAACTTTAAAACTGTATAAACATACACAAATTACATACACACATAAACACAAAAAGAATAACTCTAGACAAAATTATTTTCTTTCACATTTTAATCAGTAGCTTTAAAACCATATAAAATTTAAAGATCAACTTTAGCATTTCTAGCAGATTTACAGCAAACTGACATTTACAGCCCATTAAGACACTATGGTTAGAAAAAGTTTAATGAAAACAGACAAGGATTAAAGATTTTATTCCTCTCCTACCTTTTAATATTTTTCAAAATTTTGCTGTAATTGATCTGTTTTAAAATGTAATATTCAATATGAAATGCAAACAATTCTTTAAATAACTTTATCAAGTAAAATCGTGTTTTTGGTAAAACATATTGTATTAGTTCATTTTGTGTTTCTATAAAGCAATAGCTAAGGCTGGCCAATTTACGAAGAAAAAGGGATTATTTGGCCCACAGTTCTGTTTGCTGTACAAGCATGGTGTCAGCATCTGCTTCTGGTGAGGCCTCAGGGCACTTACAATTGTAGCAGAAGGTGGAGGGGGAGCAGGTGTGTTACATGGTGAGAGAAAGAGAAAGAGGGAGAGGAGGTGCTGCCAGGCTCTTTTTAACAATCTGCTCTCATGTGGCTAATAGAGTAAGAACTCATTCATTACCACAGGGACACACCAAGCCATTCATGAGGGATCCCCTGCCATGACAAAAACACTGCTCACCAGCCCCCACTGCCAACACTGGGGATCATATTTCCGCACGAGATTTGGAGGGGACGAACATCCAAACCGTATCACATATTAATCTTTCTTTTGACATTAAAGATCCAACTTTACAACCAAACGGTACTTTACCAAGTGATAAGATATTCCAGGGAATAACCCTAGAAAGGAATAGAACTCTATTTGATTAATTAATCCATAATTATTTATTGAGCTGATTCATATAGACATATGCATTTAATATTTGCTGTATTCAAATTTGCATTATTGGATATTAGTGTTATTCATAGAGGATGACTCTAACTTTACAGTGAAGGAATTCCGAGATGATAGTACTGGTAATATTTCTTTGTATTCAGAGCATGTCAGTGATAAATTCTCTCTACTGTGGTTGGCTCTTAGACCTTTATACTACCTAAGCTACTCTGATATTATAGAGCTACATTCAATAAAAATAGAGACAAGTTGCTTTTAAATCTATCTCCCATTGTCTCCCTTATTGCATTTGTATACCCTCCCCTTACAATTTGATAATAGTGATTCTATCAGAGTGATAGTTGTTCACCAACATGTATGCTACTGCTCTTACTGAGCACACATATAGATTGCATTTCTCATGCACCCTTAAAGTTAGGGGTGACAAGATGACTAATTTAGGCAGCAGAATGTAAATGAAAAATGGTATGTACTACTTGAGGCTGGGGTGTTCCAGGTGGCAGCATGGGTGCTCCATATTCAGTTCCCTGTTTCTCTCAGCTGGGAAGGAAATAAGCAGAGTGACCTTGGAAGCCATGCGCTAAAGATTGTAGAGTTTCTTTCAGGTATATGCTAATGAGTCACAGATTTGGTCTCTTTCCATAGTCCTATATTTCTTGGAGGTTTTGTTCATTTTCTAAAATTATGTTTTATTTTTGTCTCACTGAGTTGCTTTGAAGAACCAGACTTCAAGCTCTGAGGTTCTTTCCTGAACTTGATCTATCTGATGTTGATGCTTTTGGTTTTATTATAAAATTCTTGAAGTGAATTATTTAGTTCCAGAAGGTCAGTTTGGTTCTTTCTTAAAATGGTCATTTTGTTTTTCAGCTCCTGGATCACCTTACTCAATATCTTTGAGTCCTTGAATTGTGTTTCAACTTTCATCTGAATCTCCTTGCCATTCAGGTTCTGCATTCTACGGCTTTCATTTGAGTCATCTCACTCTGGCTAAGAGCCATTTCTGGGGAACTAGTATGTGTGTTCGGAGGCAGGAGAACACACTGGCTTTTTGAGATTCCAGAGTTCTTGCACTGATTCTTTCTCATGTGTGAGGTCTGGTGTTCCTTTCACTGTGATGTAAGTTGAGGATAGTCAGCTGGCTTCATTTCTCAGTGTTTTCAGAGGGCCAAGACCATTTAGAATCTTTATTTGTACCTGGATTTCTGCCGTAGTTTTCGCAGGTATCTTGGGCTGTGATCCAGTAGGTGAGGTTTAACAGGGTAGGCCGGTGGATAGGCTCTTACTCACAGGGTTCTTTTCTATTTTGGTGCAGTTGGCAGTAGTGCTTCGTGGTGGTATTTCATGCAGTTGCAGTAATGCTCTGTGGTGGTGTTTGGTGTAGTTGCAGGAGTGCTCTGTGGTGGTGTTTGGTGTAGTTGTAGTAGAGCTCTGTGGTGGTGTTTGGTGTAGTTGCAGGAGTGCTCTGTGGTGGTGTTTGGTGTAGTTGCAGTACTGCTCTGTGGTGGTGTTTGGTGCAGTTGTAGTACTGCTCTGTGGTGGTGTTTGGTGTAGTTGCAGGAGTGCTCTGTGGTGGTGTTTGGTGTAGTTGTAGTAGAGCTCTGTGGTGGTGTTTGGTGTAGTTGCAGGAGTGCTCTGTGGTGGTGTTTGGTGTAGTTGCAGTACTGCTCTGTGGTGGTGTTTGGTGCAGTTGTAGTACTGCTCTGTGGTGGTGTTTGGTGTAGTTGCAGGAGTGCTCTGTGGTGGTGTTTGGTGTAGTTGTAGTAGAGCTCTGTGGTGGTGTTTGGTGTAGTTGCAGGAGTGCTCTGTGGTGGTGTTTGGTGCAGTTGTAATAGTGCTCTGTGGTGGTGTTTGGTGTAGTTGCATTTGTGCTCTGTGGTGGTGTTTGGTGCAGTTGCATTTGTGCTCTGTGGTGGTGTTTGGTGGAGTTGCATTTGTGCTCTGTGGTGGTGTTTGGTGCAGTTGGCAGTAGTGCTCTGTGGTGGTGTTTGGTGCAGTTGCAGGAGTGCTCTGTGGTGGTGTTTGGTGTAGTTGCATTTGTGCTCTGTGGTGGTGTTTGGTGTAGTTGCATTTGTGCTCTGTGGTGGTGTTTGGTGTAGTTGCATTTGTGCTCTGTGGTGGTGTTTGGTGTAGTTGCATTTGTGCTCTGTGGTGGTGTTTGGTGTAGTTGCATTTGTGCTCTGTGGTGGTGTTTGGTGTAGTTGCAGCAGTGCTCTGTGGTGGTGTTTGGTGCAGTTGCATTTGTGCTCTGTGGTGGTGTTTGGTGCAGTTGCAGGAGTGCTCTGTGGTGGTGTTCGGTGTAGTTGTAGTAGTGCTCTGTGGTGGTGTTTGGTGCAGTTGCAGGAGTGCTCTGTGGTGGTGTTTGGTGCAGTTGCATTTGTGCTCTGTGGTGGTGTTTGGTGCAGTTGCAGGAGTGCTCTGTGGTGGTGTTTGGTGTAGTTGTAGTAGTGCTCTGTGGTGGTGTTTGGTGTAGTTGTAGTAGTGCTCTGTGGTGGTGTTTGGTGTAGTTGCAGTAGTGCTCTGTGGTGGTGTTTGGTGTAGTTGCAGGAGTGCTCTGTGGTGGTGTTTGGTGTAGTTGCATTTGTGCTCTGTGGTGGTGTTTGGTGTAGTTGCATTTGTGCTCTGTGGTGGTGTTTGGTGTAGTTGCATTTGTGCTCTGTGGTGGTGTTTGGTGTAGTTGCAGCAGTGCTCTGTGGTGGTGTTTGGTGCAGTTGCATTTGTGCTCTGTGGTGGTGTTTGGTGCAGTTGCAGGAGTGCTCTGTGGTGGTGTTCGGTGTAGTTGTAGTAGTGCTCTGTGGTGGTGTTTGGTGCAGTTGCAGGAGTGCTCTGTGGTGGTGTTTGGTGTAGTTGCATTTGTGCTCTGTGGTGGTGTTTGGTGCAGTTGCATTTGTGCTCTGTGGTGGTGTTTGGTGCAGTTGCAGGAGTGCTCTGTGGTGGTGTTTGGTGTAGTTGTAGTAGTGCTCTGTGGTGGTGTTTGGTGTAGTTGTAGTAGTGCTCTGTGGTGGTGTTTGGTGCAGTTGCAGGAGTGCTCTGTGGTGGTGTTTGGTGTAGTTGCATTTGTGCTCTGTGGTGGTGTTTGGTGCAGTTGCATTTGTGCTCTGTGGTGGTGTTTGGTGCAGTTGCAGGAGTGCTCTGTGGTGGTGTTTGGTGCAGTTGCATTTGTGCTCTGTGGTGGTGTTTGGTGTAGTTGTAGTAGTGCTCTGTGGTGGTGTTTGGTGCAGTTGCAGGAGTGCTCTGTGGTGGTGTTTGGTGTAGTTGCATTTGTGCTCTGTGGTGGTGTTTGGTGCAGTTGCATTTGTGCTCTGTGGTGGTGTTTGGTGCAGTTGCAGGAGTGCTCTGTGGTGGTGTTCGGTGTAGTTGTAGTAGTGCTCTGTGGTGGTGTTTGGTGCAGTTGCAGGAGTGCTCTGTGGTGGTGTTTGGTGTAGTTGCATTTGTGCTCTGTGGTGGTGTTTGGTGCAGTTGCATTTGTGCTCTGTGGTGGTGTTTGGTGCAGTTGCAGGAGTGCTCTGTGGTGGTGTTTGGTGTAGTTGCAGTAGTGCTCTGTGGTGGTGTTTGGTGTAGTTGCAGGAGTGCTCTGTGGTGGTGTTTGGTGTAGTTGCATTTGTGCTCTGTGGTGGTGTTTGGTGTAGTTGCATTTGTGCTCTGTGGTGGTGTTTGGTGTAGTTGTAGTAGTGCTCTGTGGTGGTGTTTGGTGTAGTTGCATTTGTGCTCTGTGGTGGTGTTTGGTGTAGTTGCATTTGTGCTCTGTGGTGGTGTTTGGTGTAGTTGCATTTGTGCTCTGTGGTGGTGTTTGGTGTAGTTGCATTTGTGCTCTGTGGTGGTGTTTGGTGTAGTTGCATTTGTGCTCTGTGGTGGTGTTTGGTGTAGTTGCATTTGTGCTCTGTGGTGGTGTTTGGTGTAGTTGCAGCAGTGCTCTGTGGTGGTGTTTGGTGTAGTTGCAGTAGTGCTCTGTGGTGGTGTTTGGTGCAGTTGCAGGAGTGCTCTGTGGTGGTATGTGGTGTAGTTGCAGTAGTGCTCTGCGGTGGCGAGTGGAGGAGAGAGATGACTCCTAACCGGGTCCACTCGCGAGCATTAGAGAAGCTCCCTGTGATCACTGGCTTTGTACCTGCCTTTCCTTTGTTAGGTGTTGTGGTCCATAGGGCTCTCTCAGGGAGAGAGCAGCAGGACCCTTCACAGCAGGTCCTTTGGAGGGAGGTATGCCTTGTCACTCCACTCACTCTGCAATCCCCGGCACCTAACTCTTCTCAGCGTTGAAAATGACACCTTCCCCACTTCTTGGGCATTGCAGACGCCGGCAAGTCCCAACAGGCTGCCAGCAGTGGGGGTGCGTGGAGTGACCCTATCCAGTGACTGGGCGCTTCCCAAGGGAACTGGAACTTTTCCCACCCACAGAGTTCAGGCAGAGGTGGCTCCACAGTGTTGGAATCCCCAACTGGCATGTTCCACCTGGCTGGGAGCAGCATGGGTGAGTGTGGTTGCCTGCACTGTCATCCAGGTGTGTTTCCTGGGGGGACCTGGAGCTGCACCTGCCCCCAGAATTCAGGCGGAAGTGGGTTCACTCTGCTGGAGGCTCTTGCAGGCCTGGCCTGCCCCGCTATGAACAGCAAAGGCAAATGAAGTCACCGCCTCCCACCATCCACGTGCTTCCTGGTGAGAGGTGACAGCGTGCTGGCAGTCCTCTCAGCTCTGAGGCGCCTCCTGTGCCTGGGCTCCCACTTTGGGGGCACTTGAGGAGCCCTTCAGCCCACCGCTGCACTGTGGGAGCCCCTTTCTGGGCTGGCCAAGGCCGGAGTCGGCTCCCTCAGCTTGCAGGGAGGTGTGGAGGGAGAGGCACGAGCGGGAACCGGGGCTGCGCGCGGCCCTTGCGGGCCAGCTGGAGTTCCGGGTGGGCGTGGGCTTGGCGGGCCCCACACTCGCAGCAGCTGGCGGCCCCTGCCGGCCCCGGGCAATGAGGGGCTTAGCACCCGGGCCAGAGGCTGCGGAGGGTGTACTGGGTCCCCAAGCAGTGCCAGCCCACCGGCGCTGCGGTCAACTTCTCACCAGGCCTTAGCTGCCTTCCCGCGGGGCAGGGTTCGAGACCTGCAGCCCGCCATGCCTGAGCCTCCCCCTCTCCATGGGCTCCTGTGCAGCCCAAGCCTCTCCGACAAGCACCAACCCCTGCTCCACGGCGCCCAGTCCCATCGACCACCCAAGGGCTGAGGGGTGCGGGTGCATGGCGTGGGACTGGCAGGCAGCTCCACCTGCAGTCCTTGTGCGGGATCCACTGGGTGAAGCCAGCTGGGCTCCTGAGTCTGGTGGGGACTTGGAGAACCTTTATGTCTAGCTAAGGGATTGTAAATACACCAATCAGCATTCTGTATCTAGCTCAAGGTTTGTAAACACACCAATCAGCACCCTGTGTCTAGCTCAGGGTTTGTGAATGCACCAATGGACACTCTGTATCTAGCTAATCTAGTGGGGACGTGGAGGACCTTTATGTCTAGCTCAGGGATTGCAAACGCCCCAATCAGCACCCTGTCAAAACAGACCACTCTGCTCTCTGTAAAATGGACCAATCAGCAGGATGTGGGTGGGGCCAGATAAGACAATAAAAGCAGGCTGCCCGAACTAGCACTGGCAAGCCGCTGGGGTGCCCTTCCGCAAGTGGAAGACTTGTTCTTTAAGTCTTTGCAATAAATCTTGGTACTGATCACTGTTTGGGTTCACACCACCTTTAAGAGCTGAAACACTCACCGCGAAGGTCTGCAGCTTCACTCCTGAGCCAGCGAGACCACGAACCCACCAGAAAGAAGAAACTCCGAACTCATCCGAACATCAAATAGAAGAAACTCTGGACACGCCGTCTTTAAGAACTGTAACACTCCCCGTGAGGGTCCACGGCTTCATTCTTGAAGTCAGTGAGACCAAGAACCCACCAATTCCGGACACACTGGGGGAACCTGGAGCTGTGGCTGCCTACAGAGTTCAAGCAGAAGCAGGGCTGCTGTCTGGAAGCGGCTGCTCACGGGGCCCTGTCTGCTGAGGAGCGGTGGAGTAACGTAACTGCTCTCTGGCACTGCGACTGACGGTGGCCTCTATGGAGCTGTGGCACCGGCACCAGGCTGTGCTGGGGGAGTCCCTGTGGACCCGAATGTTGCCTCCGCAAAGACTCCAGGCAGTTACGTGTATCAGCCTAGGTGGATTGTGGGGCAGGGGCAATCTCCCATTCCCAGGCTGGCAGGTCCCTTGCTCAGCTTTGCTCCCCTCTGTTTTCTGTGTCCCCTCGCTGCCTTGGTGGATCCTAACACAGTTTCTTAGGGGATCAGCTTGCAGGGTCAGTGTTTACTCCCCACCCTGTCTCCTTTCCCTGAGAGCAGCGCACGCTGGCGGCTTCTACTCCGCCATCTTGACCCCTCCCCTTGTTTAATTTAATTTAATTTTATATTTAAAACTGTTTAGTTTTCAAGTGTTTGGAGACTTTCCTGTTATTTTTCTTTTGATCTCTATTTGTATTCACTTGTGATCAAATAACATACTCTGAATTATTCAATTTTTAAAACATTTATTGGGTTTTTTTATGGCTAAGGTCATAGTCTATTTTGATAACTATTCTGTGCACACTTAGAAGAGGTAGTGTATTATAAATGTTTATTAGATCCTGTAGGTTTTTGAGGTCCTTCTATATCCTCGCTGATTTCCTGTCTAGCTTCTATCAGTTGCGAGGGATTGTTGAACTCTCCAGTTACAATCTCTTTTACAACATGCTCTGACACAGCCATTTTGATTCCTCATCCGTGAGGAGATATGACTTAAAATAACCGTTACTCTTTTAAAAACTTTATTGACTAAACATACCAATACAATAATTTAACCAGTCTAATTTCCTCTCAGTAATTCATTTTTATTCTTTTATGCCTGTTCCCTATAGATAGCACTTATTATTTACCTCCAAAGTGCTGGTTACAACAAAACTATTTTTGCCTTTTTCTTTTTTTTCCAAATACATTTTCAAAACTCATTGTAGAGACATTATGTATGGGAGGCAATATTTTCAAGCCTTTTTGAGAACCAAATACTAGAACCCTGAGGGATTTGAGAAATAAAGTTCACTTATAAATAATAGATTAGGAAGAACATATGACAAAATAGAAGTCAGTTTCCTTGCCCTGAAGGAAATGAAGATCCCTGTACTGCGAATGGAGAAAAAGCCATTTAAGTTCATAGAATTAGCAAAAATTCTCACATCCCTAGTGTGATGTGACCTGCTAGAATATGCCACACTAGGTAATGAGAGAAATCAAGGACCAGACGGGAAAAATGTATGTCTTGTCCTGTGCCAACATGGAGAGTTGACAGATAAGCCAGCATGCCTTCCTTTCCCTAAACTTGACAATTCTTTTTTCAGCTTTTATTTTAGATTCAGGGGGTACATGTACAGGTTTGTTACATGGATGTATTGTGTAATACTGAGGTCTGGGGTACGATTGATCCTGTCATCCAGGTATTGAGCATAGTACCCAATAGGTCGTGTTTCAGTCCTTGGCACTGTCTACCCTCCCCACTCTAGTAGTCCCCATTGTCTGTTGCTGCTATCTTTATGTTCACGTGTGCCCAATGTTTAGCTCCCATTTTTAAGTGAGAACACCTTGTATTTGGTTTTCTGTTCCTCTGTTAATTGGCTTCAGATAATGGCCTCCAGCTCCATCCACGTTTCTGCAAAGGACATTATTTCATTATTTTTTATGGCTGTGTAGTAATCTACAGTGTATATGTACTGCGTTTTATTTATCCAATCCACCGTTGATGAGGACCTAGATAGATTCCACGTTTTTGCTATTATGAATAGTGCTGCAATGAACATGCAAGTGCATACATCTTTATGCTAGAATGATTTACTTTCCTTTGGGTATATATCCAGTAATATAATTGCTGAGTTGAATGGTAGTTCAACTCTCAATTCTTTGAGAAATCACCAAACTTCCCTCCACAGTGGCTAAACTAATTTACATTTCCATTAACAGTGTATAAACGTTCCTTTTCTCTGCATTCTCATGAACATCTGTCACTTTTTGGCTTTTTAACAAATGCCATTCTGACTGGTATGAGATGGTAACTCGTGGTTTTGATTTGCATTTCTTGGATGATTAGTGATGTTGAAGATTTTTTAATATGTCTGTTGCCCACTCGTATGTCATCTTTTGAAAAGTATCTATCTGTGTTCTTTGCCCGCTTTTTAATGGGGCTATTTGGTTTTTTGCTTATTGATTTGTTTAAGTTTCTTATAGATTCTGGATGTTAGGTCTTTGTCAGATGCATCATTTGTGAATATTCTCTCCCATTCTACAGGGTGTCTGTTTACTCTGGTGATAGTTTCTCTTGCTATGCAGAAGCCCCTGAATTTAATTAGGCCGCACTTGTCATTTTTTTAAATTATAATTGGTTTTTAGGACTTAGCCATAAATTTTTTGTCAAGGCCAATGTTGAGAAGAGTATTTCTTAGGTTTTTTTCTAGAATATTTATAGTTTGATGTCTTTTTTCAATTTATTATACTTTAAGTTCTAGGGTACATGTGCACAACCTGCAGGTTTGTTACATAGGTATACATGTGCCATGTTGGTGGTTGCACCCATTAACTCATTTTTTACATTAGGTATTACTCCTAATACTATCCCTCCCCTATCCCCCACCCCCAATAGGCCCCAGTGTGTGATGTTCCCCTCCCTGTGGCCATGTGTTCTCATTGTTCAACTCTCACTTATGAGTGAGAACATGAGGTGTTTGGTTTTCTGTCCTTGTGATATTTTGCTGAGAATGATGGTTTCCAGCTACATGCATGTCCCTGCAAAGGACATGAACTCATCCTTTTTATGGCTGCGTAATATCCCATGGTATATATGTGCCACATTTTCTTTATCCAGTCTATTATTGATGGAAATTTGGGTTGGTTCCAAGTCTTTACTATTGTGAATAGTACCGCAATAAACATACATGTGCAGGTGTCTTTATAGTAGCATGATTTATAATCATTTGGGTATACACATAGTAATGGGATTGCTGGGTCAAATGGTATTTCTAGTTTTAGATCCTTGAGGAATTTCCACACTGTCTTCCACAATGGTTGAACTAATTTACACTCCCACCAACAGTGTAAAAGCGTTCCTATTTCTCCACATCCTCTCCAGCATCTGTTGTTTCCTGACTTTTTAATGATCACCATCCTAACTGGCATGAGATGGTATCTCATTGTGGTTTTGATTTGCATTTCTCTGATGACCAGTGATGATGAGCATTTTTTCATATGTCTGTTGGCTGCATAAATATCTTCTTTTCAGAAGTCTCTGTTTGTATACTTTGCCCACTTTTTGATGGGGTTGTTTTTTCTTGTAAATTTGTTTAACTTCCTTGTAGATTCTGGGTATTAGCTCTTTGTCAGATGGATAGATTGCAAAAATTTTCTCCCATTCTGTAGGTTGCCTGTTCACTCTGGTGATAGTTTTTTTTTTTTTTTTTTTTGGTGTGCAGAAACTCTTTAGTTTAATTAGATCCCATTTGTCAATTTTGGCTTTTGTTGCCATTGCTTTTGGTGTTTTAGTCATGAAGTCTTTGCCCATGCCTATGTCCTGAATGGTACTGCCTAGGTTTTCTTCTAGGGTTTTTATGGTTTTAGGTCTCACATTTAAGTCTTTAATCCATCTTGAGTTAATTTTTGTATAAAGTGTAAGGAAGGGATCCAGTTTAAGCCTTCTATATATGGCTAGTCAGTTTTCACAGCACCATTTATTAAACAGGTAACCCTTTCCCCATTGCTTGTTTTTGTCAGGTTTGTCAAAGATCAGATGGCTGTAGATGTGTGGTGTTATTTCTGAGGCCTCTGTTCTTTTCCATTGGTCTATATATCTGTTTTTGTACCAGTATCATGCTGTTTTGGTTACTGTAGCCTTGAAGTATAGTTTGAAGTCAGGTAGCATGATGCCTCCAGCTTTGTTCTTTTTGCTTAGGATTGTCTTGGCAATGCAGTCTCTTTTTGGTTCCATATGAACTTTAAAGTAGTTTTTTTTTTTTAATTCTGTGAAGAAAGTCAGTGGTAGCTTGATTGGAACAGCACTGAATCTATAAATTACCTTGGGCAGTACGGCCATTTTCACGTTATTGATTTTTCCTATGCATGAGCATGGAATGTTCTTCCATTTGTTTGTGTCCTCTTTTATTTCATTGAGCAGTGGTTTGTAGTTCTCCTTGAAGAGGTCCTTCACATCCCTTGTAAGTTGGGTTCCTACTTTATTTTCTTTGTAGTAATTGTGAATGGGAGTTCACTCATGATTTGGCTCTCCGTCTGCCCTTGGTGTATAGGAATGCTTGTGATTTTTGCATATTGATTTTTTTATGCTGAGACTTTGCTCAAGTTGCTTATTAGCTTGAGGAGATTTTGGGCTGAGATGATGGGGTTTTCTAAATATACATTCATGTCATCTGTAAACAGAGATGATTTGACTTTCTCTTTTCCTAATTTAATACCCTTTATTTCTTTCTCTTGTCTGACTGCCCTGACCAGAACTTCCAATACTATGTTGAGTAGGAGTGGTGAGAGAGGGCATCCTTGTCTTGTGCCAGTTTTCAAAGGAATGCTTCCAGTTTTTGCCTATTTAATATGATATTGGCTGTGGGTCTGTCATAAATAGCTCTTATTATTTTGAGATATGTTCCATCAATACCTAGTTTTTAGCATGAAAAGTTGTTGAATTTTGTCGAAGGCCTTTTCTCCATCTATTGAGATAATCATGTGGTTTTTGTCATTGGTTCTGTTTATGTGATGGATTACGTTTATTGATTTGCATATGTTGAACCAGCCTTGCATCCCAGGGATGAAGCCGACTTGATTGTGGTGGATAAGTTTTTGATGTGCTGCTGGATTCAGTTTGCCAGTATTTTATTGAGGATTTTCACATAGATGTTCATCAGCGATATTGGGCTAAAATTCTCTTTTTTTGTTGTCTCTGCACCAGGCTTTGGTATCAGGATGATGCTGGCCTCATAAAATGAGTTAGGGAGGATTCCCCCTTTTTTTATTGATTGGAATAGTTTCAGAAGGAATGGTACCAACTCCTCTTTGTACCTCTGGTAGAATTCAGCTGTGAATCCATCTGGTCCTGCACTTTTTTTTAATCAGTAGGCTATTAATTATTGCCTCAATTTCAGAACCTGTTATTGGTCTATTCAGAGATTCAACTTCTTCTTGGTTTAGACTTGGGAGTTTGTATGTGTCCAGGAATTTATCCATTTCTTCTAGATTGTCTAGTTTATTTGCGTAGAGGTGTTTATAGTATTCTCTGATGGTAGTTTGTATTTCTGTAGGATCAGTGATGATATCCCCTTTATCATTTTTTATTGCATCTAATTGTTTCTACTCTCTTTTATTCTTTACTAATCTTGCTAGCGGTCTATTTTGATTTTTTTCAAAAAACCAGCTCCTGGATTCAGTGATTTTTTGAAGATTTTTTTTTTTGTGTGTGTGTGTGTGTGTCTCTATCTCCTTCAGTTCTGCTCTGATCTTAGTTTTTTCTTGTCTTCTGCTAGCTTTTGAATGTGTTTGCCCTTGCTTCTCTAGTTCTTTTAATTGTGACATTAGTGTGTCAATTTTAGATCTTTCCTGCTTTCTCTTGTGGGCATTTAGTGCTATAAATTTCCCTCTAACCCTACTTTAAATGTGTCCCAGATATTCTGGTACTTTTTGTCTTTGTTCTCATTGGTTTCAAAGAACATCTTTATTTCTGCCTTCATTTCATTATTTACCCAGTAGTCGTTCAGGAGCAGGTTGTTCAGTTTCCATGTAGTTGTGCAGTTTTGAGTGGGTTTCTTAATCCTGAGTTCTAATTTGATTGCACTGTGGTCTGAGAGACAGTTTTTTGTGATTTCTGTTGTTCACATTTGCTGAGGAGTGTTTTCCAATTATGTGGTCAATTTTAGAATATGTGCGATGTAGTGCTGATGAGAATGTAAATTCTGTTGATTTGGGGTGGAGAGTTCTGTAGATGTCTATTAGGTCCACTTGGTGCAGAGCTGAGTTCAAGTCCTGGATATCCTTGTTAACCTTCTGTCTTGTTGATCTGTCTAATGTTGACAGTGGGGTGTTAAATTTTCCCATTTTTATTGTGTGGGAGTCTAAGTCTCTTTGTGTGTCTCTAAGGACTTGCTTTATGAATCTGGGTGCTCCTGCATTGGGCACATGTATATTTTGGATAGTTAGCTCTTCTTGTTGAATTGATCCCTTTACCATTATGTAGTGGCCTTCTTTGTCTCTTTTGATCTTTGTTGGTTTAAAGTCTGCTTTATCAGAGACTAGGGTTGCAACCCCTGCTTTTTTTTGCTTTCCATTTGCTTGGTATATCTTCCTCCATCCCTTTATTTTGAGCCTATGTGTGTCTTTGCATGTAAGATGGTTCTCCTGAATGTAGCACACTGATGGATCTTTACTCTTTATCCAATTTGCCAGTCTGTGTCTTTTAATTGGAGCATTTAGCCCATTTACATTTAAGGTTAATATTGTTATGTGTGAATTTGATCCTGTCATTATGATGCTAGCTAGTTATTTCACCCATTAGTTGATGCAGTTTCTTCATAGCATTGATGGTCTTTACACTTTGGCATGTTTTTGCAGTGGCTGGTACCGGTTGTTCCTTTCCATGTTTAGTGCTTCCTTCAGGTGCTCTTATAAGGCAGGCCTGGTGGTGGCAAAATCTCTCAGCATTTGCTTGTCTGGAAATGATTTTATTTCTCTTTCACTTATGAAGTTTAGTTTGGCTGGATTTGAAATTCTGGGTTGAAAATTCTTTTCTTTAAGAATGTTGAATATTGACCCCCACTCTCTTCTGGCTTGTAGGGTTTCTGCGAAGAGATCTTCTGTTAATCTGATGGGCTTCCCTTTATGGGTAATTCCACCTTTCTCTCTGGCTGCCCTTAACATTTTTTCCTTCATTTCAACTTTGGTGAATCTGACAATTATGTGTCTTGGGATTGCTCTTCTTGAGGAGTATCTTTGTGGTGTTCTCTGTATTTCCTGAATTTGAATGTTGGCCTGCCTTGCTAGGTTGGGGAAGTTCTCCTGCATGATATCCTGAAGAGTGTTTTCCAACCTGGTTCCATTCTCCCCATCACTTGCAGGTACAGCAATCAAACGTAGATTTCGTCTTTTCACATAGTCCCATATTTCTTGGAGGCTTTGTTCGTTTCTTTTCACTCTTTTGTCTAATCTTGTAGCCATGCTTTATTTCATTAATTTGATCTTCAATCACTGATATCCTTTCTTCTGCTTGATCGAATTGGCTTTTGAAGCTTGTGTATGCTTCACAAAGTTCTCATACTGTGGTTTTCAGCTCCATTAGGTCACTTGAGCTCTTTTCTACACTGGTTATTCTAGTTAGCCATACATCTAACCTTTTTTCAAGGTTTTTAGCTTCCTTGCAATGGGTTAGAACATGCTCCTTTAGCTCAGAGAAGTTTGTTATTACCAATCTTCTGAAGCCTACTTCCGTCAACTTGTCAAACTCATTCTCCATCCAGTTTTGTTCCCTTGCTGGCAAGGAGTTGTGTTCCTTTGGAGGAGAAGAGGCATTCTGGTTTTTGGAATTTTCAGCCTTTCTTCTCTGGTTTCTCCCCATCTTTGTGATTTTTATCTACCTTTGGTCTTTGAGGTTGGTGACCTATGGATGGTGTTCTGGTGTGGATGTCCTTTTTGTTGATTTTGATGCTATTCCTTTCTGTTTGTTAGTTTTCCTTCTAACAAATGGGCCCCTCAGCTGCAGGTCTGTTGGAGTTTGGTGGAGGACCACTCCAGACCCTGTTTGCCTGCATATCAACGGCTGAGGCTGCAGAAGAGCAAATACTGCTGCCTGATCCTTCCTCTGGAAGCTTCATCCCAGAGGGCCAACCACCTGTGTGAGTTGGTGACTCACACAGGTGACTGGGAGATGTCTCCCAGTCAGGCTACACGGGGGGCAGGGACCCACTTGACGAGGCAGTCTGTCTGTTATCAGAGCTTGAACACCATGCTGGGAGAACCACTGCTCTCTTAAGAGCTGTCAGGCAGGTATGTTTAAGTCTGGAGAAGCTGTCTGCTGCCTTTTGTTCAGATATGCCCTGCCCTCAGAGGTAGAATCTAGAGAGGCAGCAGGCCTTGCTGAGCTGTGGTGGGCTCCACCCAGTTTGAGCTTCCCTGCCGCTTTGTTCACACTGTGAGCCTAGAACTGCCTACTGAAGTCTTGGCAATGGCAGATGCCCCTCCCCATGCCAAGCTCCAGCATCCCAGGTTGATCTCAGACTGCTGCACTAGCAGCAAGCAAGTCTCCATGGGCATGGGACCTGCCGAGCCAGGCACGGGAGGGAATCTCATGGTCTGCCGGTTGCAAAGACTGGGAAAAGCACAGTACTTGCGCAGGAGTGCACCATTCCTTCAGGTACAGTCACTCACAGCTTCCCTTGGCTAGGAAAGGGGAATCCCTCAACCCCTTGCACTTCCCAGGTGAGGTGATGCCCTTCCCTGCTTCAGGCTGCCCTCTGTAGGCTGCACTCACTGTTCAACCAGTCCCAGTGAGAAGAACCAGGTACCTCAGTTGGAAATGCAGAAATCACCCGTCTTCTGCATCAATCTCACTGGGAGCTGTAGACTGGAGCTGTTCCTATTCGGCAATCTTGGAAGCAACCAGTTTGAGGTCTGACATTTAAATATTTGATCGATCTTCAGTTAATTTTTGTATATGGCGATAGGTAGGAGTCAGTTTATTTCTTCTCCATATGGACAGCTAATTATCCCAGCACCATTTATTGAATAGAGAGTCCTTTCGCCATTGACTGTTTTTTGTGGACTTTGTCAAAGATCAGATGGTTGTCAGCATGCAAGCTTATTTCTGGGTTCTCTATTCTCTTCCATCGGTCATTGTGTCTAGTTTGTACTAGTACTATACTGTTTTAGTTATTGTAGCCTCTTAGAATAAACTTGACAATTCTAATAAAGCTCTTTAAAATTTAACTAGAATTGTGAGGAAGAAAATGGAATTGACCAGATTAATCCAGAATTGTGTGAGAGTAAATTCCTAGCCACCAGAATGAAATACCTGCTCATATTATAAATTCACTTATAGGAAAACAAAACTGCCTTTACTTCTACACCTAAGTTTGTAAACTATGAAATGTGTAATGGCCACAACTATATACATCACACAGACAGACTTAACCCATCCTGCATTTTGCCAGAGTACTGGTGTCTTTTCCATTCATGACTCCGAAGAATGTGGTAAATGCAGGGGTTGTAAGAAAGTCAGTGAGGGGTCGGAATTAGAAATGTGGGGGGTGTCAGGGATCTAAAAATTATTTGGAAATCAAGAATGTTGAAATATTAGTGGCTTGGAATAGGAATATCAAAATTTTCAAAAGGTCATAAAAGGACCCTTGGCTGGGCATGGTGGCTCACACCTGTAATCCCAGTACTTTGTGAGGCTGAGACGAGCAGATGGCTTGAGGTCAGGAGTTCGAGACCAGCCTGGCCAACATGGTGAAACCCTGTCTCTACTAACAATAAAAAAATTAGCTGGTCATGGTGGCATATGCCTGTAGTCCCAGCTACTTGGGCAGCTGAGGCAGTAGAATAGCTTGAACCTGAGAGGCAGATGTTGCCATAAGCCAAGATCATGCCACTGTACTCCAGTCCAGATGACAGGCTCCATCTCAAAAAAAAAGAAAAGAAAAGAAAAGAAAAGCCACCTTCAAATTGTCACTCATATCTTAAACTATACATTTCCAAGGCATTCCGGACAAACGTTCATATGCCCCAGCCCAATCCCTGGACTTTAAGAACAGCCTAGCCTACAACTTTTCTGCACAGCAAATGTACCCCAAGTTATAACCTAAATTCATACATGAGAACTATAACAGAAATAATCAAAATGTTTTGTACAAAGACAATTAGCAAAAATCAGATAGAAACATCTTTGTTTAAATCATAGTTCTATTTCTTAACCAAGTAATATCTTTAATGGGGATAACCATTTCATCATCAGAGCATCATAGTGAAAGGTAGAGCTCATAGTACATTCTTGAGACACGTGAGTTTTTTCTTAATCTGACAAGTGCTACTTCTTCATAATTAGTGCATTGGATAAATTATATAATCTATCTGAATCTTCATTTCTTAAAAGCATGTGAAAACGTTATAGTGCTGAATAAATGAGGTAATATATATGTTGGCCCTTTAGATATTAAAAAAATACAAATCAAACCATCATCATTATTACATCATAATTATGTTATAATCACAATTGATTGAAAACCTAACTTTCTCATTAAATGTGAAGATCTTGATAGGAAATATTAATTTCAAAATAATGGATTTATGCTAAAATTAATGTATATTCTATATTTAAATTAATATTAAAATTATAATACAGGCACATCACTTGTAACATTCAGCTAAGCATTCTTTGAAAATGTCAAAGATGAAATCAACTTCCTTTTTTGAATATAATGTCTTTTGGATTGTCTATTTTTTTACATTGTTCAGTCAGATTTCCACAAACTTTGCCAAGTCTGAGGTTGGAATGGATCTATAAATATTTACATCATTTAAATTTTCAGTTTTGTGATAAAAACAATCATTATTTGCTTCCACCATTAGGATGGTTGAACAGATTATAAATTAAGCAGGTGCATACTTAAGATGCATCCTGTTTCATTGTTCCAGCATTAATTATATCTATGCATTATTTCTCACATTTGGGATCATGAAAGGTAGAAACCTTTTGTCTCCAAGTTTTAGAAATTAAAATTTTACAAAAATAAAAGAAAACAGATACATTCAAAAGCATCATTTTTTATTATCTGTAGTTTATCAGTGTACTTTTATGTGTGTACACATGAAAGTATTAATTTAAATATTTGATCCACAATAATGCCTTTTATGTTTCTTTAGCTTGACTATATTTTCATCTACCAGAAGCTTCTTATCATTAAAGTTGTGTTTAACTTAATTAGAGATTACTGATACACTTCATGAAAGAGCCACCTTTTACATTTTAATCCTTTGTGCAGTCCTTTAAGTTAATGACTTTTATTTCTGAAACTCATAACCTCCTAGACACAGGAAGCACACTTCTTTATATTTAAAAGAATAGTGATTCAGGAGATGGCAAAACCCAATCCAAGGAAAGTAAGAATCACAATAAAGTCTTACAGGAGCTGGAGGACAAAATAGCCAGTATAAAAAAAGAACCTAATGGGTCTGACACAGCTGAATAAAACAATGTAAGAATTTCACAATGCAATCACAAGTATTAACAGGAGAATAAACCAAGATGAGGAAAAAATATCAGAATTTGAAGACTGGTTCTATAAGACAGACAAAAATAAAGAAAAAAATAAAAAGGGAAGAACAAAACCTCAAAGAGAAGTATGGGATTATGTAAAGAGGCCAAATCTGAATCACTGGCATCCCAGAAAGCAAGAGGGAGAAAGCAAAAACTTGAAAAATATTTCAGGATATCATCCATGAAAATGTCCCTAACCTTGCTACAGAGGCCAACAGTCAAAATCAAAAAAACTCAGAGAACTCCTGCAAGATTCTACACAAGAAGATCATCCCTGAGACACATTATTGTCAGATTTTCCAAAGTCAAAATAAAGGAAAAACTGTTCAATGCAGCTAGAGAGAAAGGTCAGGTCACCTACAAAGGGAACCCCATCAGGCTAACAGCAGACCTCTCCACTGAAATCCTGCAAGCCAGAAGAGATTGGGGGCCTGTATTCCACATTCTTAAAGAAAAAAATCTTCAGCCAAGAATTTCAAATCCAGCTATACTAAGCTTTCTAAGTGAAGGAGAAATAAGATCCTTTTCAGGTAAGCAAATGTTGAGGAAATTCATTACTACTAGAACTGCCTTACAAGAGATCTTGAAAGGACCACTAAATGTAGAAAGGAAAGGCCACTATCAACTAATATGAAAACACACTTAAACACACAGACCTGTGTTACTATAAAGCAACACACAAGCCAACATCATAAGCAGCTAACAGCACAATGACAGGATCAAATCCACACATATCAATACTAACCTTGAATGCAAATGGCCTAACTGCCCATTTAAAAGGAGCAGGTGACAAATGGTATAAAAAAGCAAGACCTAATTGTATGTTGTCTTCAAGAAACCCATCTCACGCATAATGAGACTCATGGGTTCAAAATAAAGAGATGTAGGAAAATATGCCAAGCAAGCAGAAAACAGAAAAAAGGAAGGCTTGCAATCCTAATTTCAGACAAAAGAGATTTCAAAACACAAAGATGAAAAAAGACAAAGACATTAAATAATGGTAAAGAGTTCAATTCAACAAGATCTAATTATCCTAAATATTTATGCATCCAACACGAGGGCACCGAAATTCATAAAGTGAGTTTTTAGAGTTGTCCAAAGAGGCATAGACTCCCACACAATAATAGTGGGAGACTTCAACCCTTCACTGACAGTATTAGACTGATTATCAGGGCAGAAAATTAACAAAGATATTCAGGACCTAAACTCAACATTGGATAAAATGGATTTGATAGACCATTACAGAACTCTCCACCCCAAAACAGCAGAATATACATTCTTCTTAAAACCACATGGCACATACTCTAAAATCAACCACATAATTGGACATAAAGCAATTTTCAAGAAATGTAAAAAATGGAAATCATATCAAACACACTCTTAGACCAAACAGCACTAAAAATAGAAGTGAATACTATGAAAATCACTCAAAACCATGCAATTACATGGAAATTAAACAACATGCTTCTGAATGACTTTTGGGTGAAAAATGAAATTAAGCCAGAAATCAGGAAGTTCTTTAAATATCACAGGAACAAAGATACAACATACTAGAATCTCTGGAACACAGCTAAGGCAGTGTTAAGAGGGAAATTCATAGTACTAAATGCCCATATCAAAAAGTTAGAAAGATTTCAAATTAACCACCTAACTTCACAAATGAAAGAATTAGAGAAGAAAAAAACGAATAAACTCCGAAGCTAGTAGAAGATGAGAAATAACAAAAATCAGAGCTGAACTGAAGGAAATCAAGACATAAAAATTCATTCCAAATATCAAAAAATCCAGAAGTTGTTTTTTAGAAAACAATGAATAAAATAGATAAGCCACTAGCTAGACAAAAAAGAAAAGAGAGAAGACCCAAATAAATAGAATAAGAAATATTGAAAGGAATGTTACTACTGACCCCAGAGAAATAAAAACAACCATCAGGAACTACTATGAATACCTCTATGGACACAAACTAGAAAACCTAGAAGAGATGGATAAATTTCTGGACACATACACCCTCCTAAGACTGAGCCAGGAAGAAATTAATTCCCTGAACAGATCAATAATGAGCTCCAAAATGGAATCAGTAATGAATAGCCTACCAACCAAAAAAAGCCTGGGACCTGATGTATTCACAGGTGAATTCTACCAGATGCACAAAGAGGAGCTCATACCATTTCCACAGAAAGTATTCCAAAAAACTAAGTAAGAGGGATTTTCCCCAACTCATTTTATGAGGCCAGCATCATCTTGATACCAAAACCTGGCAGAGTCACAACAAAAAAAGAAAACTTCAGGCCAATATCCTTCACGAACATTAATGCAAAAATACTTAACAAAATACTTGCAAACTGAATTCAGCAGCACATCAAAAAGATAATCCACCATGATGAAGTAGCCTTCATGCCTGGGATGCAAGTTTGGTTCTACATTCGCAAATCAATAAATGTGATTCATCAAATAAACAGAAAGAAAAAAAAACACACGATTTTCTCAATAGATGTAGAAAAGGCTTTGATAAAATTCAACACTCCTTCATGTTAAAAACTCTCAATAAACTAGGTATTGAAGAAACATACCTCAAAATAATGAGAGCCATCTATGGCAGACCCACAGCCAACATTTTACTGAATGGGCAAAAGCTAGAAGCATTCCCCCTGAAAACTGGCACAAGACAAAGATTTCCTCTCTCACCATTTCTATTCAACATTTTATTGGAAGTCCTAGCCAGAGCAATCAGGCAAGAAAAATAAATAAAGGGCACCCAAATAGGAAGAGAGGAAGTCAAACTGTGCTTGTTTGCAGACAACATGATTCAATATCTAGAAAAGTCCATAGTCTTGGCCAAAAATCTCCTCCAGCTGATAAACAACTTCAGCACAGTTTAAGGATAGAAAATCAATGTACAAAAATCAGTAGCATTTCTACATAACAACATCCAAGATGAGAGCTAAATCAAGAACACAATTCCATTCATAATAGTCACAAAAAGAATAAAATATCTAAGAGTATAGCTAACCAGGGAGGTGAAAGATCTCTACAATGAGAATTACAAAACACTGCTGAAAAAACTTCTGTCTTCTCTGAAGTTTTTGAGAAAAAAACTTCTTCCCATCCTCTTCCCATGAGGATGGGAAGAATCAATATCATTAACATGGTTATACTGCCTAAAGCAATTTATAGATTCAATGCTATTCCTTCAAACTACTCACAACATTTTTAACAGAATTGGAAAAACCTATTTTACAATTCATATGGAACTAAAAAAGAGCCCAAAGAGCCAAGGCACTCCTAAGAAAAGAGAACAAAGCTGGAGGCATTATGTTACCTGACTTCAAACTATATTACAAGGCTACATTTACCAAACAGCAAGGTACTGGTAAAAAAAAAAAAAAGCACATAGACCAATGGAACAGGATAGAGAACCCAGAAATAATGCCACACATCTATGACCATCTGATCTTCAACAAATCTGACAAAGATATGCAATCGGGAAAAGATTGCCTATTCAATAAATGATGCTGGGATAAATAGCTAGCCATATGCAGAAGATTGAACTGGACCCCTTCCTTAAGCCATACTAAAAAATAAACACAAGTTGTATTAAAGACTTAAGTGTAAAACCCAAAACTATATAAACCCTGGAAGACAACCTAGGCAACACCATCTTGAACATAGGAATGGGCAAAGATTTCATGACAAAGACACCAAAAGCAATTACAACGAAAGCAGAAACTTACAAATGGGATCTAATTAAATGTAAGAGCTTCTGCACAACAAAAGAAACTATCAACAGAGTAAACAGACAACCTAGTGAATGGGAGAACATATTTGCAAACTACGCACCTGACAAAGGTCTAATATCAAACATTTATAAGGAATTTAAACTAATTTACAAGAGAAAAACTAACAGCCCCATTAAAAAGTGGGCAAAGGACGTGAACAGACATATCTCAAAAGAAGACATACATGTGGCCAACAAGCATATGAAAAAAAGCTCAGTATCACTGATCATTAGACAAATGCAAATCAAAACCACAATGAGATACCATCTCACACCAGTCAGAATGGTGATTATTAAAAAGTCAAAAAATAAAAGATGCTGGCAAGTTTGCAGAGAAAAGGGAACACTTATACAATGTTGGGAGTGTAAATTAGTTCAACCATTGTGGAAAGCACTATGGCAATTCCTCAAAGAGCTAAAAGTAGAACTACCATCTGGCCCAGCCATCCCGTTACTGGGTATATACCCAGAGGAATATAAATCATTTTACCATAAAGACACATGCACATGAATGTTCATTGCAGCACTATTCACAATAGCAAGGCATGCATTCAACCTAAATGTTCATCAATGACAGGTTGGATAAAGAAAATCTGGCACATATACACCATGGAATACTATGCAGCCATAAAAAAGAATGAGATAATGTTTTTTACAGAAGCATGGATGGAGCTGGAAGCTATTATCATTAGCAAATTACTGCAGGAACAGAAAATCAAATACCACATGTTCTCACTTGTAAGTAGGAGCTAAATGCTAAGAACTTATGAACACAAAGAAGGAAACAACAGATAATGGGGCCTACATGAGTGGGTAGGGTGGGAGGAGGGAAAGGAGCAGAAAAGATAACTGTTGGGTACTGGGCTTAATACTTTGGTAATGAAATAATATGTACAACAAACCCACGTGACATGTGTCTACCTATGTAATAAACCTTCACATTTACCTCCAGACCCAAAATAAGAGTCAAAAAATGAAAGTTGGAAGAGTTGCATGCCAAGGTGTTGACAATAATTATACAGGGGCAATGAAATTATGATTACTCCTTTTTCTTCTTTAGTTATTTTCTGTATTTTTTCAAAATATCCACAAAACAACTTGTATCATTTTTGAAATCAGAAATAAATACCTAAATAATAGAATAGAGAATAATTAAAATCCAGTTTTGAAAGCAGTACTTTGCCAAGCATCTTCCTTGACTAGTCTCTGCTATCTGTTTTAAGTGACAATTTAGAAATTGTTTCTATATTACCATCTCTTAGTGCTGGATCTGTCACACTATCTCAGATAGTTTCATATTTAGACCAGAATGATGCATGGGGTGGTTTAAACCTAGCACCCATTTTCTTCCAGAAGCAATAGAACTGCTGTGGGTACAAATGATGGTCAAACACTACACATTATTCTATGGAAAGAGGCCAAATTCTAAAGAGTAATGGTTCCAGGTAATGGTTTTTTGGAGGAACTATGATTTCTCTTGCCTAAAGAGAATAAGAGAAAGGCAAATTACATGCTACATGATAGGTTTTTTACAGATAACTCTCAATTATCCATGCAATGTTGCATCCATTGCCAGAAGGAAGGTTAACACCCTAAACCTGCTGGGCCCCTGAGCTCTGGGCAGTGCAATCTCTGTGCAGACAGCTGTGCACTGTTCCCTCAACCAGTACCTCCACCCACTTTGCTATTCATAAAATGTAAAGAGAAGTGCTAGAGATGAGGTTTGAAGTGGCCCCATTTCATGTCTCTGTGTAGAAATGTTCCTTCCATTGTCCATCAATCCGAGAGGATCTAGACTTGGTTTTATACATTCATTTTAAGAGTATTTATTGATATGTGCTAGACCATGCTCTAGGTATTGCAGCTATGGCAGTTTTTTTTTAATGAAAATTATTGCTCACCATGGAGCTTGCATTCTAGATTCCTTTAATAAGGAGCTAGCAGGATTTTCTACACTCACTACCTCACTCCTCAGCCCATTCTCTTCCCAATGCTCAATCTTTTCCTTTAAAACTTCTCCAAGGCTAAAAAACTCATCATAAAACAAGTCCTTGAAGCATAGATGATTGAGTATGATAGACCTTTAAAAAGGAGGCTTATGATTCTTCTCTTCTTTGTAAGAGGAGCAAAGGTTTCCTGGTGTTGTTCATAAGAGGAGCAAAGGTTTCCTGGTGATGGAACAAACGAGTCAATGTTTTCTTTCATTAAGCCAAGTTTGAGACATTGATGCACATAATTCCTGCTCTTCCTGGGTAAAGGGCTAAAGAGGATTTAAAAGCTCTTCCCTTCAACAGAAACAGCAACAAAAGAAACCCAGTTCAATTGGGATGTTTCTGGGACAGAGAGATGCATAGAGATTTTTTGACGGAGCACAATAGAAAATAGTTTAGAAAGGCAGTAAGGCAGGGTGAGCCCTCATGCCAGAAGCATTGACATGGCCTCCTATACACATGGCAGCTTTGACTTCACGTTTTCAAACACAGAGTATCTATAGCAAGTTTGTAAGGGAAAATGAGTAGCTATTTTCTGGTCCTTTAGAAAATGACTCCAGAAGGCATTCTTGCCCTTTGCTGAAAAGAACCTTCTCCATTCCTAGGGGAAAGTATATTCTTTCCCAGCTGGAAGCAGAATGTATTTTCATTCTCCAGCTCCTACTTTCTTGTGTGAGATAAGGATGAAGACCTGGAATGTTTTCTCCATCCAAAGCCTGCTCTATGTCACTGCTGCTGGGCCACTAACAGGCATTCAGATAAATGTCACCAAAACTTCCCAAATGCTGCTGGTTATACATCAACTGTTTTAAAATAAAACTGACCCTAGCTTTCTTTTATTAAAAATAAATAGTTGAATGGTTTTTGTCAATGCTTGATTATTTTATACAAGTTTTTCTAAATAAGTAATCAAATTGCAAATACTTTAAATATTTTAAGAATAAAGTTACACAAATAATTCAGTATGCTATAGATATGATTTGACTCATTTTAGATATTAGATGCCACATATCAGTAAAACCAAATGATAAGAGTGAAAGGGATATGATAACTGTTAAAACTTCAGTGAATAATACACACACACACACAAAGAAAAATTCTCATGAGGTTGTTGTATTCCCCAGAAAAGACAATGGTGGCATGGACTCCAGAATTTGCAGTTCCACAAATTTGGTAAAAATGATGACCCTCAATGCCTTTGAAATATCTCAAGAATGAGCTTGTAGTCATTCACTTTCAACTAGATCATGCTTCATGTCTTTTAATGGCATTGTGTCTTTGTAAAGTTGGGTTGTCAGAGGTTTCTGTGATAAAAAGAAAGTATTATACTAAAATTAATGTGAAACAGAGCATGACGGTTGGCGATGTTCCACTAGATTCCAAGCATGACCAGTTGTACAGGGTCTAACAGACATGCACATCCCATTCATCCATAATTCTGGCTAAAAATAAAAGAAAAATATTACTTTTTTTCCAATATACATTTTTTTCATGTGGCTACTGAGTTATTATGATATGAATACTTATTAAGTTGTGTAGACACAACTACCTAAGAAATGAAACTGTCAGATATTTCTTCTGATCTGGGTATGCGATGGGAAAAACAGCAAGAAACCAACGGCACTGTGGAAAGAGATTTGGGAACCTCTGACTTAGTGTTTTGTCAGTGCTGAATGAAATACGGGAACATAAACTTTTGAATTTTTAATTTTTGTGGATACATAATAGGCGTATAATTTTAACATAAGCTCTCTAGGGAAGGATGGGAAGGCCTGAGGAGTCTTATGGATGGAAAAAAATAAAGGAGGCAAGAGATTTAAGTTTCTAAGGAGATCAAAGTGCAGTTGCAGCCGGAATATTGGAGCAAGAAAGTGAAAATATAAAGATTGTGCTCAGGGTAAGAGCTGGCTGAATTTAGATTTTAAAAGTGGAGCAGTTAGGAATGGCACCATGAGAGTGACTGATTCCTTTAAGCTCAGCATACGTCAAAACTAACCCATAATTCCTATACCCCAAACCTACTCATCCCCAGTAGCCTTTCAGGAAATGCTAATATCAACCACTCAGTTGGATAAACCAGATGCTAGAAAGTCAGCCTTGTCACCTTCCTGTCTTTTACTTGTCATGCCTTAGCAATGACCACATTGCAGTTACTCAGCCTCCTTTATATCTCTTGAATTGTTAACTCACATCCATTTTCTTCCATTGCCCCTGGTCTAAGCTATGGGGAAGAAAAGTATCTTAAGACAAACTGAAATGAGAAAAGGTTGTGAATTAAAAAGAAAACTAAGAGAGCTCCCTAGGGCATCTAACAAAGAGAAAACATCAAGGAGGAAGGCCAGCCCAGTATTGGTTGCTGACCAAGACAGGGATGCAAAGTACCTATTGGGTTCAGGTATAAGGAGATTGCTGAGGGTGGATGGACAAGGAGTTTTCACAGGAATTATGAGGGGAAAGAGATTCTCCTGAGCTGAGGAGTGAATTCAAAAAGAAAATCAAGCACAGTGAATCACTGGAGACATCAAGAGTAAAAATAATTCTTACAACAAGCTTGATAGAGGTAGTATAGTATATCTTTTCTGACAGAAGATATGCCATCAGGGAAAATTTTCACTTTTGTTTTTGTGGGTTTTTTTTTGTTTGTTAATTTTTGTGTATCTGAAGAGGAAGGTCTTGAGTATATTTCAATCAATAAAAAAGTTAAAAAAATGATCAGGTGTAATTTAGGAAGACAGATTCAAGAGGAGGTAAAATTGGCCAACAAGAGAGAGATATCACTTGGATTATGACAGGAAGGAAAAAAATAAATGAGTACGTGTTTAAGCTGTAAATATCACGTACTTGTCTGAAATTTACACAGAAGTTATAAGTAACATTCTTCAGAATGCTTATCTTTCTCTCATAACTGAGTTAATGGGGATGTCTGTGTAATATTAAACATGATACTGGCTTTTGAATTGAATATATATATGTGTATATATACGTGTGTGTATATATATATCAGTTATATATTTGTTGTTTTGTTGTTGTTGAGATGGAGTCTCACTCTGTCACCCAGGCTGGAGTATAGTGGCGCAGTCTCAACTCACTGCAAAATCTGCCTCCTGGGTTCAAGGGATTCTCATGCCTCAGGCTTCCAAGTAGCTGGGACTACAGGCATCTGCCACCACACCTAGCTAGTTTTGTATTTTTAGTAGAGACAGTGTTTTGCCATGTTGGCCAGGCTGGTCTTGAACTCCTGACCTCAAATGATCCGCCTGCCTCAGCCTCCCAAAGTGCTGGGATTACAGGTGTGTGCCACCATGCCCAATATATCTTGAACAAATTAGATATATTGATACAGATATGACATGTTTGTTCATAGCTCTGTTATCGTATATTGTTCTTATTATCGATAATGTTTTCTCTTACTAAACAGTCTTTCATTGTATCATTTATCTTTTCTTTAACAGTATTTTCTTTTTGAGAAGGGCAAATTTTATGATCTAGATTTTTAACTACCCTAGTGATATGTATAAGTTTATATAATAAAATTATGCCTTTATATCTTGATCTATCAACTACGCATTGTGTCTATTGAGTCGTCACAATGAAACACGAGACAATTAGAACACATAGACATCCACCCAAATTCAGCCTTCACATTGCTCCCAATTTTTTTTGGTTATAGCATTGTTCCTTTTACTTCCAGATTCTAATTTTACATATTTCAATGATAAGTGTAATGTAATATTAATTTGAAAATGTGGACTCTTTTTTTATTAATAGACTATTTTTATATCAGTTTTAGGTTTACCAAAAAAAAAAAAAAACTGTTAAGAAATTACAGGGAGTCTCCATAGACCTAATTTACCCCACCCCCAACCCACATATAGTTTCACCTATTATTAATGTCTTGCATAGTACAGTGCATGTGCTATATCTATTTATACTAGAATTCACTCTTTTTGTTGTAAATTCTATGGAGTTTGACAAATGCATGTTTTTAAGCTATAAATATCACTATTTGCCTAAAATTTACACAGAAGTTATAAGTAATGTTACTCATAATGCTTTTTTTTTCCCTCGTTACTGAGTTAATGGGGATGTTGGTATAATATTAAACATGATACTGGCTTTTGGGCTGATTAGATATATCTAATGGTAATACTGTTATGGTGGCTTTTGGGCTGATTAGATAGAGATAAAAAAATCTCTAAAAACCTACAGTCATTCAATGCCAGCCTGTGAAAACAGCTGCAGGGTACAAGCTAATTAGCACCAAAGCCACCATTACAGTATCATGAAGAATTTTTCACTGCTCTAAAACTCCCCTGTGCTCCAACAATTCATCTCTCCCCGCTTCCCCAAACCCCTGGCAACCACTGATCTTTTCACTATTTCTAGTTTTGCCTCTTCCAGAATGTTATATAGGAATCATGCTGTATATAGCCTCTTCTGATATTAATTTAAAATTTCACTTGTCAATTGCTGGTATACAGGAAAGCAAATGACTTTTGCATATTAACTTTGTATCCTGAAATCTTTTTATGATCACTTATTAGGTCCACGAGTTTTTTTTTTATTCTTTCAGATTTTCTACTAGATAACTTGTTCATTTCTAAGAAAGTTTTGTTTCTTCTCCATATGTTTCCCCTTTATTTATTTCTCTTATTTTATTACAGTAGCTATGTTTTCTAGTACAATGTTGAATAAGAGTGGTGAGAGTGGACATCCTTGTCTTGTAACCAAAGATAGGTTGAAAGCATCTGGTTTCTAACCATAAAGTATAATATTAGCACTTTTTTTGGTAAATATTCTTTTGTCAAGTTGAACGAGTTTCCTTCTATTTCCAATTTGTTGAGAGTTTTTTTTTTTATCATGAATGAGTATTGAATTATGCAGGTACGTTGCCGCATCTACTGACATAATAATATAATTTTTCTTCTTTAGCCTTTTGATGCAATATATTGTATAAATTGATTTTTGAGTGTGGAACCAGACTTGCATATCTGGAATAAATCCCACTTGGTTGCAATTACAATTTAAAATCCTTTTTATACATTGTTAGAATTAATTTGTGAATATTTTGTTAAGAATTTTTGCATTTATGTTCATGAAAGATAGTGGTTTGTATTAGTCCATCCTTGCACTTCTATAAAGAACTACCTGAGACTGGGTAATTTATAAAGAAAAGAAATTTAATTGACTCACATTTCCACAGGATGCACAGGAAGCATGGCTGGGGAGGCCTCAGGAAACACAATCCTGGCAGAAGGTGAAAGGGAAGAAGGCACATCCTACATGGCTGGAGCAGAAAGAAGGGACTGAAGGGGGAGATGCTACATGCTTATAAACAACCCGATCTCCTGGGAACTCACTCACTATCACTAGAACAGCAAGGGGGACATCCACCCCATGATTCGATCACCTCCCATCAGCCCCCTCATCCAACACTGGATTACAATTCAACATGAGATTTGGGTGGAGACAAAAATCCAAGTCACATTATTTTGCCCCTGGCCCCTCTCAAATCTCATGCCTTTCTCACATTGCAAAATATAACCATACCTTCCAACAGTACCCCAAAGTCTTAACTCATTCCAGCATGTAACTCAAAAGTTCAAAATCTCATCTGAAACAAGTCTAGTCCCTTCTTTCTATAAGCCTGTAAAATCAAAAAGAAGTTCGTTACTTCTAATATACAATGGGGGTTCAGGCATTGCATACATGTTCCCATTCCAAATGGGAGAAATTGGCCAAAAAAAAAAAAAAAAGGATGAAAGACTCCATGATAGTCTGAAACCCAGCAGCTCACTCATTAAGTCTGGAAGCTCCAAAATATGTTCTTTGACTCTATGTCTCACATCCAGGGCATGCTGATGCAAGGGGTGGGTTCCCAGGGCTTTGGGCAACTCTGCCCCTTTGGCTCTGCAGGGTGCAACCCCTGCAGCTGCTTTCACAGGCTGGCATTGAATGACTGCAGCTTTTCCAGGTACACGGTGCAACCTGTCAGTCAATCTACTATTCTGGGCTCTGGAGAATGGTTGCCCTCTTCTCACAGCTCTACTAGGCAGTGCCCCAGTGGTGACTCTGTGTGGGGGCTCCAACCACACATTTCCCTTTTGCACTGCCCTAGGAGAGGTTCTCCATGAGAGCTCCATCCTTGCAGCAAACTTCTGCCAGACATCCAGATATTTCCATACATCCTCTGAAATCTAGGTAGATGTTAAGCCTCAACTCTTGCCCTCTGTGCACCCACAGGCTCAATACCACATGGAAGCTACCAAGGCTAACAGCTTGCACCCTCTGGAGCAGTGGCCTAAGATATTTCTGGGGCCCTTTTGGCCACAGTTGGAGCTGGAGTGGCTGGGATGCAGGGAGCAGTGTCCCAAGGTTGCACAGGGCAGCAGGGCCCTGGGCCCAGCCCATGAAATCATTCTTTTCTCTTAGGCTTCCAGGCCTGTCATGGGAGGGGCTGCTGTGAAGGTCTCTGAAATGCCTTTGTGGCATTTTCCCCATTGTTTTGGGTATTCACATTTGACTCCTCTTTACTTATGCGAATTTCTGCAGTTGGTGGCTTAAACTCCTCTCAAGAAAATGGGTTTTTCTTTTCCACCACTTGGACAGGCTGCAGATTTTCTAAACTTGTATGTTCTTCATTCCTTTTAAATGTTAAGTTCCAGTTTCAGGTACTTTATTTGCTCAAACATATGACCATACACTGTTGGAAACAGTGTAGTCACATCTTGAATGCTTTGCTGCTTAGAAATTTCTTCTGCCAGACACCCTAAATCATCACTGTCAAGTTTAAAGTTCCACAGAGCCCTAAAGCAAAGGCTCAATGCTGCCAGTCTCTTTGCCAAAGCATAGTAAGAGTGACCTTTACTTCAGTTCCCGGTAAGTTTCTCACCTCCATCTGAAACCACCTCAGCCTGGACTTCATTGTCCATGTCACTATCAACATTTCAGTCACAACAATTTAACAAGTCTCTAGAAATTTCCAAACTTTCCCTCATATTCCTGTCTTCTTCTTAGCCCTCCGAACTGTTCTAACCTCTGCCTGTTACCCAGTTTGCATGTTGTTTCTATGTTTTCAGGTAGCTTTATAGCAATACCCCACTCCTGGTACCAATTTTCCCACACTGTTATAAAGAACTACCTGAGACTGGGTAATTTATTTTTAAAAAATGGTTTAATTAGCTCATGGTTCCACAGGCTGTACAGAAAGCATTACTTGGGAGGTCTCAGGAAACTTATAATCATGACAGAAAGTGAAGGTGGGGAAGGCATCTCCTACATGGCTGGAGCAGGAGGAATAGAGCAAAGTGGGAGCTGCTACACACTTTCAAACAACCAGATCTTGTGAGAACTCACTCACTATAACAAGAACAGCAAGGGGGAAATCTGCTCCCATCTTCCAGTCACCTCCCACCAGGCCCTTCTTCCAACATTGGATTACAACTGAACATGAGATTTGGGCAGGGACACAAAAACAAACCATATCATGGTCTATAATTTCCTTTTTTGTAACATTTTTGTCTAGCTTTGGTATTAGATGAATGCTAGCCACACGGGAAAAGTTAAGAAGTGTTTCCTCAGATTCTGTTTTCTGGAAGGAATTGCAGACTATTGGTATGATTTGTTCCTTAAATATTTGGTAGAATCCACCATTGAAACCACCTGAGCCCAGCACTTTCAGTTTTAGAAAGTTATTAGTTAATAATTCAAATTTTAAGTCACTATAAGCCTAAACAGATTATTTATGTTTTGATAGATATTATTTTTTCAAATAGTTAAACTTTTCCTCTAAGTTATCAAATTAGTGGGCTTAGAGATCTCCCCGAAATTCTTTTATTATTTTTCTAATATCCGTTGGATCAGAATGGTCCCTTTTTCATTTCTGTTAGTAATTTGTATCTTCTTTTATTTTTTCTTAGACTGGCTGCAAGTTTATAAATTTTACTGATCTTTGCATAGAGGCAGCTTTTGGTTTTGTTGATTTTCTCCATTGATTTCTTGTTTCTAATTTTATTGATTTCTGCTCTAATTTTTACTAGTTTATATCTTTTACTTTGAATTTAACTTATTCTTCTTTTCTAGTTCCAGAATGCATTTACTTTATCTCTAGGAATTCTGAATTGTTTGCTGCATGAAAGCTTTACTTCTATATGGCCCACAACAAAGCGCTCACTTATTTTGTTCTAGGTTTAAAAATAGGGGAGATTTTTAGTATGCAATGTGGTAATAATCTCAAAGCAAATGATTTGGATTTGTTGAAGCCAGGATTTATTGTAAGAAAAAAAGCATTTTCTTGAAAGTTTCAAATACGGACTTTAGATATCAGTAACAAAGCTTCCAGGATTAGAATACAGAGGTTAATAGTAGAGTAAAACTTTAGGAAGGTTGCAGAGAAAGGAAAAGGAAAAGGAGATCCCTGCCTGGGGCTGGGAACACAACCTGACAGGGAAAAGGTCAGAGAGTAATGCTTCAGATTTAAGCTCCTATCTACCTTATCCTCTTCAACTTGAAGTCCTGGTGGAGGAAAGTAGAAAATATACCAAGGTAAGAGTCAGAAAGTCCTTACTGGAAAGAAATATGATAGCATTTTAGAAGAAATGAATTAAGGAAATTGTCACTCATTTTTACAGATTACAATTTTGCAGCCCTGGATGAGTTAAATGACTGATACAAACTCACAGAGATAGTAGCTTACAGAGCAGCAGATGAAATATAAAATTAGAGTATGGAATTATAGATTTAGACAGGATCTTACACATAATTATTTTTCAGTGTAGCAAAAGCAGTAGACAATCTTTACGAATTTGCCAAGTAACTAGGTCTTGGAGGAATTAACATTGGCATCTAGGCCCAGTGTTCTTCCATTATAATTTACTACCTGGAACTCAGCCCCTGATATCCAAACCTATGGCCCTTCTATAGAGAAAGCAAATATTTTGTTAACTCAGTGTTTTGTGATTAGATAAACTTAACAGATGCCACCTTCTAAAATTTTCTCCATCAAAGTGATTGCATTTATTTTAACTTCCAATTTATCACCCAGGAAGAACCAAATTCACACATTCATTCACTCGAGGATGCATTCATTTATGCACTTACTCATTGAGTAAATAACTTTCCCTGTCCACGGCATGCTCAGCACATTCTCAGCACTAAGGATACAGCATAAACAAAACTAATAAAATATCTGCCCTCATAGAGCTTATATTCCAGGATAAGGAAAAAAGGCAAACTATAAACAAAAAGCAAGCATATAATGGGTAGTATGGCGACAACTTCCATGGAAACTATGGAGGGCGAAGAAGAAGCATTATGCAACATAAATGGGCATGCGGAGCCTCTCTGATCAGGTGACATTTGAACAGCAATGTAAAAGGAGTGAGGAAGTTGAGAAAGTCTGTGGGAAGAGCATTCCAGGAAGAGGGAGCAGCCACTACGGAAGCCCTAGGTGTAACAGTGCTTGATGTTTTAGAAAAATAGAGAAGGGCTCAGTAAATGGGGATGAAGTCAGGGGATGAGCTTACATAGGTAGCAGGGCAATTCTGAAGGAGCTGGGAATTTATTCTGAGTGAGACGAGAATCTACTGATGAGCCTAGAGAAGCAGGGGACTTACTTAGAAAGCTGTTGCAGTTATTCCAATAAAAAGGAATAGTGGCTTGGACTTGATTTGTGGTGGTGGAGGGAATGAGAAATGCACAGGTTTTGGATATATTCTGAAGATGAAGGCAGCAAAATTTGTGATCAATGCCAGGTGCGAGAAAGAAGGAGCACAGTCAAATAATTTCTAAGATTGATTGATTGATTTTTTTATAGTAAAAAGAAAAATCATATGAGATCATTCTCTTTTGACACAAATTTAAAGTTCAAGAAACTGGAGCCTATCCTCTCGCCCCACACAATGTCACAGAGCATCTGTTTGGAAGTTCCACCACCTGACTCCCTTGCTTTCAATCCTCTTTCCTCAGTAAAAGCAGTAGCCACTGGAATCCTCATCTCTCCCCTGCTGTTCTTCTCCTGTAACACTTGAGAATGTAACAAGGTAGCAGAAAGAGTTGAAGTCAGCTGAACACACATTGATCTAGGGCAATGCTCTTATTTACATTTGACTCAAACTGTGGCCTACACACGTTAAATGCCTTCTACGGCGTGGTGTACTTAGAAGAAATGACATAACTCGACCTTGAATTCTCTTACTTTCTAGCTGTTCTTTTTTTATCTGAAGCCATATAATTCTTTTTAAATTCTCAAGGCGTTAGCATTACATAAAAAAAATTTGACTATAATTTTGTCTGAGCTGACATTTTATATTAACTTATATTCTTTTACTTTGAAATCTTAAAATCTCGCTTAAAAACAATATGCTTGCCCTTAATCTACCTAACTGGTGTCACCTTCTCATATTTTTACTTGGTTTATCCACCTCTATGTGTCAAAGTTCTCTAGAGGTTAATCCTCAAAAATCTCTATCTATACTCATTCTAGAGTCTAAATAAATTAAATTTGTAATTTTAAATAACAACTGCATACCAACGATTCAAAAAATGTAATCTATGGTCCAGACATCGCTACTGGATTCCTGATGTGTCTGTACAACTCCATTTGGAATCTAAGAAGTGTCTTAACTTCTGCTCATCTGAAACTAAACTCCCAAGTTTACATGCTTAGAATTGTTCTTCCTTCACCCGCCCTTATATGTGCTAATATTAGGTTGGTGCAAAAGTAATTGCAGTTTTTGCCATTACTTTTAATAGTACCCTCATTCTTTCAGTTGTGAACCTGGGCTAAAAATGAGCTCTGTTTCTTTCTCATAGCCACATCCAATTGGTCAGCTGGCTCTAGCAGCCCTGCTTCCATGTATGTAGAGTCTGATCATTTTCTCACTCTCAGCTCTACAGCCCTGGCCCCCGTTAACATCATTTAGTCTTGGGTTATTGCAATATCCATTCTGCTTTCCCCGCTTCAGCTTCTGAGCCCTGCACAATAACCAGGGTGATTATTTTCAGTGGTAGGAGAGACATCATTCCTGTTTTTAGAATCTTCTCACAGGCTTCCTGTATCACCTGAGAAGCGGATGTCCTCACCGCGGGCCACAAGGCCTTCCCAACTACACCGTGCACTCCCCCTGGCTCTAATCTCTAGGTCTTTCTCTCTGGCGCCTCCTCTCTCTGCTCCAGCCACATCAACGCCCTTACTGGTCCTAGAAGTGGCAAGCAGGAGCCTGCCCCAGGGCCTTTTTGGAATTTATTTTCACAGATATCTATAAAGCTTCTTTCCTTATTGACTTTATTCTTAATATCACCATGTCTGGGAAACTTCTCTGAGTAATTACATAAAACAGCAGGACTCTCCACCCCCACAGACCAGCCGGGTACTCCCTGTTCCTTTGCCTGTTTTATTTTTCTTCATACACCTAACACCATCTATTACACCTTATTTTATTCGATTTTGTCTTCATTCTCTGCCTTTTTCATTAGAAAGCAAACTCCATGAAGACTGGACTTTGCTTTGTTCTTGCTGTATTGTAGTACCTGGAATAGCACCTGAGAAGCATTAGGTGCTCACTGGGCGGAATATTGCAATGAAAGGCAAAACACAATGCTGATGTTGATAGCCACGAGCAGATAATTTAGACAAAATTCATTTTCCTAAATGCCAGAATCCATATGCAAACTAGTAGATCTAGGTAACAAGCCATATTTGGGAAATGTAAATCTTTCTTTTCACCCTTTTATGGATTTTAAACTAGTCATGGTATTTTCAAAATGCACAATTCATACTGAAACCAATTGGGAAAAATATGTTATGAAAGTTTTCTAGGGTTTATGTTTGTAGTAAAATAAATTTTAGAGTGCAGTCATAGCTCCTGTCTGCTGACAACTGCTGACAACTGCTGACAATATATAAATCTGTTTTAGAAATGGGCCAAAGGGTGCATTGCAGAGTATCCCTATGACATTTGATTTAAAATGATTTTTCAATAAAATGAATCCCTAAGCATATTTTATTTTGACTTTTACAGTATATATATAATAGAGAGAGAGAGAGCACGAGACAGAGAGTGTATATATATATACTGTTGTTGTTGTTGTTGTTGAGACAGAGTCTCGCTCTGTTGCCCAGGCTGGAGTGCAATGGCGCAATCTCGGCTCACTGCAACCTCCACCTCCCAGGTACAAGCGATTCTCCTGCCTCAGCCTCCCAAGTAGCCCGGATTACAGGCATGTGCCACCACACCCAGCTAATTGTTGTATTTTTAGTTAGAGACGGGGTTTCACCAGGTTGGCTGGGCTGATCTCAAATTCTTGACCTCAGGCAATCAATATGCCTCAGCCACCCAAAATGCTGGAATTACAGGCATGGGCCATGGCGCCCGGCTAATATATTTTAAAATCTTGTATCAGATGTATGTTATATCAGATGTATAGACAAATACTTGCGAAACCAACTATTATTTTAATATGTAATTAAGCAAAAGTTTTAAAAAACGAAAAATGCATGAGACGAGTGCTTTGAAATGGAATCAAATGAATGTTTGCTTGCCTTGATTGACATAATTCAATGGGAAATAGAAACAGATTTCCACACCAAGAATGAAAATTATTAGCCCTTCTATCCTGATTTCAGGGCTAAAACAATACATGTAGTTGCTGATAGTAAAAGTTTTATAGCACCTTTGCTTCCCAATCAGAAATGTATTGGTGGTAGATTTTGTGACCATGAAATGCACTGATACTGAAATATTGGTTCCATACTGAAAAGAACTACACATTTTTTGTTTAAAAGTTGATTGCCTTTAAGTAAATTGGAAAACATTAATCCAAGACTTCACTATCCTTCTTTGAAGGTCTTTGGAAAACAGTTAAAACTGGTAGGGCTGCTCCCTCCCAGTAGCAGCAGCTGGAGGAGTCAATGAACCACCCTTCTCTAGAGCTGTGCTGGGAGGCAGGGGCCACGTAAGGAGCCTGAAGTGCTGTGAGGGGGGAGGAGCAGGTGGGGCCAGGCTCCCAGACTAAGGAGAGAAGCAGAAGGAATTTTACAGGTTGTCCCAAAAGCCATGCTTGATGCACATGATTTCTTCCCAGGAGCCCTAAATCTTCAGAAAAAAAAATATATTGGCATGCTTGATATAGAAGTCACCAAGGGAGACTTTCGCAGCCATGTCAGTCTTGTGGTGGAAACAGATGGTCTCTGTGGCTGCAGGGTAAAGTAGAGGGAGAAAAATTGAGGTTTGGCTTCTGAATCATGTGTATCTGAATTATAAAAGGGTAGAGAGCCTTCTAATTGAAACTTGAATCACATTTTGATGTCAGTTGTCATAAGGGATCTTTGACCTAACCTAAAGTCAGGGATTGTACAGAGGAGTGGATGACGGGATTGTACAGAGGAGTGGACCATGGGATTGTACAGAGGAGTGGATGATGGGATTGTACTGAGGAGTGGATGATGAGATTGTACAGAGGAGTGGACGATGAGATTGCACAGAGGAGTGGACGATGGGATTGTACAGAGGAGTGGATGATGGGATTGCACAGAGGAGTGGATGATGGGATTGTACAGAGGAGTGGACGATGGGATTGTACTGAGGAGTGGACGATGGGATTGTACAGAGGAGTGGATGATGGGATTGTACAGAGGAGTGGATGATGGGATTGCACAGAGGAGTGGATGATGGGATTGCACAGAGGAGTGGATGATGGGATTGTACAGAGGAGTGGATGATGAGATTGCACAGAGGAGTGGATGATGGGATTGTACAGAGGAGCGGATGATGAGATTCCACTAAGATACTCTGGGATGGGTGTTGTGGAGTTGCTGTGATGAAGAGAGAGTTAATTTTAAAAAAAGAATCAATCATTAGAGCATTATATGATTTTTAAAGGACAACTACATATTTGGAATTTCTTCATGAAGGAAGCAGCAATATTCCAAAAATTTCTCTAATTTTTTAGAGAAAAAAAATGAATCTGCTAGGAGGATATTTATTGAGTGCACCCTGGAACTACTGAACGAAACCACACAATAGCTGAGTCCACAAAACCTACCAAGAGCCTACTCGCTACTTTCACGCCAGGAAAATTTTAAGGACAGGCACACCTCATTTTATGGTTTCACTTTCTCGTGCTTCACAGATAATGTTTCTTTTTTTTTTTTTTTTTTTTTTTTTTTTTAACCAATTGAAGGTTTGTGGCAACCCTGCTTTGGGCAAGTCTACTGCCAACAAATTTTCAATAGCACTTTCTGTCTCTGTGTCACATTTGGTGATTCTCACAATATTTAAAACTGTTCATTATTGTTATCTCTGTGATGGTGATCTGTGATCGGTGATCTTTGATGTTATTATTATAAATGTTTTGGTTGCCATGATCCATGGCAGCCTTCACATACAGCGTCTGCAGGTTTTACCTGCTCCACTGACCAGCTGCTCCTCTCTCTCTCTCTCTCTCTGTCTGTCTCTCAGTCTTTGAGTCTCCCTATTATCTGAGACACAGTTATATTAAATCGAGCCAATTAATAATCACAGTGGTCTCCAAATATTCAAATAAAAGAAATAATTGCATATCTTTCACTTTAACTCTAGAGCTAGAAATGATTAAGCTTAATGAGGATGATGTCAAAAGCCAAAATAAGCCAAAAGGTAGGCCCCCTGCACCAAACAGTCAAGTTGTAAATGTAAAGGAAAAGTCCTTCCAGGAAATTAAAACTGCTCTTGCAGTGAACACACAAATAATGAGAAAGCAAAACAGCCTTATTGCTGATATGGAGAAAGTTTGAGTGGTCTGGATGGAAAATCAAACCAGCCACAAAATTCCCATAACCAGAGCCTCATCCAAAGCAGGGCCCTAACTCTCATCCATTGTATGAAGGCTGAGACAGGTGAGGATGCTGTAGAAGAAAGTTGAAAGACAGCAGATTGATTCATGAGGTTTAAGAAAAGAAGCCACCTTTGTAACCTAAAAGTGTGAGGTAAAGCAGCAAGTGCTGATGGAGAAGCTGCAGCAAGTTATCTAGAAGATTCTTGATCACTGATGAGGGTGGCTACACGAAACAATCGATTTTCAATATAGGTGAAACAGCCTTTTATTGGAAAAAGATGCCATGTAGAATTTTCATTGCCAGAGATAAGTCAACGCCTGGCTTCAAAACTTCAAAGGACAGGCTGACTCTCTTTCAGGGACCACTGTGGCTAGTGACTTCAAGTTGCAGCCAATGCTCATTTACCATTCTGAAAATCCCAGGGCCCTTAAGAATTATGCTAAATCTGCTCTTTCTGTGCTCGAGAAATGGAACATCACAACCTGGTTGGCAGCACGTATGTTAAAAGCATGTTTTACTGACTAAGCCCACTGTTGAGACCTACTGCTCAGAAAAAATATGATTCCTTTAAGAATATTGCTGCTCATTGACAATTCACCTAGTTTCTCAGGAGCTTTGATGGAGATGTATAGGGAAACTAGTATTGCTTTCATGTCTGCTAATACAATATCCATTTTGCAGCCCATGGATCAAGGAGCAGTTCCGAGTTTTCAAGTCTTATTATTAAATAAGAAATGCATTTTGTAAAGGTATAGCTGTCGTAGATAGTGATTTCTTTGATGGATCTGAAAAAAGTGAATTGAAAACCTTTTGGAAAGGATTCACCATTAGGACATTTGTGATTCATGCGGGGAGGTTGAAATATCAACATTAACAGGAGTTTGGAAGAAGTTGATTCCAGCCCTCATGGATGACTTTGAGGGCTCAGGATGTCAGTGGAGGAAGTCCCTGCAGATGTGGTAGAAATCGCAAGACAACTAGAATTAGAATTAGAGCCTTAAGATGAGATGAAATTGCTGTAAACTCATGATGCAACTTGAACAAATGGGGAGTTGCTTCTTATGGATGAACAAAGAAAATATTTTCTTGAGATGGAATCTAATCCAGGTGGAGATGCTATGAACATTGTTGAAATGACAACAAAGGATTTAGAAAATTCCATAAACCTAGTTGATAAAGCAGCAGCAGGGTTAGAGAGGGTTTACTCCAATTTTGAAGGAAGTTCTTCTGTGGATAAAATGCTATCAAATAGCATCATATGCTACAGGGAAATCTTTTGTGAAAGAAACAGTGTATCAATGCAACAAACCCCATTCTCTTATTTTTAAGAAATTGCCACAGGCACCCAACCTTCAGCAGCCCCCACCCTGAGCAGTCAGCAGCCCCCACCCTGAGCAGTCAGCAGCCATCAATATAGAGGCAAGATCCGCACCAAGGAAAAGATTATGACCTGTTCAAGGCTCAACATTCGTTGGTATTTTTTTTAGCAATAAAGTGTTTTTAATTAAGGTATGCACGTACTGTTTTTAAGCATAAGGCTATTAACATACTCATTAGACTACAGTATAAACATAACTTTTATATGCACTGGGAAACCAAAAAAATTTGTATGACTAACTTTGTTGCAACATTTGTCTTATTGCAGTGGTCTGGAACCAAATCCACAATACCTCTGAGGTGTGCTTGTAGGTTTGTTGTTTTATGTTTTGAGATGAGGTCTCACTCTGTCACCAAGGCTAGAGTACAGTGGCATGATCATAGCTCACTGCAGTCTCGAACTCCTGGGGCCAAGTGATCCTCCCACCACAGCCTCCTGAGTAGCTGGGACTACAGGCATGCAACACTACACCTCGCTAATTTTTAATTTATTTGTAGAGATAGGATTGCACTGTTGCTCAGGCTGGTCTTGAACTCCAGGGCTCAAGCAATCCTCCCACCTTGGCCTCCCAAAGTGCTGAGATTACAAGCATGAGCCACCACATCCAGGTTGTCTGTAGTTTTTTAAAACAAAAATATAATTTAAAAGATTAAAAGTTAAAATAGATTTTCACAAATATATATATCTACCATTATAGCATAATGGAGAATAGTTTCACTGCCCTAAAAATAATCTGTGTTCTGTGTATCCATCTCTTCCTTCCCCTTGGTTCATGGCAACCACTGATTTTTCTACTGTTCCCATAGTTTCACCGTTTCCAGAACGTCATATAATTGGAATCGAACAGTATGTAGCCTTTTTGGATTGGCTTCTTCTCTTAGCAATATGTATTTAAGTTTCCTCCATGTATTTTTTTGTGGCTTGATAGATCATCTCCCGTTAGCAGTGAATAATATCCCATTGCCATTAAACTTTTGTCAAGACTCAGAACGTGCAACATGAAGAGTAAACCTGAATGTGCACTGTAAGCTTTGAGTGATACTGAAGGGTCAAGGCAGGTTCCTGGTTGTCACAGGTGTGCTCCTGTGAGGCAGGAAGCTGTAGTGGGGAGGCTGTGTGTGGGGAGAGGGACATATGGGAAGCCTGTACCCTCTGCTCCATTTAGCTGTGAACCTGCACTTCTCTAAAAAATAAAATTTATTTATTAAAACTAAAAAACAAAATATTAAAAAATTAAAAATTACAATATGTCATATACTTTCCAAATCACAAGACAGAGACAAAGACATAATAAAACAAAATGTAGAAAACAACAAACATAGGAATAAAACATCAGTGATAGAAGGCAGAAGACAGAAAAGCGGAGCCAAACACATTAATTTATGTAATTATTAGTTATATTCATTTATGCTAACTTATATTGATTTAACAAATTAATTTTGACTAAACGGCATTAAAGGAGGTTTGAGGAATTTGCTTGTCACCTTCTGGATGAGAGGACTCAATAATATGAACTCTTTCATTGGCTGTAAATTATTTTAAAATATGCTCACATTCCAATACAAATTCCATGAAGAATATTTTGGAACAAGAAAACGTGATTTTAAATTCATCTGATGAACAAACACACACTGAGAGCCAATATTACCAAATAAATCTGCAAGATATTTAAGATCATTATAACTTTTCAAAATTAAACATTTGATATGGCACAAAAATAAACACGTAAATGAAAGAGAATTAAAAACACAGAAATTTTGTGTAATTTTGTGTGGTAACAGAGTAACATTTCAAATCTACAAATCAAGAATAATTATCCCATTGGTGGTATTATTGGAGTAATAAACAAAACTGCCTAAAATGTGAAGTTCTTACACATTTCAACACTATGTAAAAAGCACAAGACAAACAACTGGGGACATTTTTACAACAATTACGTTACATAAAAGTTAAAATCCTTATGACATATACAATGCATAAAACATTATAATTATTGCTATTAGTACTACCATTATGATTACCTGGTCTTCCCACACACCTGTCCTCTTCCGGTGCCCTGTGGTGAAACAGAGCCCTCCCTCTCTGGCCACAGTTGAGGGATCCAGCAGGAACCCTGCCTAAACCCACAGAGGGTGTGAGCCAAGCTGGGACATCACATTCCCTCCTGCAATGATGCAGATACCCACTCACGACAGAGATTTGGTCCCTCTCTCAAAAAATTGTGTAGCAATTATTGCGGAAACTTGTTTCTTGTCCCCAGACACATGGAGAAACTGATCTGGAAGACTGATGTCCACACGCTAAGAGAAGCAGTCACTCATACACACACTGCACACACACCACACCATGTGCACACACACACACACCCCACACACACACCACACAAACAGCACACACCACACCACACGACACACACATGAACATAACACACACACAGCATCACACACCACACACACATCACACATACCACACACATACACACATACACATACACTACACACAGAGACACCACACACAATACACACAAACTACACACCCACAACACAATGCACACACACCACACACAACACACAGTACATACAGCACACCAAACACACACACCACACACACACCCTGCACACAAGTCACACGCCTACACCCCCACATACTCCACAGCATACATACAATCCTCACTTTTTGGAAATTAATTCGGTTTTTACAGAGCCTGGATAGTAAAATATTTTACTGGCGTTTGAATAAGCCAAGAAAATGCAGATAAATACACATGTGTAACCACAAGGGCACAAGTACCACTGTGGAAATCACAACATTAGATTAAACCCTGTAAATTGTTTGTCGTTTTAAAAAAACGAGTCTTTCTTATTTTACTAGAAACTATTTACCAGAGTAAACTAATGAGAGTCTTACTGAGGTCAAGACTTTTTGGAAAAACTTCTCCTTGATGAAATTGCACTTAAAACATCACTTCCATCGTGAAGTATTTCTTTAAGATGTTCTTGGTCCCTTTCCTGTTATGTGGAATCGTCAATTCAAATTTTAAAGGAGACTTTGAGATGTTTTTCATCTATTATTTTAAAAATGTTGAAGGGGTTTTTAATTCTGCCTTCAACAGAGATTGACATACCTCTGATTATGATGTAAAACTGAACACGTTACTCTGACAGGCTTTCTCCTCTGCAGCGCAGCTGCCATCATTAATAACAATTGAATGCTTTTACTCCATGCAAAATCTATATTACCTGCTTTATAAAGAACAGAAATCTAATTCTCACTATAAAGGCAGATAAAAGTAATCCCTTCAACCTACAGAAGTCTGAATGATTTACCAATGCACTTAGACTTTAGCATTTATCAAATGTGTGTATATACCTACACAGATTCATATGAAGAACATGTAGTTTAAAGCACTGCAAATTTTATGCTTTTAATGAGTTGTGATGGTCATTAATATTTTTATCACATTTCCCCAAAGGTAGGCTACTTACCGTTTTTATTTCCAGATAGAAATATAAAATGTATTCTCTATTTTTTATGATTTTGAAATATAACCCTTGGAATATAATATCTGGTTATAATATCTATGAAAAGCATGAAATCAACAGTCAAACAGTATGCATTTATCCATAATGCAAATCTTCTCTACAATAACATCTATCTTCTTTACCTGCTGGGCACACAAAAGTCACGATTTCTCACATGGCTGGATGTTACTTTCATTAAACTTGAACCACCATCGAGTGCAGCAGAAACTGGGCAAGAGGCCACAAAGTACACAATACACACACACACACACACACACACACATGCAAGCTTGCATTATTATACTTACCTAAGTGTTTAAAGAGGTGGATAATTATATTAGGCTTCTCCAGAACAATGATTTTTATGGGGCCTATTGGAAAGTATGACTGCAGTTTGAGTGAGATACCTGTAAGAGATTCAATTTGGCCACTATTTATTGAGTATCCAATTTTGAAAATACTAACAGAAGGCTCATGAGATAGAAATTTCCATCTAAAACTCTGGGAAATGTGCTCCTCGATACTGTAGCAAAAAGAGTGGTGTGGCAATTGTAAAACACATCTAATATCTAAACCTTTGTTTTTTAATCCAAAATCCTTATGGGGGTGATTGTGTGTGTCAATTTGAAAATTCCCATTAACAAGATAAATAGCCAGCCCACCTCTATGAATTAATAATTAATTTAGTTCACCTGCTCTATATTTGCAGGGCAGTGCTTCTCCTGCTTTGACAGCCACAAGATTCACCTACGGATCTCCTTAAAATACAAAACCATAGACCACACTTTGACTAGCTTGGATAAGGGGTTAGAGGATTGAAATGAGTGTGTAGGTGACTGTGCTAAGATTCTTCTGCTCATCTGGGCACTGGCTGACAATATTAACAAAGCTTAGGACCTCCAGTCCTTGCTGGAAAGGAAATACACATGCATAGGATGTGACTATGGATATGGAATATCTGCTGTGTTCTGGACTTTGTACTAGACACTAGAGATAAAAGGTCAAATAATCCCTTGTCTCTATCTTAAAGGAGCTTCCTACACAGAGGCTTCTGGAGGTCTCTGAAACCGGATTCACTTTCAGATTTGATCATTATATTTATGATTTGATATTTTCATTGAACCCCATGATATGATAGTTTTTGTCAGAACCTGCTAGAACAATTGACTTTGCTCTCAGCATTATGGAGCTACTTGGGGGGAAAGTAAAACCAGATAGGAAGAACTTGAACTATTTTTTTAGCTGTCTTTCTTTAGAGCTGTTTTGTTTTTGAGACAGGGCTTCACCCTGTCCCTATGCTGGAATGTAGTGTGGTGTGATCTTGGCAGCTTCAAACTTCTAGGATCAAGTGATTCTCCCACCTCAGCCTCCTGAGGAGCTGGGACCACAGGCACAGGCCATCATGATTGGATAATTTTTAAAAACTGCTTTGTAGAGACGGGTTTTTTCCATGTTGCCCAGGCTGGTCTCAAACTCTTAAGCTCAAGCGATCTACCCATCTTGATCTCCCAAAGTGCACAGCCTTGCTTTTAGTTCATTTTGAGCTGTTTTATAATCTGGTTTTGAATCTATAAATTTGGATTCATTCTGATATTTACAGATTTACCATCCTACTTCCTACTTCACTACATCCTACTGTAGGCCACCTCATCCATCTCTGCTCATAGCCTAAACTAATAGAAGCCAGGGGGAAGAAGTAGAAGCCAATGTGAGTCCAGAACACGCATTTTATAAGAGCATAAGAAATTTAAAAACAGCAAAGTATACCATGAAGATTGTAATAGATATGCATGGTTAAAATTCGCTATTTTAATCTATATATTCTATAAATGGAGAAAATTTTAAATATGTGAAAAGTAAGACAAGTTCATTATTAATATACAATTAATGTCAAGAATGCGGCTTATGTTTTTATCTGAGCAAAACTTAGGAGCACTTGGGTGGAAGGAGGAAGAAGGTATAACCATGGGGAGCGTGTATGATACTGGAGGGAGCCTTCTGACAAGGGGGAAATGGCTTCACGAGATATAGTATGGTCATAGCTATGTGGGAGCGCAGCTAGCTATGGTCTCCCCTGTCAAACCCATTGGGCAGTGTTCAGTTACCAACACTGAGGTAGAGCTCACCCACCCGGGACAGAAGAGAAAATATGCACTGCAGTTAGAAGCCACTATGTAGGAAGCTCCTTTCAGATAGAGACAAGGGATATTTGACTTCTTATCTCTGTTGTCCAGCACAATGTCCAGAACACAACAGATATTCCATATGCACAGTCACATGCTATGTATGTGTATTTTCTTTCCAGAAAGGACTAGAGGTCCTAAGCTTTGTTAATATCATGAGCCAGTGCCCACATGAGCAGGAGAATTTTAGCACAGTCACCTACACACTCATTTCGATGCTCTGACCCCTTATCCAAGCCAGTCAAAGTGTGGTCTATGGTTTTGCATTTTAAAGAGATCCCTGGGTGAATCTTGTGCATGTTACAGGGAAGCACTGTCCTACATCCTATGTGACAGGCTCTCATAGTCACCATCATCATGGGAATCTTGCACATGTTACAGGGAAGCACTGTCCTACATCATATGTGACAGGCTCTCATAGTCACCATCATCACGGGAATCTTGCACATGTTACAGGGAAGCACTGTCCTACATCGTATGTGACAGGCTCTCATAATCACCATCATCATGTGATCTTGTGCATGTTACAGGGAAGCACTGTTCTACATCGTAGGTGACAGGGTCTCATAGTCACTATCATCACGGGAATATTGTGCATGTTACAGGGAAGCACTGTCCTACATCGTATCTGACAGGCTCTCATAGTCACCGTCATCACGGGAATCTTGTGCATGTTACAGGGAACCACTGTCCTACATCGTATGTGACAGACTCTCATAGTCACCATCATCAAGGGAATCTTGCACGTTACAGGGAAGCACTGTCCTACATCATATGTGACAGGCTCTCATAGTCACCATCATCACAGGAATCTTGTGCATGTTACAGGGAAGGACTGTCCTACATCGTAGGTGACAGGCTCTCATAATCACCATCATCATGGGATCTTGCACATGTTACAGGGAAGCACTGTCCTACATCGTAGGTGACAGGGTCTCAGAGTCACCATCATCACGGGAATCTTGTGCATGTTACAGGGAAGCACAGTCCTACATCGTATCTGACAGGCTCTCATAGTCACCGTCATCACGGGAATCTTGCACATGTTACAGGGAAGCACCGTCCTACATCGTATGTGACAGACTCTCATAGTCACCATCATCAAGGGAATCTTGTGCATGTTACAGGGAAGCACTGTCCTACATCATATGTGACAGGCTCTCATAGTCACCATCATCACAGGAATCTTGTGCATGTTACAGGGAAGGACTGTCCTACATCGTAGGTGACAGGCTCTCATAATCACCATCATCACGGGAATCTTGTGCATGTTGCAGGGAAGCACTGTCCTACATCGTATGCGACAGGGTCTCAGAGTCACCATCATCGTGGGAATCTTGTGCATGTTACAGGGAAGCACTGTCCTACATCATATGTGACAGGCTCTCATAGTCACCATCATCACGGGAAGCTGCATTTAGAGCATTTAACTGTATGGGCTCTGAAATCAGATGACTTAGGTTTGGGCTTGCCTCTACTTCTTACTAAGCAGAGAACTTTGGGGCATGATACTTAATTTTACTAGGCTCAGTTTTATCATGTGTAAATTGGAGGCAAGGGGAAATTATAGCATTTTGCATAGAATATTGTTTTAAGTATGAAATAAAATAATACACAAGAAGCTTCTGCCATACGCTAACTAATATAAATATTAGTTATTCATACCTCACTTAATCCTAATAAGAGGTCTATAAATTTGTACACAGAGATTTTTTTCTGTGACTACCCAAAGTTTCACAATTAACCTGGATTTAAAATTGGAGAATTTTCTCATTATAGTGGCCAGTAAATATGACATGCCACAATTATATGTGAGTGTATTATTGTTGTGGGAATATATGAAATTTGCCTTCAAAAGAGGGAGGATAAACTATGTTTGCAGAATCCAGAAAGCTGTTTCTCACATAAGAGTTTGTAATTTCTGGGGGAAAAGAAGAGAAAGTTGTTTGTGCAAATAAACATTACCATAGAGTCTTCTCTATGGCACCATCAAAAATGAAGACTGATTCTCATCTTCCTAACAATCTGCAAAGATAAGTGAAACACAACCTACTGACCATCAAGTTGAAGAAGAAGAGAACTTGAGTGGCACAGGAGGAAACCATGTCGTTGCTGCTAGGGAAATCAATATGACCAGTGTTCCTCTGCCCTCCTCCAAGGCTAAGGATGGGTTAAATATCAGTGGCTGACCTCAGATAATGGAATGAGCAAAAGAGCTATAAAAATGCATGCATTACGTAATTAAGAGGGTGGGAAGGGATTTTTTTAAAAAAGGCAATTCCTAGTTGGGTTCCTTCCTGTGAATTCCTAGTTGGTGAAGAAGCTGGTCTTGCCCTAGAGTTCTGGGGGTGGCTACAGACACAACAAACACTGAGACGATGAAACTGACAGTAATTGATTAGTTACTCATACTCAGCCCAGGGGAGGATGCTGCTGCATCTCTCCAGATCTATGTGGGGGTTGCACTCAGGAACAGAAAGAACAAGCAGAGGGTGTGGGAGGCAGGCTTGGGAGTCATCAGAGGGTGGGTGGCCCCTAGTCCCTTGGGGGAAAGTGCTTGACTTATTTGAAGAGTTTTGCAGTCGGGCAGGGGGTGAAAGCCATTAGGCTGAGGAACTGGTGGGGTGCAGCATGAAATTTTAGGTGTCACAATACAAATTGACATCTGATGCTTTAACATTGGGTATTTATTTTAATGATGACTAATATTTTAAGAGGCTGAGAGAAGGCTGTAGAGACACTGTAATAAGTGCTTGGGCATGAGAAATTAGGAAGACCACAGTTACGAGTAATGAAATGCGGAAGCCGATGCAAAGCTACTGCCCCCATTTGTTTAGCAGAAGGCAAGATAGGAGGCCTCTGACAGTACAAGCGTGTTCGTAAATATTTGGGTGATGTCATGCATTCTCCATGTATTGGTTCTGGCAGCACAAGCGTGTTCGTAAATATCTGGGTGACGTCATGCATTCCCCATGCATTGGTTTAGAGATCTGGGGTCTCTGGCAGCACAAGCGTGTTCGTAAATATCTGGGTAACGTCACACATTCCCCATGCATTGGTTTTCATGAGTGGTTTCAGTGAGTTTTTGGGCAAGTCTGATATTAGTGATCCACAGGCAGCAGGCAGCTTCCTGTACAGAGCTACCTCCACCCCTTGGACAGTCCAGGACTGAATGGTTGTCAAAAATGTGAACTCCTTGATGACCAGTAAAGGCAACTGAGAGAACTGTGTAGCATTGGTGTAAAAAGTGCACTTTCCTAAGGAGCATGAACTTAGAGTAATCAAAGGCTGTGGCAACAGTGGAACCCAGCAGGGCATCCACTCGCTGCTTTGTAACTTAAATAGGAATTCTTTGAGGAGCTCAGTCTCTCAACTAAAGCAGCTGCCTGCAGCCTATAGGGGCAGTGGAAGCTCTACTGGACACCTTCTTCACAAGCCCAGCACTGTGTTTTCTGATGAAATGTTGCCTTGGTCACCATCAGTAGTGTCTGGAACTCTGCAGGGGATAAGGAGTGTCCCTGTGAGATCCGTACTGTGTACTTAGTTAAAATAAAAGCATCTGTTGCCTTGATTGGTATTCTGAGTATCCATGAGACAAGAAGTTTCTTTAGTTCAATGGGGAGGGGAGGTGGACAATTCTTGGAAATTGCCAAAAGGTTTGTAAAAATGTACAAATGGGGCTAATTGTTGGCCCAGCATCAGTGCTGAGACGACCATCTCAAGTTTGGCCGGTCGTGCTGAGGCTTGGATGTCATCCTTTATCAGGGACAGCCTAGCTAAGGGAGGGAAGGCAGCAGCATTCCACTGAGCTCCATCACGTCCAATGATGGCATCCATTCAGACGGAGGACAAACTTCACTGCTCGTCACTCAGTCGATCCCAAGGGGCCTGGGAGAGGGATGACTTCTAGCACCACAGCCTGAGGATGAAGGAGGCCAGTACCAGCACCACAGCCTGAGGATGAAGGAGACCAGTACCAGCACCACAGCCTGAGGATGAAGGAGGCCAGTACCAGCACCACAGCCTGAGGATGAAGGAGGCCAGTACCAGCACCACAGCCTGAGGATGAAGGAGGGCAGTGCCAGCACCACAGCCTGAGGATGAACAAGGCCAGTGCTTCCAGCAGATGAGACTTGCAGGGGGTACATATTTGACTCCATTCTAAGGCAAGGACATCTCTGTAACTGTGTCAAGGCTATGGGGTGCTGCTTCCCAAGGCCTGATGGCCAGATGGGCATGAAGGCTCATGGACATGGACGCGGAGCCCTCTGTTTCCAGAGGGTCCACTATGTGGTCAGCAATCACTGCCCTGATGCTGTACAGCACAGGGTCAAAAGGGGGGCAGGTTTGTTTTTCACATCAGAAGCCCATGGACAGCTTATGGCCACCATATGCAACCCAGATACTTCAGGAGGCACAGGAAGAGGTTGCTCAAGCAACTACAGTGTGATCTCTGATGGAATTCATAGGAGCACCTGTTAATTTAAATTTGGACAGATTCCAGACTTGTTGGAGGAGGCTTCATTCAAGGTGGGTCAGCTTTCAAGCGACAGCATCAGTGAGATTAAGTAAAATTTGTAAATGAGGAATATGTTGTCACCTGTACCCCAAATAAATAATTAAAGGGCTGGGCACAGTGGCTCACATCTGTAATCCTAGCACTTTGGGAAGCTGAGGCAGGAGGATTGGTTGAGCCAAGGAGTTTGATACCAGCTTGGGCAATGTAGCCAGACCTCGTCTCTACAATAAATAAAATTAGCTGGGTATGGTAGCACACACCTGTAGTCCCAGCTATGTGGGAAGCTGAGGTGGGAGGATTGCTTGAGCTCAGGAAGTCAAGGATGCAGTAAGCTGAGATTGAGACACTGTATTCCTGCCTGGGTGACAGAGCAAGACTGTGTCTCAAAAAATACATACATAAATAAAGAATATTGGACTTGTATTAACATTGTGGATACTGAAAGGGTCAATAACCACTTCTTGAAAGTGTCAGGGATACATCAGCCCTCAGTTTACCAAAGAATTTTCAGGAATTTAGCCAAAGTGGCAGGGCCTTGCACTACTGTGTTGGGGAAAGGTCCATTCCCTTTGTGTAAGCCTCCTTGTATCTGTGTGTCCTTAGTGTGTAAAATGAATTTTCTCTGAGAATGATGTCATCAGTATAATGTCACACCTGTGCTCCTGTAGAAAGGTGGCTGCAGTGAGATCTTGTCTGTGAAGATTGTGTGCAGTGACGAGGCTGCCGAGACACTCCGTGGGTCGCCCGGTCCCTTCAGAGACGAAGGCAGGCTGTGACTGAGACTCTGTTAAAATAGGCCCAAAAAGAACATGGTAGCCAAATCTGTAACAAGAAAATATTTACCAGTTGCATGAATATATATGTTTATTGTAAGGAATTGGCTCATGTGGTTGTGATGGTGAATATTGAGTGTCAACTTGATTGGGTTGAAGGATGCAAAGTATTGTTCTTGCGTGTGTCTGTGAGGGTGTTGCTAAAGGAGATTAATATTTGAGTTAGTGGACTGGGAGAGGCAGACTCACCCTCAATCTGGGTGGGCACCATCTAATCAGCTGCCAGCATAAAAAGCAGGCATGGAAACAGCAGACTTGCTGAGTCTTCTGGCCTCCATCTTTCTCCCATGCTGGATGCCTCCTGCCCCCGAACATAAGACTCCAAGTTCTTCAGCTTTTGGACTCTTGGACCTGCACCAGTGATTTGCCAGGGGCTCTCAAGCCTTTGGCCACAGACTGAAGACTGAATTATCAGCTTCCCTACTTTTGAGGTTCTGAGGATTTGGACTGGCTTCTGGGCTCCTCAGGTTGCAGATGGCCTATTGTGGGACTTCAACTTGTGATCGTGAGTCAATACTCCTAATAAACTCCCCTTCATATATACATCTATCCTATTAGTTCTGTCCCTCTGGAGAACCATGACTAATACAGAGGCTATGAAGGCTGAGAAGTTCCAGGATCTGCAGTCAGCAAGCTAGAGACCCAGGACTTCCAACAGTGGAGTTCCAGTCAAAGTCTAAAGTCCTGAGAACCAGGAGAGATGATGGCTTCCATTACAGTCCAAGTCAGACTTCAGAGGCATGACAAGATCTATGTCTCAGCTCAAAGATCATCAGACGGAGTGAATTCTCTCTTCCTCCACCTTTGTGTTCTATTTGGGTTTTCAGTGTATCGGATGCATCCCACTCACATTAGGGAGGGTGACTGCTTTATTTAATCTACCTTTTCAAATGTTAATCTCATCAAGAAACACCCTCACAGACACATCCGGAATCATGTTTAACCAAATACCTGGGCAACTCAAGTTGACAAATAAAATTAACCATCATAGATGGTGTCAGTAATTTCAATACTGTCAGGGATTGGGTATGGGGCCTTAATGGGCAGGAGGACAGCAATAAGGTTGCTGCAATTCACTGTGAAACACTATTTATTATTTCCAGGTTTAAGAACAGGCCAAACTGCACTGCTAAATGTTGAAGCAGTGAGGATAATCACCCCTTCACTAAGTAATTAGGTCTTTTAGGATAAGTTTGGATCCTTCGAAGTCATGTTGTAATTTATGTTGGGCAATATTTGCTAATTTAACAGGAAGGGGAGGGCGAGCACAGTGGCTCATGCCTGTAATCCCAGCACTTTGGGAGGCTGAGGTGGGAGGATTGCTTGAGGCTAGGAATTAGAGACCAGCCTGGAAAACATAACAAGACCCCATCTCTGTAATTTTTTTAATAAATTAGCTAAGTGTGGTGGCACATGGCTGCAATCTTAGCTACTTGGGAGGTTAAGATGGAAGGACTGCTTGAGCTCAGGAGTTTGAGGCATCAGTGAGCTATGATTATGCCACTTAACTTAGACCTGGGCGGTGGAGCAAGACACCATTCCTAAAAAGAAAAAATTTAAAAATAAATAAAGTTTTAAAACAATAAACAGAAGAGGAGTTCCACAAGATCACATTTTATGAGGTCAATATGTAAGTGCAAATGGTTTAATTTCAATTTATTGCTCATTAGGCCAGAGCATCCAGGTCCACTATGGACAGAGGTTTCTATGACTAAGGGAAATTTAGGCAAGGTAATAAAGGTGAGGCATAACTATGAGTCCTCTATTCTAAATGCAGTTACTCTGCAAGGATTATAGAGAGTGCAATGTTTAAATTTAGTGGATCCCGGGTATAACAAAGTCTGATCCCTGCTACTGATAGTCTGTGAAGGGATGCTAATTGGCACATTTCAGCAGATGTTAAGGTTAGTTCAGAATATATGCTGTAGAGGTGCAAACACCAATCAGTACCTTTTTATCTTGTGGTGGTATACATTATTTTAGTAAGTAGTGAATTTCCAATTAGGTCAGATTATAAGACCTCTGTTTTAGTATGAATTTTGATTTTGTCCATGTCTGGGTTTATTCTTTCTTTCATCCCTTTTTCCTGTTTTGTAGTTCTCTCTTTCCTTCCTTCCTTCCTTCCTTCCTTCCTTCCTTCTTTCTTTCTTCCCTTTCCTCCATTATTTTTGTAACTGGATATACTTAGGGAAGGTTGTTCTTTTTACCCACTCATGTTTGTACATTTTTTTCTTTCAAACAACCCAAAATTGGTATCATCAGAGTTAAGGTCTTCCTTCAGAGTAGTTGTGTGGTTTAAGAACCCTGGACTCAAGTCAGGTTTGGATTTCTCCCTTCTCTGTGCCTCAGGGGTACCGCAGGTATCTTTCCCTATAACCCTGGGATCAGGTTTTTGTTGAAGTGGAACCATAAGTTGCAGAGTGATGCGGCGCAATCAGCCCACAGTTCAGAGGTCAGTGGACTGAAACTGTCCTCTGCTACGGCCCCATCTTGTTCTTCCAGGAGGGCCTCCCCTACCTTTTTTTTCCTTTTAGGGTTTCTAGCCATATAGTTGTGGTTTTGGGGTTTCATTTCCATGAGATTATTCATAGTGTGGACCTTCTGAATGGTTATGGGGAAAGGAGGGGGGGGTGGTGATCTTCCGCAGCCTCTGGGGAATGCCAGTCAGCTTTTCTGGGATGGAGTCCCTATCCCACAGTCATTTTGTCTGTGTCCCAGGCGGAGGCATTCAAGCCCCATGATCAGCAGTTGAGTCCTTAGGCAGCTGGTAAGCAGCAGCACAAGCAAAGCACAGGCACATGGGCTGGGACTTCTGCATGAGGAGGCCAGGAGAGTTCCAAAGGCTCCCTACTTTTCCTCATCAGTGCTGGAGCCGTCGGCCACCATGCATGTGGAATTTGACATCCCTGGGGTTGAGGAGAGCACATGACAGCAGCAAGGGAAGCAGCGGCCCAGGGGAAGGGAAAGGCCACTACCCTCACCTGAGAAGCACTGACTCCTGCCAGGCAGCTGGGGTGTCAGTCTTAATACTTCCCATGTTGACAGCCTGGGACTCCTCCTTTCCTAAGTTCTTACTGGAAAGATGACCCGGTGATCGCCCAAGAAATCCGTCTCCAGTCACCAGGCTGAGTGTAATACACGGAAGTCAGTATCCGCCAGGGCTCCAGCCTGACCACTCGCAAGTGCCCACCAGTTCAGACACTATGTCGTCACCACCCCCGTCCTCTACTGGAGCAGCCTCCCATCATCCCTTCAGGGGGCTTTTTAAATCCCCCCATCTCAGACTTGGTGGCAAGGGTCTCAGCGACAACCTGGCAGACATAGGTCCCAGCTAACAGAACCTCATGCCAGGAGATAGCCAGTTAATAATAGTTCTCATTTCGAAGGAGGCAAGAGGAGCATTTCAGAAAGGAAAGAGATGGCAGCCTCCAAGAGAGACAAGAACTGCCGTGGGAGCCAGCCAGCAATGGGCAGCTCAGTCTCAGGGGTCTCCCCAAAGCGGGAACCAGTTAGTGAGCAAAGGAACAGTCAATTAAAGCTGTTAAGTGTCCTCCACCATGGCCAGGCCCCTCTGTTAGTGCCGGCGGTTGTTTTGCTCGTCTCCTCTTTACCCCTTGGTGAGGGAGAGAGTCCCATTCTAGGTTCTGAAGACGGCCAAACACATGATGCCCATGTTGGACAGAGGAGATGGACTGCAGTGATGAGGCACAAAGACTCACAACCCCGTGAGGGGGCGCCACACGCCACACAGGGCCACGTGGAGGTTTCACTCAGGAAGAGAGTGAACTAGCAGGGACTGACTGGGGAGGCAGGATTTACAGTAATAGAAGGATGAGATGCTTGTGTTCCCCCAAGAGGACATTTGTTTGAAAAATGCCTCAGATTCACAGGGAGCTGCAGCCCATTAGGTTGAGGGCTGGGTAGGGTGCAGCTGGCCAAGCTGAAGGTGGCAGCCTGTTGAGGCAGCTTTCCTGCTGGGTGCTGGGGGCTATAGCAGGCAACAGCAGGGAAACTGTTAGGCTTTTGGGAACCTGTGAGGCTCAAAGATGTCAAAGCACTAATTGAACTTATAATACATCTTCTCAGTAGAGTTCTAGGAAAATTGTGAAGCTGGGAACGTTAGCAAACAACACTAGAAACAGAATTTATGCCAAGATTCTAGATGGGAATGTAAGAAAAGGAGACACCTTCTGCCTCCATGCACTTCTAAGAAAGGACGAAAAGGAAGACAACCTTCGTTTGGTCTCTATGACTGATATTTCTATAAATACAGGGAAAGATAACCGTGTCCTTCTAGTTTCTGGTTTATTTCCTAGCAAGTAATCTAATTCGCAGTCTTGTAGGAAGCTAGGGCTGATATCAGTATTGGGTAATTAGCTGCTTATTTTTACTGATAAGGCATAAATCCATAATTACAGAGAATTATTTTTATGTGCCACCATTATTAGATTGGAAAAGCTCTATGATTGAAATTGTGAGAGACCATTGAGACTTACATGATTACAGAAGACATATTGTACTTTTAATAGAGTCTTTAATAGTGTCAGAGCTATTGACACTGAATAAAAGTTTAAATAATGCACTGAATGTGTTTGGTTTCCCAGAAATTATTAGTTCTATTTATTTCAACTTCCGTGCATTAAGTAGAAAACTTGTAAGAATTGTCACAAACTTTTTGTGGATTTATGATAACATGATGAGATCATATTTGGCTAGGATTCTAGATCTCACAATCTTCTACAAATTGTCAAATCATGACACAGGTTTTCAATATCCACGTGGAAAGGAGGTACCTTGGAATAACTCACTTGGTGTATAATTCTTTATTATCTCACAATGAACCATGATGCTGAGGGAACTAGAACAATGAGGGCATATTTGTTAGGTTCAAGTCTTAGCAGCTATATCTTTTCCCTCAAGATCGGCACTGTCCAAAAAATATATCGTGAGATCTCAAATGCAATTTAAATTTTTAGTAGCTCCATTAAAAAATAAGAATATGTGAAATTAATGAAATAATATGTTTTATTTAACCCAACATTTACTCACAATGACCTTTCAACTGCCAATGCATACAACAATCTGCAGTGAGCAGTTCAATATTCTTTGCTGCCTCTGGAATCCGGTGTGTATTTTACAGCTACAGCCCATCCTAACTCAGGCTCCTCAGGTTTCAAGCGCTCACACCAAAGGGTGCTATTGCCTCCCTTACTGGACAGTGTGGCTCTAGATTGTCTATTCTAAAGGAGAGAAAAAGGAAAAAAAAGGTAGAATAGAAAGGAGAAGAAGGAGCTATTAAGCCAATTACATTTAATAAGCCAAATACATTTATAATGTTCATGTAATTGAAAATATGTTTCAGTTTCCTCTGAAGACTAGACCCAATCAAATCAAAGCAGCTTTTCTTAGGAGACTCTGGAAACAAGGCAAACAAATGCTGGAAGGGAAGAGAGCTTTGAACTGACCTAAAAGGCAGCATATTATACAACATATAAAGAGATAGCAATAAGACTAAGAGATCACCTATAACACATGACCATAGGAATGGGATGACCTGAGACTATGTTAGTTAATTGACTAATAATATTATAAACTAAAACTTTAGTAACAAGAATTAGCACTCACTCAGCTTCAAAGGTCAAAAGCAAAAAGGCCAATTTAATATCTACATATTTTAGGTAAAATATAGCTCAAATGTCCTAATGAAACCATAAAAAAATTAAAATTTAAATGCATTTTAAACAGATATTGGTTAGAAAAAAATTCTTCCCCTAGCAGAATTCTACGGAGGCCTTTTAGCCATGCAGAATTCAATTCCCATATTGTATTCTGTCTTATTTCAGTGAAATGTGATGTATGTTTTACCTTAGCAGTACAACATTGAGTATCCTAACGAACTCAGAGGATTTTGCTAATTTAACTCTGTAGCTTTTACTAAATAGCAATAAATTTATATACCTCCAAGCAACTACAACTTGGAGTAATGCCAAACAAATTTAAAAAATATCAAGGAATACAAAAACCAACTAAAAGTTATTGTCTACTATCTAAACTGTTTTCTTATGTCTTGATAAAAAAATTTAATAGAAAATCCCAAGCTTAAAAACATAGAGATCTGACTTAGAGAGTTTAAACACAAATGACAACAAGATTTCAAAATGATCAATTAGAAGAGACAGTATGGCTTGAGTCCTTGAAGACAACTAAATATATCCAGGTTCCTGAATGACCTGTGATTTGAAGAGCACCAAAAAGTAGGAAATGCCGTTTTCACTTGAAAAGATCATATGTAGCTCAGAACATAGAGCATGCATTCAAACAGCAGCTGCAAAGACATTTGACTAAAATAACTACTTTCTATGCCTCACAGAAGAGTTTAAGTACAATTGACCCTTGAAAAAACACATGATTAGCACAGTTAAAAGTTTACATATAACTTCTGACCCCCAAAAGCTTAACTGCTAATAGCCTACTGACATAACTACTGATGCTCCACATGCTTACCAACAGAAGGCTTACTGATGACATTAACAGCCTACTAACACATATTTTCTATGTTATACACATTAGATACTATATTCCTACAGTAAAGTCAAAGAGAAAAAATGTGATTAAGACAAAATTAGGAAGAGAAAATATATTTACTATCCATTAAGGGGAAGTGGATCATCATAAAAGTTTTCATCCTCATCGTCTTCATATCGAGCAGGCTGAGGAGAAGGAGGAAGAGGAGGAGTTGGTGTTGCTGTCTCAGGGGTGGCAGAGGTGGAAAAAAATCTGAGTATGTAAGAGGACTTGGGCAATTAAAAAGTGTGTGGCCAGGGTCAGTTGTAGTAGCAGTAAGATCATCATGATAGTGAAGTTTTTAATCTCTTCAAAATTCCTCCCAAAAACCATGAACAAAAAAATATAATTTTATATACAACACCATCAAAAAAACGCAAAAGAGCACAAATGAGTTATTTAGCCAACATAGTCCCTGTCCCCAACTTCTGGTGGCTGTGGTTAACTCAGCTCTAGTGTCAGGACTGTGTGAGGTCAGATGGCTGGTGGGAGGGGAAGAGACAAGTTCCCTACTGACTTGCCTTATGTATGGAGCACCCCTGACGGAAGTAACTCCTTCTTAGAAAAAGACTCCATCTTCCATTTCATGAGGCACTTTCCCAACAAGGAGCTTATCTTTGGCAGAATCCATACAGACTGCATCCAAACAGACAAGGACATAACTAGGCACACTCTTCCACTATCGGCCCTTACCAGAGGATTCTGTGGCCAGAAAAGAGCAGGGTTTCACCAGCTGAAAGTGGCCATCTTAGCATCTCACCATCACTTGTGATAAGCACTCAGCATCCGCCACCAAAGGCTCTGCCCACATCCAGGACCCTGCTTTGCAAGATCCTGACTCTGAAGGGCCCCCGGGGCCAGGCGGGACATTTGTTTTGTCCATGTCACTCTCTCTGTTCATTAACGATTTTTCCTATTTCTTTTGATGTTTAATGTTACTTTGTTTGTTGTAAAATATTTAATATATATTTATATGTTATATCTCGTATATAATATATATTTATATATCTTGTATATAACATATACAAGATATACAGTCATATTATCATGGATGACTGACTTGTGGAGTGGCTTGAGCTTGTGCCCGAGGTTCTTACTGACGAGTGCGGAACCGGAAGTGCTGCGGGGACTCGCCCCCAGGGAACTCCATGTAGCAACGGCTTTTATGACTGAAATAGCAAATCACAGTCTCACCGGCCGGGTGCAGTGGCTCACGCCTGTAATCCCAGCACTTTGGGAGGCCAAGGCGGGCAGATCACGAGGTCAGGAGATTGAGACCATCCTGGCTAACATGGTGAAACCCCCTCTCTACTAAAAATACAAAAATTAGCTGGGCGTGGTGGCGGCGGCACCTGTAGTCCCAGCTACTCAGGAGGCTGAGGCAGTAGAATGGCGTGAACCCGGGAGGCGGAGCTTACCGTGAGGCGAGATCGCACCACTGTACTCTAGCCTGGGCGACAGAGCGAGACTCCGTCTCAAAAAAAAAAGTCTGAACTTGTGGAAAGACACACACGTGCCTGGACCTGGCTATCTCTGACCTTGCACTACTCATGATACCTTAAAAACCCCAGGAAAAAGGCACCAACAAAAATTCACTCAAATAAGAGAGGACCCTTTCCTGAGTCTGAGAATGGCCAACAAAATGGGGACAAATACTCCTTAATTTGCCAATGAATGCAGAAATCTATACTCAAATTTGTGAGGAACAAGCTGTGGAATTTGAGAATTTCAGAAATATCAAATAAATACTAATAAAAATGACCTTAAGAATAAAGCCTCACCTTCAGGGAAAATTACTAGGAGTAAAAACCCAGCTGAGCAGGTCAGAGCACTAAGAAGCAAGAATGTTTAAAGAATGGTTGGTGAGAGGGGCTCGCAAAAAGCAAATCAAGGAAGCATTGAAATAAAAAAATACCACGTCTAAACCAGAGGAATCTGCCTTGAAAGACGAGGTCCATGGAGCCCTAGAGTTGACCGGGAAATTGTCCTGAACCAGATTTAGCTCTGAGAGATAAAGAAGAACTGTACACAAAGACCATGTTTCACGTATTGTATTCACGGCCACAAGAAAGAAAGGAGCCCGAAGCTGGAAAGCTGAGACAGTCCCCCACTTCACTCCCTCACCTACACAAGAACCACTTTAAATAGCCCAGGGAAGCTCATCCCATTAGATCTCAGGGAGAAAACTGATATGGTCTGAAACTAGACAAATGTATTATGAAAAGAAATAGGAAAATGAACCTACCTTTTAACAGAAAAAAAAAAAACCAAGAAAACGTGGCAACAAGCAAATGAATAACTCTAATATTGTAAAATAAGCCAAATTAAGATGATCAGAAATAAATAAGCTCAGAAATATAAAAAACTAGACAAAGGAAGATACAAAATGAAAATGACAGCTCTTAGGAAATAATGAAAACAGAGTCAAATTTAGAGAGACTAAATTTTAAAGTACACAATCATGAATAAACATAATGAAAACCTCAGTGAAAAAAGAAATAAGAAAAAGATAAAGATGGACAAAATAAAGACAAATGTATTTGGAGCATCAAAACAAAAGCAAAACACACACACACACACACACACACACACACAGACACACAGAAAAAGTAGATGAAAAGCTGTCTTGAAATAAACGATGTTGTGAATCTACACATATATACATCAAATAGTTGGAAAATTTGACTCATCACATAAGTTATGATTTGTAGATGATATGGTCTGGTTCTGTATCCCCACCCAAATATCATCCCAAATTGTAATCTCCACATGTTGAGGGAGGGACCTGATAGGAGGTGATTGGATAACAGAGGCGTTTTCCCCATGCTGTTTTTGTGATTGTGATTGAATTATCATGAGATGTGATGGTTTAAAAGTGTGGCTCTTCCCCTCTCTCTCTCTCTCTTCTGCTCCCATGTAAGGCCTGCCTTGCTTCCCCTTTGCCTTCCACCGTAATTTTAAGTTTCCTGAGGCCTCCTAGCTAGGCTTCCTGTTAAGCCTACAGAACTGTGAGTCAATTACACTTCTTTTCTTTATTAATTACCAAGTCTCAGATAGTTCTTTATAGCAGTGTGAGAATGAACTAATACAGAAAGTTGGTACTGAGAGAAGTGGGATACTGCTATAAAGGTACCTGAAAATGTGGAAATGACTTTGGAGCAGGTTAATGGGCAGAGGCTGGTACAGTTTGGAGGACTCAGAAGAAGACAGGAAAATGTGGGAAGGTTTGGAACTTCCTAGAGACTTGCTGAATGGTTTTGACCAAAATGCTGATAGTGATGTGGACAATGAAGTCCAGGCTGAGGTGGTCTCAGATGGAGATGAGGAACTTGTTGGGAACTGGCATAAAGGTCACTCTTGGTATGCTTTAGCAAAGAGAACGGTGGCATTTTGCCCCTGCCCTAGAGATCTCTGGAACTTTGAACTTGAGAGAGATGATTTAATGTGTCTGGCAGAAGACATTTCTAAGCAGCAAAGCATTCGAGATGTGACCTGGCTTTTTCTGAAAGCATACAGTTTTAAGCATTCACAAAGAGATGGTCTGAAATTGGAACTTATATTTGAAAGGGAAGCAGAGCATAAAAGTTTGGAAAATTTGCAGCCTAACCATGTGGTAGAACAGAAAAACCTATTTACTGGGGAGAAATTCAAACTGCAGGCTGCAGAATTTTGCATAAATAAAGAGAAGCCAGATGCTAATAGCCAAGACAGTGGGGAAAATGTCTCCAGGGCATTTCAGAGATCTTCAGAGCAGCCCCTCCCATCACAGGCCTGGAGGCCTAGGAAGGAAAAACAGTTTCATGTGCCAGGCCTAGGGCTCTGGTGTTCTGTGAAGCCTCAGGACATGGCACCCTGTGTTTTAGCAGCTCCAGCTCTAGCTATGAATAAAAGGGGCCCAGGTACAGCTTCAGAAGGTGCACTCTCCAAGCCTTGGTCACTTCCATGTAGTGTTAGACCTGTGGGTGTGCAGAATAAAAGGGTTGAGCTTTAAGAGCCTCAACCTAGATTTCAAAGGATGTATGGAAAACAAAAGTCTGCTGCAGGGATGGAGCCGTCATAGAGAACCTCTACTAAGGCAATGCAGAAGAAAAATGAGGGTTTGCAGCCCCCACTCAGAGTCCCCATTTGAGTACTACCTAGTGGAGCTGTGAAAAGAGGGCCACCATCCTCCAGACCCCAGAATGGTAGATCCACCAACAGCTCACACCATGAGCCTGGAAAAGCCACAGGCACTCAACACCAGCTCGTGAAAGCAGCTGCTGTATCCTGCACAGCCACAGAGATGGAGCTGCCCCTGGCCTTGGGAACCCCCCTCTTGCATCAGTGTGGCCTGGATGTGAGACATGAAGTCACTGGAGATTATGTTGGAGCTTTAAGATTTAATGGTTGCCCTGATTGGTTTTGGACTTGCATGGGGCCTGTGGCCCCTTTGTTTTGGCCTATTTCCCCGATTTGTAATGGGAGCATCTACTCAGTGTCTGTACCTCCATTATATCTGGAAGTAATTAACTTGCTTTTGATTCTACAGGATCATAGGCAGAAGGAACTTGCCTTGTCTCAGATGAGACTTTGCACTTGGACTTTTAAGTTAATGCTACATATATATATACACACATATATGTGTATATATGTACATATATATGTATGTGTGTATATATATGTGTATATATGTATGTGTATATATGTAATATATGTGTGTATATATGTGTATATATGTACATATATGTATGTGTATATATATGTATCTGTATATATATGTATATGTGTGTGTATATATATATGTTAGGTATATATATGTGTGTGTGTATATATATGTGTGTATATATATATGTTAGGTATTAACTCACACGATCACAAGGTCCCACAGTAGGCCATATGCAGGCTGAGGAACAAGGAGAGCCAGTCCAGGTTCCAAAACTGAAGAATGTGAAGTTTGATCTTCGAGGGCAGGAAGCATCCAGCAGAGGAGAAAGATGTAGGCTGGGAGGCTAGGCCAGTCTCTCTTTTCACATTTTTTTGCCTGCTTCATTGTTGCCTGCTCTGGAAACTGATTAGATGGTGCCCAGCCAGTTTAAGGGTGGGTCTGCCTTTCCCAGCCCACTGACTCACACGTTAATCTCCTTTGGCAGCACCCTCACAGACACACCCAGGATTGATACTTTTTGTCCTTCAATCCAATCAAGTTGACACTCAGTGTTAATCATCACACCAGCCAAATCTCATTTCAAATCGTAATCCCCATGTGTCAAGGGAGGAAACTGGTAGGAGGTGATTGGATAATACAGGCAGTTTCCCCATGCTGTTTTCATGATGGTGAGTGAGTTTTCATGAGATCTAATGGTTTAAAAGTGTGGAACTTTCTCTCTCTCTCTCACTTCCCTGCTGCCATATAACATGTACCTCACTTCCCCTTCACCTTCTGCCATGATTATACGTTTTCTGAGGCCTCTTAGCCATGCTTCCTGTTAAGCCTGTGAAATTGTGAGTCAATTAAACCTCTTTTCTTATTACCCAATCTCAGGTAATTCTTTATAACAATGTGAGAATGGACTAAGACAGTATCCTAATATAACTATGTGATTTTAAAGTTAAGAAAAAGGATGCTTTGTGTATCCAGGCAGGCCCAAAAAACCAAATCCACACCACTTACAAGGGAGAGAAAATCAAATTAGTATCAGATTTTTTACAACAACATTGTATGCTAAGAAACAATGAAGCAACATTTTAATATTATTAAGGAAAGAAAATGTAAGCCAGGCATTTTTGTATGTAACCTAACAGCTCATGAAGTTTTGCTGCAGAGAAATATGTTAATATCATGTTAGAACTCAGGAAATATTGTATTCATCAGCTCTTTCTGATAAATCTATTTAACCAACATGCCTTGTATACCGTGAAATTATTAGAAATGTTTAAGTACTGAAGTCTGCTATAAGCACTGAATGTATTAATTATATAATTAATACTTTAAAAAGTATATAAGAGTAGCAAGATAATGGGTCCCTACAACTCAACAACAGAAAGACAATATAAAATGAGCAAAAGACTTGGACTTAGATATTTCTCCAAAAAAGATATGCAAACAGCCCGTACACACATAAAAAGATATTCAATATTATTAGTTATTAGGGAACATAAATGAAAACCACAATGAGATACCACTTCACAATTTCACATCACTAGCAGGACTTCTAGTATGACTCTAATGAAACAAACAAACAGCAACCCCAAAATAACAATTATTGACAGGAATGTAGAGAAATTGGAACCCTCACTCGTTGCTGGTGGGAATGTAAAATGGTGCAACTGCTATGGAAAACAATTTGGTAGTTCCTCAAGTTACAGAGTTTCCACATGACCCAGCAATTATGCTCCCAGGTAGATACGCAAAAGAATGAAAAACAGTGACTCAGACAGATATTTGTAGGACATTGCTCAATGCAGCGTTATTTATAATAGCCAAATGGTGGAAACAACCTAAGAACCCATCAATGGATGAATGGACTATAAAAACTAAACCTGGTCTATACATACAGTGCAGTATTATTAAAACTAAACCTGGTATATATATATACAGTGCAGTATTATTAAATCTCTAAAGAGGAATGAAGTGCTGCACTTGCTACAATAAGGATAAAACCTGAAAACCCGAAGCTAGGTGAAAACAAGCCAGCCGCAAAGGAAAAATACTCTATGGTTCCACGTATATGAAACAGATAAATTCATAGAGACAGATAAATTCATAGAGACAGAAAGAAATGAGGCAATCATGAAACTCTTGTTTAAGAATGACAGTGTTTCTGTTTGAGACTGTAAAGAAGTTTTGAAAGTAGATCGTGGTGATGGTTGCATGACACTGTGAATGCACTTGATGTCACTGAATTGTACACTTAAAACTCAATGAAAAATTTTAAATATGAATTTATCACAATAGTTTTTTCAATAGTAATTTTTAAAAGCTTTATTACTTTAGAAATAAAATTATCAAAATATAGAAGGAGAAGAGGAAATAGAACTAAAATAAGTTCACAAATTGCCTTATAGGGGTTAGCTGTGTTGAATTACATAAGGAGGCGGTCATTCACCTGAGGCTGTCTGCATATTTTAATTCCTACATAATGAATATCAACCTAACTTAGTATGTAAACAAACCCAAATTTAACTTATAAGTGTAACACACAGGCAAGTTTCAGCCAATAATAAGCAGCCACATATCAGCCAGTCACAGGTAGCCCACACATCACAGGATACCCAAATAAGCAAATGCCTAGTTATAGCCAAGCAGGTGATTTCTCTGCTTTGCTTCTATGCTCATCACATGAGAGGTCACTGCTCATGCTGCTGGGCAGAAATCTCTGAATATCTCCTGGTTCCGAGTGCTGCCTCATCCATGAATCATTCTTTGCTCAAATAAATTGTGCTAAATTTAATGTGTCTAAAGATTTTCTTCTAACAGTTGGAAGGAAGGGGTTATTTCTTGCATATGACAAATCTAGTAGCAAGATATTAAATATATCTAATAGTAGAAAGATTTCTAGGCCTACTGCTCAGGTCTCTTCGTGAAAGTTCTTATCGCTGAAATTTTGGTTTTGGTCAACCTTTCCCTTTATCCCTCATCTTTGTCTTCTTTGGATATCATGATCATTTGCCTGGTACTCATTCCCAAGAATGGGTTTATGACAAGTATATCTTATGAATTGTTTTCACTCAATCTTTGGACTTGCTCTGCTGGCACGAGCATCTATTGATGAGGAGCCTGATGCCAATCAAATTCTCATTTCTTTATAAGTGGCCAATCTTGTTATTTTTTTGTTTCACTTGGCTTTTTCTCTCCTTTCTGAAATCATTCAGAATCTTCTACTTAACATTGCTGAATGGGTTCGATCTTTGTTATTTTATTATTATTATACTTTAAGTTTTAGGGTACATGTGCACAATGTGCAGGTTAGTTACATATGTATACATGTGCCATGCTGGTGTGCTGCACCCATTAACTCATCATTTAGCATTAGGTATATCTCCTAATGCTATCCCTCCCCCCTCCCCCCACCTCACAACAGTCCCCAGAGTGTGATGTTCCCCTTCCTGTGTCCATATGTTCTCATTGTTCAATTCCCACCTATGAGTGAGAACACGCGGTGTTTGGTTTTTTGTCCTTGCGATAGTTTACTGAGAATGATGATTTCCAATTTCATTCATGTCCCTGCAAAGTACATGAACTCATCATTTTTTATGGCTGCATAGTATTCCATGGTGTATATGTGCCACATTTTCTTAATCCAGTCTATCATTGTTGGACATTTGGGTTGGTTCCAAGTCTTTGCTATTGTGAATAGTGCTGCAATAAACATATGTGTGCATGTGTCTTTATAGCAGCATGATTTATAGTCCTTTGGGTATATACCCAGTAATGGGATGGCTGGGTCAAATGGTATTTCTAGTTCTAGATCCCTGAGGAATCGCCACACTGACTTCCACAATGGTTGAACTAGTTTACAGTCCCACCAACAGTGTAAAAGTGTTCCTATTTCTCCACATCCTCTCCAACACCTGTTGTTTCCTGACTTTTTAATGATCACCACTCTAACTGGTGTGAGATGGTATCTCATTGTGGTTTTGATTTGCATTTCTCTGATGGCCAGTGATGATGAGCATTTTTTCATGTGTTTTTGGCTGCATAAATGTCTTCTTCTGAGAAGTGTCTGTTCATGTCCTTCGCCCACTTTTTGATGGGGTTGTTTGTTTTATTCTTGTAAATTTGTTTGAGTTCATTGTAGATTCTGGATATTAGCCCTTTGTCAGATGAGTAGGTTGCGAAAATTTTCTCCCATTTTGTAGGTTGCCTGTTCACTCTGATGGTAGTTTCTTTTGCTGTGCAGAAGCTCTTTAGTTTAATTAGATCCCATTTGTCAATTTTGTCTTTTGTTGCCATTTCTTTTGGTGTTTTAGACATGAAGTCCTTCCCCATGCCTATGTCCTGAATGGTATTGCCTAGGTTTTCTTCTAGGGTTTTTACGGTTTTAGGTCTAACGTTTAAGTCTTTAATCCATCTTGAATTAATTTGTGTATAAGGTGTAAGGAAGAGATCCAGTTTCAGCTTTCTACATATGGCTAGCCAGTTTTCCCAGCACCATTTATTAAATAGGGAATCCTTTCCCCATTGCTTGTTTTTGTCAGGTTTGTCAAAGATCAGATAGTTGTAGATATGCGGCATTATTTCTGAGGGCTCTGTTCTGTTCCATTGGTCTATATCTCTGTTTTGGTACCAGTACCATGCTGTTTTGGTTACTGTAGCCTTGTAGTATAGTTTGAAGTCAGGTAGCATGATGCCTCCAGCTTTGTTCTTTTGGCTTAGGATTGACTTGGTGATGTGGGCTCTTTTTTGGTTCCATATGAACTTTAAGGTAGTTTTTTCCAATTCCGTGAAGAAAGTCATTGGTAGCTTGATGGGGATGGCATTGAATCTATAAATTCCCTTGGGCAGTATGGCCATTTTCACGATATTGATTCTTCCTACCAATGAGCATGGAATGTTCTTCCATTTCCTTGTATCCTCTTTTACTTCATTGAGCAGTGGCTTGTAGTTCTCCTTGAAGAGGTCCTTCATGTCCCTTGTAAGTTGGATTCCTAGGTATTTTATTCTCTTTGAAGCAATTATGAATGGGAGTTCACTCATGATTTGGCTCTCTGTTTGTCTGTTATTGGTGTATAAGAATGCTTGTGATTTTTGTACATTGATTTTGTATCCTGAGACTTTGCTGAAGTTGCTTATCAGCTTAAGGAGATTTTGGGCTGAGACAATGGGGTTTTCTAGATATACAATCATGTCATCTGCAAACAGGGACAATTTGACTTCCTCTTTTCCTAATTGAATAAATGTAATCCAGCATATAAACAGAACCAAAGACAAAAAACACATGATTATCTCAATAGATGCAGAAAAGGCCTTTGAAAAAATTCAACAACCCTTCATGCTAAAAACTCTCAATAAATTAGGTATTGATGGGATGTATCTCAAAATAATAAGAGCTATCTATGACAAACCCACAGCGAATATCATACTGAATGGGAAAAAACTGGAAGCATTCCCTTTGAAAACTGGCACAAGACAGGGATGCCCTCTCTCACCACTCCTATTCAACATAGTGTTGGAAGTTCTGGCCAGGGCAATTAGGCAGGAGAAGGAAATAAAGGGTATTCAATTAGGAAAAGAGGGTTCGATCTTTTTCAATCATTCTTACTCCTTATTTTAAAGTCTCAGTTTTCTTTTGAACACTAGAAAATTTTCTCTTCCTTTTATTTTTTTCTATGTTCTTTCCTCCCTTTTCTCTGCCATTTTCTTTCCAAAATTGCTACGAATTAAATGTTGAATCATCTAAATAGATTCTCTTTCTCCTTGTTTTTCCTTTTTCATTTTTTCCTCTTTCATTTTTATGCACTAGGAAATTTTCAACTGAAAATTGCAACCCTTTCACTGGCAATTAAATGTCTACTTCCAAGACTTCTCTTCAGCCCTGTGTTTCTTTAATATTTTCTATATAAAATGATCTTATATAAGTGTAAAATATATTTAAACATTTCTGAGGACACCAAATTGAGATATTTCTGTTTTGTGGAAGTTGAGCTATCTAAATTATTTTTGTTATGTGGCTATGGTTCATCAATTAGTTTAGGGTTATCAGGTAGAAAGGCAGGTATTGTATTCCCCTGGCCATCCCTTATATACACTATAATAGTGAAGCTTTCCTCTGAGGAATAAAATTGGAGAGCATTTCAAAAATAAACTTTTCTAAAACTTAACCTTTAAATATTCAAATTCATGTGGCTTAAATATTCGACTGAAAGTCTAGCTTTTAAAACAATCCTCAAGGTGATTCTTATAATCAACTAGGCTGGGAATTTCAATTCCAATCTTATAAACCTAGGTAAATTGAAGGAGTCTAATCACAGGGCCAGAGGTGGCTCAGTTTGTACTGGATAAACCTTCTGCAGCAGAATCACCTGAAGGTTTTTTTTTTTCTTTTTAAATATACTTTTTAAATCCATTCCCGAATTGCTAAAGCAGGCTATCTGGTGGTGACACTTGGAAACTTGCCTTATAATAAGCTCCTTAAATGAATCTTAAGCACACAGGTGAGACCCTCTGCTGTAATGGAACTCAAGGCTTACCCCAACCCCGAGATTATCTCATCTCATCCTGAGGAGTACACAAGACGTTAGTCAAAGCCAAGTATGCTGGGCAATGCTGCTGGAGTGAGCGTTCAGTGTGAAAGGCATTGGAAACTCTTTATTTAGTATGTCCCCTGGATTATTTCCATGGGACTCTCCTTTTATATGATGACTCTTTGGTTTTTCTTCTGAGTCCACACTATTTTGGAACATCTGTCTTATCTGTTGATATGATGAAAGGAGTGTGGGCTCTACCCTTAGTCTCATACAACATTGAGAAGCCAAACAAATTCCAGAGTCAGGCCTGAAGGAAAGGAAGTCTATGTGGGCCGGCTTCTCAGTTAAACACAAGGGCTTCCTGTGGCTCAACAGAAGTCAGCAGAGCTCACCAGGGCTATGAACCTACAAAGGAATGCACTGTCACAGTACTTAGCGTTAAAGAGAACACATTGACTGCTCTACGTAAAATAGCACCGACTCACCCGTTTATCTCTACTCTCTTTCCTGATTTATTCTTCCTTCATGGCACTTATTTCCATTTTATACAGTATATAATTATTTGTTTTCATTGTCTGCCTCCTCTCCAAGTAAAATTTAAACTCCATCCAAGTTGAAGATTGTTCTTCTCTACTATATCCCTAACATGGTGGGCCTCCAATAAATATATATTGAATTAATACATTTACCTTCATGTGTCTTCTATGTTTATCTCTTCTGGAGTCCTAACTAAGAACAATAGGCAAAGGATGAGAATAGCTATTGAAAATGACCACGAAAGTTGGCTTTGAGAAGAGAAGGTATGAAACTCAAGATTCCAAACACTGGCATTACTAACACCAATAGACAAACATTATGATTAGATTCAATACATTTTCTTTGAAATGTTTGACAGTTCGAGTGTCCAACAGGAAGCAACAAGTCAATAGGCTTGTATACCTGTTAAGCAAGCAATGGGTACACACGTCTCTTCTTGTTTATGATTGTCAATGTGTATACTAAATTCAGAGCCAGTATTCCTGCAGTTTCAAAAATGGCTCTATTTCCATTCATGATAAATTTGTGGGCTTTATTTGGATGGAGTCACATAAAATAATGTATATTTAGTATGAAGGAACTCATTATAAAACACTGTGGTAGTCTAATGAGATAATTTTGAAAAAAAATAGTAGTTGACAGTTTATTATTGCTGACAACACTGGCAACTTAGATTAGTGTGAGAGTCTCTTACACCAAGAATGGTATTTAAAGCCAGGTAAATAACTAAGAAAGTAAAACTGTTTTGTGATTTTAGAAACAATAAATTATAGAGATTTCCTTCTAAAAAAATGGAACAGGTTGAGTTATGGGCCCATTCCATTATAAGTAAATACAACAGGTAGATATTCTAATTTATAAATATTTAATATTGAACAAGGTAAATGTGTGAGACTTGAATTTCTACAGTTTACAGTTGCAGTCAGCCATGTTCTAAACTTACTGAGATATTTGTCACGTAGTCCCTTCTTGTGGTTCTTTATTAACACCCTAGTGACAACTGTATCTCTTCTCTAACTCCAGCAACTTAAAATCTCTCTGTAGAAATCTTGGTGTTTTCTATCTTAGATAAATTCAAGGTCATACTCGCTCTCAGCATGGCCAGCCAGGAGAGACAGGGTCTTCATAGGAATCTGATCCGCAGCCCTGCGGTGAGAGACACAGACTCCCGAGGAGACAGGATCTGAAGCAAGGCAGGCCAGGGGGAGATTAGGGAATGGACTTCATGAAGGGGCAGCCCCCACAGAAATGATTTATTGGAAGAAGATAACGAAAAGACTGAAGGACAAGATTTAGTAAGAAAAAAGGACTTCTTTGCAATGATGATGTAGTGATGAGAGGAGTCGCAGAGAGAGAGGCCTGTGTGGAGGTGGTCAGCTTTTCAGGAGACTCTGGTCACTAAGAACACGACTTGCAAAGTCAGGTCTGAACCCTGTCAGCCCTTGTGTAGACCGTTTAGTTTTACCTTCAAAATACAAGGACTGCTGTAACACTGGCAATTGTCTCCACTGCTGCAACACCTGGCCTGAGTAACCACCACCCTCACTGGGCTTCCCCAGGCCTTTAAGCCGTTTTTCTAATTCATCCTAACTGCCCTAAAATCTACTTTCAATACAGCATCCATAATTATCCTTTTGAAACTTAAGCAAATTGACATCACCCCTGTGGTCAGGGCTCCCCACTTCACTGAGAATGAGAGAAGGACCTAACACAGTTTCTCTCCTCTGCACACCATCACCTCCCCACCACACCCCCTTTTCCCAGCAAGCCTCGTCCCCATTGTCCCTCCCCAGCCAGCACATGGGCTTCCCCACCGCACCTCAGACACACAGCGGGCTCCCACGTGAGGCCTTTGTGCTCATGGCTCCCTCTGCCTAGAATGCGCTTCCTCTCACCATGCGCGTGGCTGATTTCCTCACCCACTTTCGGTCCTGGCTTAAACATCACCTCTCATGAGGCCACCCTGCCTGCCTGCACCTGCCCACCTCTATCGCTGATCTTGGTCTAGTTTTCTCCATAGCACTTGTCGCTTCTAACATATTCTATAATAGACTTGTTTTTATTATTGCGTACTGTCTTTCTCCCATAAACAAGACTGTAAGTTACATTAGATTGGAGATTTCTGTTGGAACAGATCTGAATAAGCCTTGTTATTATTCTTAACATATTTCACAATCTTCAATTCTTTTCAGAGTTTTTAGTTTCCAGGCACAATCTCTGTTCCTGCCCCCCTCCACCCCGATCTTGGTCTAGTTTTAGCCATATCACTTGTCGCTCCTAACACATTCTATAATAGACTTGTTTTTATAATATTATTGCACATTGTCTTTCTCCCATAAACAAGACTGTAAGTTACATTAGACCAGCAGTTTTCGTGGGAACAGATCTGAATAAGCCCTGATATTATTAACAAATTTCACAATCGATCTTCAGCTGTTTTTAGAGCTTTTGGTCTCCAGACACCCTTTTAAATTCTGATCATTGTTTTATGTCTTTACATTTTTTTGTTTACATTCATCTATATATAAGTTAAATCTAATTTAATAGGAAATGATCAATGCAGTCACTTTTGGTGTCTTTACCTGATTTTATCTGTTTCTTCCTCACTGGCATTATCTTCAACTGCACTGTCAATATCATGCTTTTGAAATGTTTCTTATTTCCCTGTAGCTGAGTGACTACGGGACTCTTAATTTATAAAGACAACCTCCCGGTCTAAGTGATGTGTCTAAACATATCCTTCCTCACTTAGGCAGATTCCAAAGACTGCAAGTATTGAAGGTTGATACTTTAACAGGAAGTACCCCTATTGTTTTCACAAATAAAGGAATGATGTTGGCACACAGGCAGGGCGAACATCCCTCGGGCATTCAGCTTTAGCAGGGTAAGATTTCCAGATGTCTGAATATCTGAGGTCAACGACAAGCACGTTTTCTCTGTGTTACGAATTACGTGAGACAAGCATGAAGCTTCTCATCCACCAAACTAGGCCATCTCAGGACAATGCACCTTGGCTTTCTCCCACCACGTCTCCCATTCAGAACCTGCTCATAGGGGTCCTGCCTGGATTTGCATCTGCCACCCTGTGCTCCTGTGACACCAGATTCTTTTTCTTTTCTTTTTTTTTTTTTTTTTTTTTTGAGACGGAGTCTCGCTCTGTCGCCCAGGCTGGAGTGCGGTGGCGCCATCTGGGCTCACTGCAAGCTCCGCCTCCCGGGTTCACGCCATTCTCCTGCCTCAGCCTCCCCACCAGCTGGGACTACAGGCACCCACCACCACACCCGGCTAATTTCGGCTAATTTTTGTTGTATCTTTAGTAGAGGCGGGGTTTCACCGTGTTAGCCAGGATGGTCTCGATCTCCTGACCTCGTGATCCGCCCGCCTTGGCCTCCCAAAGTGCTGGGATTACAGGCGTGAGCCACGGCGCCTGGCCGACACCAGATTCTTTAGAAACAAGATCACATAGTTCCGCAGACAAATCCGCATCACGACTTTCATCTCAATACATATTGGTGTTACCTGATATATCATGTTAATTTCCTTTTGTTAAAATTTAAGGACTCTTCACATACTCTGAGACTAGATTCTCACAGGCAATGTCCTCCTGAGAGTCACTAGGTGCTGTCCTACCAATTGTTCCTCTTTCAGTATAGCAGATATGCATTTCTTCAAAGAGAATTTCACAATAAAATGTCTCTAGCCATGAATCTATCATTTTGTTTAAAAAATCAAAATCCATGTCCAGATAGACAAATTTTGTTGTTTGACATCTTCCATGTAAACTGTTGTTTAATTTCAGTCTTTTCTTTATCATTTCACTATTACAAACTTAAACTTGAAAAGAAATTAAAATACAATCTTTCCTCCAACTTCTTCAGTACTCATTTCAAAACATAAAAATTGTGGAGAAAAATTATCAAAGAAGAAAAGCCAGTATAAATGCACTTTAAAAATGAAAAGACATAAATATGATAATTGTAGTAATTTCTCAAAAACAACTATTAAAAAATATAAATGTAGTAGTTATGCTAATGAAATTACTCAGAGTCTGAAAAAGCTTTTAGAAATTTACATGCTACTTAGACCGAATCATAGTTCATCTATCACACATAGGAAGAAACTAATTCTGGGAGGTGGGGCATAATGCCACTACTTAAACAATTTTGTGTTGAAGAATAATGAAGCAAAGATCATCATTCATAAAAGCAGCCTGTTACAGACATGCTTGAGTTTCTTGCTTGCTAGAGAGTAAATGATGAAATGGCAGACTGACTCAGTTCTACCTCCCCGAGGTCACCTCAACACTCACAGACCTTCCAAGTTTCAAATCTAGTGACTCAAACACATTGCTGACTTCTTTCTATTCAGAATTTAGTAAGCTATAAGGATGTTAAACATTTCATTCTGCTTTATTAAATTGAACATACTAGTTTGATTAGTTTGATAATAAATTGTATAGACTCATAGCTTCTGGAAACAATCAAAGACATTTGTGTACCCAACAAAATGTACGTTTCTCCTAAATACATCTTGAATCTTGACAGTTATATATAAAGGGACTGAGGGAAAAGGACTCCTGGGTGACCTTGAGAGGCTACTCGGAATAACTTACAGTATTTAATTTCTGAGCAAGTTAGAGACCAGCATGCCTCGAGTCCCTCAGTCTCTTCCTGTTGACGGATGTACCTCTCTCTGCCTTCTATGTATCGTGAGTTTTGAAAATGCACAGGGACTGGAATCCTTTTGCTACCAAACATATTGGAAACTCACAGACGTGATTATACTTCGTGGTTTTATGTGTTTTATCAGCCAGTGACATCATGACAGATGAGAATGTTCTGCCAAGAAAAGTCAAGATTTCCTAACAGTCAGGTATTCACAGACAAATCACATGAACTGTCATTTAATCTAAACAATGATTTGAACATAATCCAGACCCAAAGCAGAGAAAAAAATATCTCAACTGCCAAGCTTATTATAACAAGACATTTGATCCAGAGAAAACACTGTTGGGAGTTACAAACTACTAAAGGTTAAATAGAATCCTTTGATATATATGGCAGGAATATGTTCTTTTGTTTTTCTATTACTATCTCATCTGATGAAGCATCAAACATCTCACTGGGAAAACAGAAAAAAAACCCTAGTAAATACTATGTTGCTTTTAATGTTCTTTTATCTGTGAATCACGAAAGTAATGCAGCAATAATTAAATGAGTTGAGTGGTGTGTGCAGAAAACAGAGCATTCTTCCAAAACTGCTTCTTTGAGAGAGAAAAACTCATGGATTAATGTGTCCAAGGGGAGATTAAAGCAAGTCCACAGAGTTGCTCTGAGACAAATAGGTATTACACTTCACAAGAAAGGGCTTTTTATCAAGCATAGTTGTTTAGATAAAGTACAATCAACAAATATAAACTGGATATGCACTGCACAATTTTTCTATTAACACTGGGTTTTAATCTTTAAAGATCACATTGAGTAACAATTTCCTTAAAAGCCACACTCTGTGGACAATTGCCTAGAAGAACAATGACCCAATCCTCATAAATTGTGTTTAATAAAAAGCAGAATAAGCCATGATTGGATTATTTATGAGACATTGAAGAGCAGCTGCATGGTGCTCTAAATGGGTTCCGCCTCCAGCAGTTGTCGAGACCAGATGGGAAAGTGACAAGCTCCACTTAATATGCCACAGCATCAGCGTGGTCATAAAAGAGTCCACAGCAATTCTCTTTTGAACAGAAGCCACCTGTTTACTATAAACACACCTTCTCTTTCTCAAACTGTACTTTTAATTTTCAACTTGCACCTGAAAGGTAGCAACCCTTCAAGTTCAAATTGCCAGGCTGCAAATCAATCATGAGTGTTTGAGGAGTTCAAATCTCTGTGGCAGAATTTGGACAGTTTTAAAACTTTAATGTGTCCAAAGCTTGGCTGTAAATGATCCAATACATCTTCTCTTAAAAGGAGATTTTGTCATAATTATAATTTCAGTTGGCATTTTTTTTGGCTCTTGCTTAATTATAAAACTATGCTTATTAAAAACAGACTCTTTACTCCTTTGGTTATTAGAAACAGATTCATTATGCCCTCTACTTTATCTCAGCATACGTGATCTATGATGGAAAACCAAAGATTTGGCTCTGGCCTGTAGCTATAACTTCTTCACAAAAAGAAAGACTATGTCACCTGGCATTTGAGGCCCCTTGCTGTTCATTACGAAGATCATTGGTGTCTCCAGATCTCTCAGATAGTTTAGCAATGATCATATGTCTCATAGGAGAAAAAAAATTACTTTAAAAAGTTGGAGCTAACACATAAGTCCAAAAATCAAAGATAGGCATCACTAGAGTATCAATTCATATTACTGTGCTATAAATCTATTACAGTAGACGCAATCTCTCTCTGAACCAAAACATTCAGCACAGGAATGAAGCAAAAGCAGAAAAAAAAAATCTTATTTGGATGATGAATTCTACAAGAAATTTATGGTATAGCTCAGTTTTTCTATAGGTTTTATTAGGAGCCTGGGATTAAACTTAGATCCCTTCAGGATCTAATGTACAGATAATTTTTCTTGCCCTGTTTCATTTTGGCTACAAACTTTCCCACTGAGTTAACAGTGCTAAATTCAGAGCATGTGAAGGATACTTCACGTAGTAATATTTTTAAAAGGAAGCAGGAAGGGAGGCTTCATCAGTGGGGTTGAAGCTTAACATGGGTTAAACGGACATCTCTCTAGTTGCCTATTATGTAGAAGAAAAATACATGAATTTAGAAGGCAGCTAAGTTCCTGAACCAAGTTTATCTATTTGCCTGTGCTGGAGGGTCTTAAAGAGTTTATTACTCACAATTTTTTTGCTTTTGTTTTAAATTTTGTATCTGTGTCATGGCAACTTTCTTCATTTCTAGATTCAAGTTTAGCCTAACTGAGAAAAAAAGGCAGTGCAATCAGTGATACTGTTATAGGGACGACTAACAGCTCAGGAGGTGACTGGGGAGGCGCTGGTCGGGCTGCTCAAACAGTCATTACATTGTTAGATTACGAATCGTCAGGTAATCCCTAACAACAGCCACACACACCATCCACTCATTTAACAAACATCTTCCGCTATGCAAATAAACTGCAAACAATGTGTTTTAAAGGCAGAAATGGATCAAGTTTCTTCTAAATTATTACAGTGATTGAGCACACAGCACAAAACCCACTTTTTTGCTCACTCCTTCCCGTGAATTCCCACCACCAACATTCTGAAGCCCAGACTGAAAAACCAACTAGCAGGTGCTTTAATGAGGGCCCACAGGTCACGCGGCGGACTGGCAGGTACTCTAATGAGGGCCCACAGGTCACACGGCGGACTTGCAGGTACTCTAATGAGGGCCCACAGGCCACGCGGCGGACTGGCAGGTACTCTAATGAGGGCCCACAGGTCACACGGCGGACTGGCAGGTACTCTAATGAGGGCCCACAGGTCACACGGCGGACTGGCAGGTACTCTAATGCGGGCCCACAGGTCACGCGGCGGACTGGCAGGTACTCTAATGAGGGCCCACAGGTCACGCGGCGGACTGGCAGGTACTCTAATGAGGGCCCACAGGTCACACGGCGGACTGGCAGGTGCTCTAATGCGGGCCCACAGGCCACGCGGCGGACTGGCAGGTGCTCTAATGAGGGCCCACAGGTCACACGGCGGACTGGCAGGTACTCTAATGAGGGCCCACAGGTCACGCGGCGGACTGGCAGGTACTCTAATGAGGGCCCACAGGTCACACGGCGGACTGGCAGGTACTCTAATGAGGGCCCACAGGTCACACGGCGGACTGGCAGGTACTCTAATGAGGGCCCACAGGTCACGCGGCGGACTGGCAGGTACTCTAATGAGGGCCCACAGGTCACGCGGCGGACTGGCAGGTGCTCTAATGAGGGCCCACAGGTCACGCGGCGGACTGGCAGGTACTCTAATGAGGGCCCACAGGCCACACGGCGGACTGGCAGGTACTCTAATGCGGGCCCACAGGTCACACGGCGGACTGGCAGGTGCTCTAATGCGGGCCCACAGGTCACACGGCGGACTGGCAGGTACTCTAATGAGGGCCCACAGGTCACGCGGCGGACTGGCAGGTGCTCTAATGAGGGCCCACAGGTCACACGGCGGACTGGCAGGTACTCTAATGAGGGCCCACAGGTCACGCGGCGGACTGGCAGGTACTCTAATGAGGGCCCACAGGCCACACGGCGGACTGGCAGGTACTCTAATGCGGGCCCACAGGTCACACGGCGGACTGGCAGGTGCTCTAATGAGGGCCCACAGGTCACCCGGCGGACTGGCAGGTGCTCTAATGAGGGCCCACAGGTCACGCGGCGGACTGGCAGGTACTCTAATGCGGGCCCACAGGTCACGCGGCGGACTGGCAGGTGCTCTAATGAGGGCCCACAGGTCACACGGCGGACTGGCAGGTACTCTAATGAGGGCCCACAGGTCACACGGCGGACTGGCAGGTACTCTAATGCGGGCCCACAGGTCACGCGGCGGACTGGCAGGTGCTCTAATGCGGGCCCACAGGTCACCCGGCGGACTGGCAGGTGCTCTAATGCGGGCCCACAGGTCACCCGGCGGACTGGCAGGTACTCTAATGAGGGCCCGCAGGTCACACGGCGGACTGGCAGGTACTCTAATGCGGGCCCACAGGTCACGCGGCGGACTGGCAGGTACTCTAATGCGGGCCCACAGGTCACGCGGCGGACTGGCAGGTACTCTAATGCGGGCCCACAGGTCACGCGGCGGACTGGCAGGTGCTCTAATGAGGGCCCACAGGTCACACGGCGGACTGGCAGGTACTCTAATGCGGGCCCACAGGTCACGCGGCGGACTGGCAGGTGCTCTAATGAGGGCCCACAGGTCACACGGCGGACTGGCAGGTACTCTAATGAGGGCCCACAGGTCACACGGCGGACTGGCAGGTGCTCTAATGAGGGCCCACAGGTCACGCGGCGGACTGGCAGGTACTCTAATGCGGGCCCACAGGTCACGCGGCGGACTGGCAGGTACTCTAATGCGGGCCCACAGGTCACGCGGCGGACTGGCAGGTGCTCTAATGCGGGCCCACAGGTCACCCGGCGGACTGGCAGGTGCTCTAATGCGGGCCCACAGGTCACCCGGCGGACTGGCAGGTGCTCTAATGCGGGCCCACAGGTCACCCGGCGGACTGGCAGGTACTCTAATGAGGGCCCGCAGGTCACACGGCGGACTGGCAGGTACTCTAATGCGGGCCCACAGGCCACGCGGCGGACTGGCAGGTGCTCTAATGCGGGCCCACAGGTCACACGGCGGACTGGCAGGTGCTCTAATGCGGGTCCACAGGTCACGCGGCGGACTGGCAGGTGCTCTAATGAGGGCCCACAGGTCACGCGGCGGACTGGCAGGTGCTCTAATGTGGGCCCACAGGCCACGCGGCGGACTGGCAGGTACTCTAATGCGGGCCCACAGGCCACATAGTGGACTGCGTTTTCATCTCCAGGATCCAGCAGCTTCCTGCGTTCGACCGTATTTTCATCTGCTCCACTAAGCAACTCCTACAGGGGACCAGAGACATCATTTTGCACACACAGGCTGGTGGCAACTCACTTCTCATTTCACAGCAGCCCTGTCATGCTGTTTCCCAGCTTATAAGAAACAGAAATATCTCATCAGATAGATATTCCGCATAAGTGGTGAAAAATAAATGTTCCTGACTTTACGCGTTTGACCAAATAACATGAAAACATTTCTAACAGCATACAATATGGATGCAAAGAACAAAATGAGAAGAACACTGCTTTTCTGGGAAAGTAGGTAATATCTCACTTAGAGACAAATGTAAAAACTGCACTTCTTCTTCTACAATAATACGTTAGGATTGGGAATAGTAGGCAGGAACCTTCCCCAGAAACTGCCCAGGAGGCATGAGGTCATTGTTTGTTGAAACATTTCTAAGAAATCATTATTCAATAGAAGACTTGCTTTCACAATTAAAAGAGCATTTGTTTGCTAATGCAACTGTTTTGTTAACTCCTGAGGATGGGAATAGGACAATATATGCTTCTCAGAATATAAAACCCAACAATCTCATTTTTATAACATTTTATTGTTTGATATATGCAGCGGTTTATAAGTCACTAGCACCTGCTCCTAGTGTCTGTCACTATTAACATTCCAATTTTTCATCTGAGAAAGCAAAAAATAAGAGTTATACAGTACTACTGACTAAATCTAGTGAAATGCAGGATTATTTTTGAATTGAAATAACTCACTATTAATTCAAAAGTTTTACCAAAATAGATAAGAAATGGCAAATCAGATAGCTTTTTTTTTGGCCCCTAATCTGATGATTTTACAAGTTTATGAGTAAACAAAATTCAACTTAAAAATTCCAATAAATAACAATGTATTTTTTAAATGTGGGCATTGACAGAAAATCTTTACTATGCGTTGTATCTTTGCATAATTAGAAATAAATATCATATTTTCATTTAATTATTTATGACTTTGTTTTGAAGGAATTCAATGAATTCAAGCAATTCTTAGGGCTCACATTTATGCAGTTCCCACTTGAAAATCATAACTCAATAAAGTTTTTTTATATTGCTGACACAGATTGAACCAAAACAATTAAAATTATGAAATACTCAGTTTCATTGCCTAATTCTATAATTAAAAGCTGTTATTAATATAATTATATAAATATTTATATGTAAAGTTATGTAATATTGCTCATTATTTTATAGCAACATTCTACAGCCAGGAGAGCTTTGTCGCCAGTTGCATATTGTGTAGGATGATTGCATATTGTGTAGGGATAGGTAATGTGGCCTATTGATGTCTAAGGTATGCATTAATTCCTGTTGTTAAGATTTTAACAACACAGAATGACATAGAATATTATAATAGCTCTTTTTCATTGACATCTTCTCACCCAAAACTCAACAAACTCCTGAGATAGGTATTATTTTATTTTACAGATGCAAAAGATGAGGTACTAATTAGTTAAATAACTTGCCTAAGAGTATCATTAAGTGGCAGACTCAGAACTCAAACCAAAGCTGTGTGGCCTCAGATTCACATAATCATGATTTTCAAATTTTAATGTGCATAAAAAACATCTATTTCTGGCCAAGATGGAGCAAAAAAGATTCCAGATTTATCCTTCTGCCTGAATCAATTGACAAAGTACACAAAATATACAAAACATTTTTTCACAACATTGGGCATTAGGCAATGAAGAACAGTGGATGAGAGATGAGAAACACACGATATGAGCCCTGTGCTTGTCCTAGCTTGCTGCCTGGTGGGAGTGACTTGCTGCCTGGTGGGAGTGACCAGCAGGGAATGCAGTAAGGGGGATATGGGTGATGAACAGCAGTCTCCCACAATTAGAGATACTGACCTGGAGAATGGAAATGTGAAGAGAGCTGGAGTTTTGTGGACAGAATACTGGAAAGGAGAAAGCTGCACAGACAAAACTTCAGAGAACTTCAGAAAGAGCCCCTTGTATATTCAGTTTCTTACTATTTAAATGCATGTGTATCGTAAAATTACACAAGGCCAAGAAAACCATCAAAAATAAGCACCAAAGCACAAAAAGGAGTGGACATAATGCCTATTCTCACTAACCATATTGGAAAACTGTATATTTTACTGGGCATTGGATAATGTACTCAAACAGATCTTGCCCTGGTAATGAGGAAAAATAGCTCTAGACTAAGTATATTAGTATCAGCTAATAGAGCAGAAAATAAAGATCCAATGAATTATATTATTTTCAACTGTGTCTCAGAACGAAGCTTAAGCATATTAGGAAAGTATCCAATACTGAAAGAAGGTAAATTTCACAGTGTCTGATATCCAAACAAAAATTATGACACATTAAAAGAAACAAAAATATACCACCCATAGTAAGAAGAAAAATCAATCATTCAAAGCTGACGTATAATGAGCACAGATTCAGTACAAAGAGAGATTAAAAGTGTAATCTGCACAGCTAACATCACACTGAATGATGAAAAACTAGATGCCTTCCCACTAAGATAAAAAATAAGACAAGAATTTTTACTCTTATCACTCCACTTTACTCTATACCCTGTACTGGAGGCTCTAGCCAGGGCAGTTAGACAAGAAAAAGAAATAAATTCATCCACTTTGAAAAGAAGTAAAGCTATATCTCTTCATAGATGACTTGATCTTATATATAGAAAATCCTAAGGAATTCACTAAAACATTATTACACCATATAAGTGAGTACAGCAAGGTTGTTAGGATACAAGATCAATGTACAAAATCATTTATATATGTAGACACTTGCAATAAACAATCCACAAATAAAAATAAAATAAAATTCCATTCACAGCAGCTTCCAAATGAATTTTATAACTTAGGAATATATTTAGCAAAATAACGGAAAATCTTATACTCTGAAAACTATAAAACATTGCTGAAAGACATTAAAGAAAGCTTAAATAAATGGATAAATATCTGTTTATTGGTCAAAAGACCCATATTTAATATTGCTAATTTAATATTGTTAAAATGAAAGCATTCCCTAAACTGATGTACAGATTCAATGCATTCCCTAATAGATTTCCAGCTGATTTCTTTGTATTCACTGGTAAGCTTATTCTAAAATTTACACAAAATTGCAAGGGACTCCAAATAGCCAAAACCTGAAAAAGAAGAATTATGTAAGAAGACTCACATTTCCCAGTTTCAAAAGTTACTACAAAGAAATAGTGAGCAAGACACTGCTGTCTTGGCACAACAATAGACATATAGATCAATCTAATCGAATTGAGAGTCCCGAACTAAAACCAGGCCTCTATGGTCAACTTATTTTCAACAAGGATTCCAAGACCATTCAATGTGGGAAAAGTCTTAACTAACGGCGCTGGGCCAAGTGGACAACTATGCACAGAAGAATGAAGTTGGACTCCTGCTGTGTTAGTCCATTATTGTATTTCTGGGAAGAAATACCTGAGGCTGGGTAATTTACAAATAAGAGTGGTTTATTTCGGCCCAAGTTTCTGCAGGATGTATAGGAAGTGTGGTGCAGGTATCTGCTTCCGGTAGCTTACAATCATGACAGAAGATGAGAGGGGAGCTGGTGTCACAAGGCAAGAGAGGGGAAGAGAGAGGGAGTGAGAGAGAGCGATGTGCCACACTGTTTTGAACAACCAGATTTTGCATTAACTCAGAGTGAGAGCTCTTACCATGAGGACACCAAGCCATTCATGAGGAATCTGCCCCGATGACCCAAATACCTCCTACCAGGCCCTACCTCCAACATTAGGAATCACATTTCAACATGAGATTTGGAGTGGGGCACACATCCAAACTACATCATTCTGCCCCTGACCCTACAAATCTCTGGTCCCTCTCACATTGCAAAACAATCATGCCTTCCCAGTAGTCCCCCCAAATCTTAACTCATTTCAACATCAACTCAATTTAAGAAGACCAAAGTCTCCTCTGAGACCCAAGGCAGGTTCTTCTCACCTATAAGTCTCTAAAATAAAAACCATGATATTTACTTCCGAGATGCTATGGCAGTACAGGCATTGGGTACGCATTCCCATTCCAAAAGAATGAAATTGGCCGAAAGAAAGGGGCTTCAGGCCTCACAGGAGTCTGCAACTCAGCAGAGTGGACATTAAACCTTAAACTCCAACATGATCCTTGAATCCGTGTCCCATTTCCTGGGCACACTGGTATCAGGGGTGTGTTTCCAATACCTTGGGCAGCTTCACCCTTGTGGCTTTGCAGGGTGCACCCCCTATGGCTGCTCTTGCAGGTTGGAGTTAAGTGACTGCAGCTTTTCTACTCTGAGGTTGCAAGCCGCCAGTGGTTCTATCATTCTGGGGTCTGGAGGGTGGTGGCCCCTCCCGGCAGATCCACTAGGAAATGCCCTGGTGGAGACTGTCTGGGAGGGCCCCAACCTCACCTTCCCTCTTGGCACTGCCCTAGTAGAGGCTCCCTGTGGGGGCTCTTCCCCTGTGGCAGGCTTCTGCTCAGACCCAGGCTTTCTGTCACATTCTCCGAAATCTAGGTGGAAGTTGCCAACCTTCCTTCACCCTTGCATTCTGTGCGCCTGCGGGTGGAACACCGCATGGAAGTTGTGAAGGCTTACGGTGGCTGGTGCGCTACAAAGCAGCAGCCTGAGCTCTGTACGTGAGACTCTTTGAGCTGAGACCGGAGTGAGAGTGGCGTGGGTACAGGAAGCAGCGTCCTGAGGCTGTGCAGGGCGGACGCACCCCGGACCTAGCCCCCGAAACCACTGAGCCTGTGCAGGGCGGACGCACCCCGGACCTAGCCCCCGAAACCACTGAGGCTGTGCAGGGCGGACGCACCCCGGACCTAGCCCCCGAAACCACTGAGGCTGTGCAGGGCGGACGCACCCCGGACCTAGCCCCCGAAACCACTGAGGCTGTGCAGGGCGGACGCACCCCGGACCTAGCCCCCGAAACCACTGAGGCTGTGCAGGGCGGACGCACCCCGGACCTAGCCCCCGAAACCACTGAGGCTGTGCAGGGCGGACGCACCCCGGACCTAGCCCCCGAAACCACTGAGGCTGTGCAGGGCGGACGCACCCCGGACCTAGCCCCCGAAACCACTGAGGCTGTGCAGGGCGGACGCACCCCGGACCTAGCCCCCGAAACCACTGAGGCTGTGCAGGGCGGACGCACCCCGGACCTAGCCCCCGAAACCACTGAGCCTGTGCAGGGCGGACGCACCCCGGACCTAGCCCCCGAAACCACTGAGGCTGTGCAGGGCGGACGCACCCTGGACCTAGCCCCCGAAACCATTCTTTTCTCCTAGGCCCCTGAGCCTGGATGGGAAGGGCTGTCTCAAAGACCTCGGAAATGCCTTCGAGACCTTTTTCCTCTTGTCTTGGATATTAGCACTTGGCTCCCTGTTAGTCATGAAAATCTCTCTAGCAAGTGGTTGCTCCTCAGCCCGCTTGGATTCTTTCTCCACCACGGAGCCAGGCTCCCAATTTTTGAATCTTCTACACTCTACTTCCCTTTTAAATATAAGTTCCAACTTTAAGTAATATCTTTGCTCCCACATCTGAGGGTAGGCTGTTCAAAGTAGCCAGGCCACGTTTGAACACTTTGCTGCTTAGAAATTCTCCCTCCTGATACCCTAGGTCATCACTCGTAAGTTCAAACTTCCACAGATGGTAGTGCATGAACACAATGCAGACAAGTTCTTTGCTAGGGCACAACAAGGGTGAGCTTTGCTCTAGTTCCTAGTAAATTCCTCATTTCTATCTGACATCACATTATTCTGGCCTTCATTGTCCATATTTTATCAGCATTTTGATTACAACCATTTAACTCTTTTCCCATTTGTCCGAGAATACTCACTGGCGGCGCTTGTGGCTGCGGCACTAACCCCAAGATAACTTTGCCGCAAAAATTTCCCTTTTATTACTATTTTCACATTATGCTAGAATATTGACTTTGGAAACAAAATACCTCATTTTTATTCTATTGTAGCATTGTGTTTTTAGTAGTGGTATTTCCATTTACAAAATATAGTGATTCTCAATGGCTGAAAATGTCAAATCCTAGAAAATGTGGCATTTCTACACTTGATGTTAACACTGTTCTCAAATAGGTGTTTGCCAAAGATTTATGTGATGAATTTCATTTTTCCAAAAGAGATGACTCTGATGATTCAGATGATTTTGGGGTTAGTTCTGTTTAGAAATAACTTCAAGAACAGTTTTTGTATTTTATTTTCACATTGAAAATCAGTCAGATTTGCTTCATCCTCAGAGTGTGTTTATGTAAAGTTAAATGAAGGCTGGCAGCATGCTCCACTTTTTTTCTAAATGGGAAAAGTGTTAACCAATCTCTAAGAAGTTGTAAACCTTTCCTCATCTTTCTGTCTTTTTCTAAGCCCTCAAAACTCTTCCAACCTCTGCTCATTACCCAGTTCAAAAGCCACATTTTTGTTTCCACATTTTCACTTACCACAGAAGTATCTTTACAGCAATATGTCCCTCCTCAGTACCAGTTTTCTGTGTTAGTCTATTTTTGCATTACTGTAAATAAATATCGGAGACTGGGTAACTTATAAAGAAAAGTGGTGGATGTTGGCTCACTGTGTGTGCAAGCTGAGCAAGAAGCATGGTGCGTGCATCTGCTTCTGTTGAGTCCCTCAGGAAGCTTATAGTCATGGTGAAAGGCAAAAGGGGAGCTGGTGTGTCACACAGTGAGAAAGATAAAAAGAGAGGGAGTGAGAGAGAGAGAGAAGGGATGTGCCATACTCTTTTAAACAACCAGATTTCACATGAACTCAGAGTGAGAACTCATTCATTACTGCAGGGGCCCAAAGCCATTCAAGAGGGATCCACCTCCAGGACCTAAATACCTTTCACTAGGCCCACTTCCAACATGGGAGATTACATTTCAACACGAGATTTGGAAAAGACACACATCCAGACCATATCACCTGGTTTATATTATATACAAAAATTAACCCAAAATGGATCAAAGACCTAGATGTAAGAACAAAACTGTAACATTCTCGAAAGAAAACACAGAAGTAAAATCTTCATGACCTTGTATTTGGCAAAGAATTATTGGATGAGATATCAAAAGCACAGCATAAAAAGAGAAAACCTGATAAACTGAATGTCAAAGTAATTAAAAACTTTTGTGCTAAAAAACACCATCAAGAAAATAAGAAGATTACACACAAAATGAAAAAAGTCATAAGCCATACTCATAAGGGGTTTATACACAGAATATGTAAAGAACCCTTATAACTCCATAGTAAAAAAAAATGTGAAAATTGGGCCAAGAATCTGAATTGATGTTTCCTTAAATAAGATATATAAATGGCCAATAAGCGCATAAAATTATTTGCTCAACATCAGTAGTTATCAGGAAAATACAGATCAAACCAAAATTAGATACCATGTCATACCCACTAGGATGGCTAGAATAAAAAAAATCAGATAACAATTTAAAAAGATGAGGATGTCAAGAAATGGGAGCCCTCAATAATGCTGGTGGTAATAGAAAATAGTCCATTCATGTGGGGAAACAGTCTTGCAGTTTCTCCAACAACTAGATGCAGAGTTATTAAATGACAGAAATTCTGCTCCTAGGCAAAGATGATCCTCAACTTATGATGAGGTTGCATCTCAATAAATGCATCCAAAGTTAAAAATGCATTTAACGTTTGCAATACAGCAGATTGTCCCTGATGGTACAAACAACATACTCATTCAGTAAAATCCATAACTCCATCATAAGTCATAAGGAGCTCCTTTGGTTTCAATAAAGTTATGTCCTGATGAACCTATCATAAAGTTAAAAATTATAACTTGAACCATTGTAAGTCAGAGAACATCTCTATATACCCAGAAGAAATAAAAACATATTTCTACATGAAAACATATACACAAATATTTATAGCAGTATTATTCATAATAGCCAAAATATGGACACAGCCCAATGTCAATCAATGGATGAATGTAGCAGCAAACTGTGTTATATCTATATGATGCATAGCATTCAGCCACAAAAAGAAATGAGGTTTTGATGCGCGTTTTGAAACAGATAAACGTTGAAACCATTACGCTAAGTGAAAAATGTTACAAAATACTATCTGTCATTTGTATCTATGATACCATTCATATGAATATCCAGAATAGGGAAATCTATAGAAACAGAAAGGGTAGTATGGGTTGTTTAGAGCTGAGTAAAGGCTGTCACGCGAATCGTGTGGTGGTACCTGAAGGACACGTAAGTTCTTCTTCAGGTAAAGAAAATGCTTTAAAATTGACTATGATGATGGCTTCACATATTTGTGAATTTACTAATGACCATTGAATTGTACACTATAAATGGTTAAATTGCATGTATAAAACTATATTTCAATAAAGAATATATAATCCATTTATTCAAAAAGGTGAAAGGAATACTAGTACAGACATGGAAGGTATTAAAAACGCAAACAGAGCATCTAGAAAAGAACATAATATTGCAGATGAAATATGCTGAACAGTGTTAACAGCAGATTGGACATCAAGGAAGATTAGTGAAGTACAAGATACAGCAAGAGACACCATCCAAAATGGAAACTGGAAAGAAAAAAGAATTATTTATTTTTTATTTTTGTGGGGACACAGTAAGTGTATAAGTTTATGGGGTACATAAGATATGCTGATTCAGGCATACAAAGCATAATAATCATATAAAGGTAAATGAGATGTCCATTCCTTCAAGCGTTTATCCTTCGTTTGAATTACAAACAATCCAATTATATACTTTTAGTTATTTTTAAATGTACAATAATTATTGACTACAGTCACTCTGTTGTGCTATCAAATACTAGATATTATTCATCCTATCTATGTTTTTGTACCCATTAACCAATCCCCAAATCCCCCACCCTACTACTCTTCCCAGTATCTGGTAATGGCCATTTTACTCTCTATCTCCACGCATTCAATAATTTTAATTTTCAGTTCCCAAGTGAGAACATGTGAAGTGTATCTTTCTGTGCCTGGCTTATTTCACTTAACATAATGATCTCCAGTTCCATCCATGTTGTTGCAGACAACTGAATCACATTTTTTCATGGCTGAATAGTACTCCATTGTGTTAATGTATCACATTTTTTATTCATTCATCTGTTGATGGACACTTAGATTGCTTCCAAATCTTGGCTATTATGAATAGTGTTACAATAAATATGGGAGCGCAGAGATCTCTTTGGTATACTGATTTCCTTTGAGTATGTATCTGGCAGTGGGATTGCTGGATCCTATTATGGAAGTTCTATTTTTAGTTTTTTGAGGAACTTCCAAACTGTCCTTCAGAGTAATTGTATTAATTTACATTTCCAGCAACAATGTATGAGGGTCCCTTTTCTCCACATCCTTGCCAGCATTAATTATTGCCTATCTTTTGTATAAAATCCATTTTAACTGGGTTGAGATGATATCTCAATATAGTTTTGATTGGCATTTCTCTAATGATCAATGATATTGAGCACATTTTCATATACCTGTTTGCTGTTTCTATGTCTTCTTTTGAGAAATGTCTATTTAGATCTTTTGCACATTTTTAAATCAGATTATTAGATTTGTCCCTATTGCATTGTTTGAGCTCTTTATATATTCTGGTTATTGATCCTTTGTCAGATGGGTAGTTTGCTAATATTTTCTCCCATTCTATGAATTGTCTCCTTCTTGATTGTTTCCTTTGCTGTGAAGAAGTTTTTAAAGTTGATGTGAAACGTTTGTTCATTTTTGCTTTGGTTGCCTGTTTTTGTGAAATATTGCTCAAAAATCTTTATTTGTGGAATATTACTCAAGAAATAACAGTCCAATGTCCCAGAGAGTTTCCTCAATGTTTTCATTTAGTAGTTTCGTAGATTTCATAGGTTCATATTTTTAATCAATTTTGATTTTATTTTCATATATGGTAAGAGATAGGTCTAGTTTCATTCTTCTGCATATGAATATCCAGTTTTCCCAGCACCATTTATTGAAGAGGCTGTTCTTTCCCCAATGTATGTTCTCAGCACCTTTGTTAAAAATGAGCTTACTGTAGGTGTATAAATTTGTTTCTGTGTTCTCTACTCTGTTCCATTGGTCTATGTGTTTGTTTTAATGCCAGTACCATCCTGTTTTGATTACTATAGTTCTGTGTTATAATTTGAAATCAGGTATTGTGATATTTCCAGTTTTCACTCAGGATTGCTTTGGGTACTGTGTGTCTTTTGTGGTTCCACGTAAATTTTAGAATTTTTTTCTATTTTTGTGAAAAATGTTATTGGTACTTTGATAAGGATTTCATTGAGTCAGTAGATTGCTTGCCAAAGTATGTACATTTTAACAATATTCATTCTTACATTCCAAGAACATGGAATGTGCTTCCTTATTTTGTGTCCTCTTTAATATTTTTCATCAATGTTTTATAGTTTTTATTACATAGATCTTTCACTTCTTTGGTTAAGTTAATTTTGAGATATTTTATTTTATTTGTAGTTATTGTAAATGGGATGACTTTCTTGATTACTTTTTCAGAGAGTTCACTGTTAGCAAATAGAAATGCAATTAATTCTTGTATATTGATTTTATGTTCTGCAACTTTACTGACAATTTATCAGTTCTGATAGGTTTTTGGTGGAGTCTTTAGGTTTTTCCATATATAAGATTATATCTGCAAACAAGGATAATTTGGCTTTTTCGTTCTAATTTCGATGCCCTTATTCCTTCCTCTTATCTGATTGTTCTATCTAGGATGTCCAATACTATGTCGAATAACAGGTGTAGAAGTGGGCATCTTTGTTGTGTTCCAGATCTTGAGGAAAGGCTTTCAGCTTTTCCCCATTCAGTATGATACTAGCTGTGAATCTGTCATATGTGGCTTTTTTATGTTGAGGTATGTTTCTTTTATACTCAAGTTTTTGAGACTTTTTATCATGAAGAGATGTTGAATTTTATCAAATGCTTTTTCAGCATCAATTGAAATGATCACACGGCTTTCATCCTTCATTCTGTTATACGATGTATCACATTAGTTGATTTGCGCATGTTGAACCATCTTTGTATCCCTGGGATAAATTTCACTTAAATATGATGAATAATCTTTTCAATGTTTGGTTTAATTCAGTTTTCCAGTATTTTGTTAAAAATTTTTGCATCAAGGTTTATCAAGCATAAACATTACTTTTCTTTTCTTTTTTTTTTTTTTTTTGATGTGTCTTTGTCTGGTTTTGGTATCAGGGTAATACTGTCCTCCTAGAATGAGTTTGGAAGTATTCTGCCCACCTCTATTTTTCAGAATAAAGAGGATTGATATTAATTCTTCTTTAAATGTCTGGGAAAATTCAGCAGTGAAGCCATCAGCTTCGAGACTTTTCTTTGCTGGAAGACTTTTTATTACAGCTTTGATCTTGTTACTTATTACTGGTCTAAGTTTTGGATTTCTTCCTGATTTAATAATGGCAGATTGTATGTGTCTAGGGATTTATTCATTTCTTTCAGGTTTTCCAATTTATTGGCATATAGTTGCTCATAGTAGCCTCTAATAATTCCTAACATTTCTGCATGGTATCAATTGTCATGTCTCCTTTTTCCCTCTGGTTTTATTTAAGTCTCCTCTCTTTTTTTCTTAGTTAATCCAACTAACTTTCCTGTATATAACAATTGCAAAAGTCTGAATAAAATATTTTTTTAAAAAACAACTATTTGAGGGGACTTAGAGGGGCAACCAAAAAATGGGCAAAAACTAAAAGTGAGGCACCTTTTGGCAGAGGATTGCATCAGGTGAGATTGGCAAGTTTGCAACTTTTTGCCTCTGACAGTCTTCAAGCCAGACAAAACAGGATGCCCCAAAGCTATGTTCTTTATTGGTTTACAACTTTAGAATATAAAGGGTCATGTTGAAAGAGACTGGAATATTGGAGAAAAAGGAAAAAAGAATGGGCCAAAGAAAGGCAAGCCTCAAAATCTGTGTTAAAAATTGCTCAAGTCTTCCTCAACTAATCCATGCCAAGGTCTTCACGCCCACTTTTATCCCTTACATATGAAGAATTCCCATCATTGTCCACTACTCACTTTGACATCAGTGTTTTCTTCACTGCTTTAGTACAGGGTACTCTTAGGGACATAGAGAAGGAGTTGGTGATAGAGTCATACGTGCCTAGTTCACTCCGATATTCCACGTTCCTCCACTCTCCGAATCCTTCCTTTGTATTATACCAAGGCATAGACGGAGTCTCAGCTTCATTTGATATAGGCCTCCACTGGGTCTCAGATGCAGCCATAGGCCACAGACTGGGCATGCAGGGGCAGTCCCCACGCCTGAGCAGCTGGATGGAGCGCAGAACCTCTGGCGAGGGTGTCCATGCTAAGCCTAGCCCAGCAAAATGCCAGGCTTCTATTTTCCTAGTCTGGGGAGGATGTGCAGCCTAAAAAAAATCCTACATATATTTCCCAGATTGTTGGTAGTAAAGATTGATAATATCTTAGGAAAATGTTGCCTTTCTGCCATTGCACCAACCATTTTCCAGGTCTGACTCTGCAGTGGACTCCACAGGGCATACAAGAACCCACGAGCCATGAGGTGTGGCTGGATATAACATTAGGAGAAATTGCTTCTTCCTGAAGAGCTGCTTTCTCCTGCCAGGTGGCCACAGAGTTTTCAGTAAAGTCGAGGACAGTTTTATCAGACTGGAAAAGAGGCTGCTTCACCTGATAAGGGAGGTTTGGTTGGGCTCAGAACTTTTGATTATTCTGATTCATTTGAATCTTCTCCAATGTTCCCATCTAATCTTTCAATGCACACTCTTCCCCAACCAATAGTCTGACTCTGATATATTGATTATTCTCTTTAGAGATAGGAGATACTACCAAATGGTTACAGAGACACCGCACTTCTTTTAACATGCATTGAGTTGAGATTTTGAAGTTTTAAGCTGCTGATGTATTTCCAACAGTGTCAGACATAGCCAGCACACCCCACATTCCTGCCATTCCGCGTGCCTTTCGTAGGGGTCTGTAATTGCAGTGACACCAATTTGCCACTTCATGTTACAGACTTTAGGAGTCCCACTCTATGCCAGACAACCAAGCTCTAGTTCCCAGTTCCTTTAAGGTCTGTTATTGTACCACGGTTTGGCGGGGTAGGGGGTGGGGGTTCATTGATGCAAGCAACAAAATATAATTTTTGCTTTAATCAGCAAATGAATGTACTTAAAAAATCAAATTAGTGCCTATCACCCCTGGGAGGGCCTGAAAATCCACTGAGAGACACAGGTAGGAACAATTCTCAAATGCTCTCCTGGCCCATTTGCAAATAATCCTTTGGTCACTGGTGCCACTGCTGCTGGAACATCTGCCTCTGAGGCCTCTAAAAGCCATTTGTTTCTCCCCTGTCCCTGTCAAGCAGAGTGCATCCTTGCCTTTCTTCTGCATCCATGTGTCATGCCCGTGCACATATTTGACAGGAACTGGGTCAGGGTTTAGCCTCCTGGCTGTCAGGTGGGCTAGAGAAAGGACTTCTAGTACATACTAAGTGACCATGGGTTACAACGTGAGGATGCTCTCAAAATAGAAATCAGCAACTCAAAAGCTATGGATTGTCCCCACTCATGACATGCTCCTCTCATCTACATAACTAAATATTTGGCTTGTACTTCTACTGCTGGATGTATCATGCTTAGATAATGTCTTTGGAAGAGGTGAATATGAATGGTAGGTAGGCTTCTGGCCAGCTTCCACCATGGAGAGAGAGGAGGACATGAGTGTGCTGCTCCCTATCACAGGGATACTGCCCTCGTTTTTGTTTCTGTTCCTCCACCCACCGCTTTTATATTCACTCATTGTGCTCTGCTTTCTTGCTGTTCCTCACATTTACTGTAGGAGCCTCTCGCTAGGCAAGTAGGCCCCTTGCTTTGAGTGCAGCTCTGGGTTTTTAGTGTGAGGTCAGCCCCCGCTGTCCCTGCGGGTCAGTGTGTGGGGCTGGAGTTGGGGAGGCATGCTCTGGAGAATCGAGGTCTGACCACACTCCTCTACCTACCGACCTGGTGATTGCCAGCTCTCCCCTCCAGGTCTTGTGGAGTGAAATTTTTTCACTCCAAGTTTGATGATGATTTTCTGAATATGTTCTTATGCTGGAAAAGAGATGCTCTGATGTATTTTATTTTTCAGAGCTGTTTTGTTTTCTCATGTTCTTTCTTCCAGAAATGTTTTGCAGTATTTCTACTGAGGACACCCTTCTTTTCTTAACATCACGTCTGCAAGTTGTATACTATTATTCTCACTTTGATAGCAGAAAACTGAGGTTTAGACCATTTAAGCAATTTGCCAAATGCTGATAAGAAGGCAGGATGTTAACTCAATGCCATTGAACTCCAGAGCCCAGTATCTTAACTTCTGTGGGAAGTTGCTCTTAAGTAACAATTATCTTCCCTGACATCATTACTCAGCATTCTAAAGATCCCACTAATTTGAAATCATGAGCATTTTTATAATGTGAAATTATGAGGACTAGTATTTTACCTAGTTAATCATGACTGGCACCAAATTCATATCTAACTACAGGCCCAATGATTTATCCAAGGCTAATGTTTCCCAAATGCCACCTTTACTCTTCTCAAAGAATGAGACAAATTTTCCAAGCCCATCCTTCACCAACATAGGGGATCAAAATATGCTTCCCCAAAATAAGACACGTTGGCATATTAACTATTCTGAGTTAAAGGCACCTGAAAAATAGCAAATGCAAGAGAGGCACTCTGAACTTATCTTTTCTTTGTGAAAGCAAGAGATCAAACTCCCATGTGAAAGGTGCCCTCCCTGTACCAGGAGGAAGAAAGGCATTGTTATCAGGGATGGAGAGATGAGGCTGGGAGAAATCGGTTTAAACAAACCTTGTTAAACTCACCCTTACCTTCCTAATCACTTTTCCACAATTGGCTGCTCTCACCTGAGGCCCCTTGTCTTGTTAGGTTTTCACAATGTATGACTCTTTGTCCAAACTAGTGTACAAGTGTTCAGCACTGACTCTTCTTTGGGTCTTCATTTTTCTTGTGAGGGTTTCCATGTGCATGCAAAAATTACTATTAAAATTTGTATACATTTCTTCTACTAATCTGTGTTGTGTCTGTACCAAATATACCTCCATATATTTGAATTTTTGTTTTGGTTTTAGATTTCACATATAAGCAAAATCATGTAATATTTTTCTTTCTGTGTCTGGCTTATTTCACTTAGCATAGTATCCTCCAGCCTCATCTACCTTGTGGCAAACACCAAGATCTTGTTATTTTTTAGGACTGAATAATATTCCATTGTATATAAATTCAGCAGTTTATTCATTGCTCCATCAACAAACACTAAGTTTATTTCCATATCTTGGCTATTGTGAATACTGTTGCAATTAATGTGGGAGTGCAAATATCTTTTTGAAGTGATGATTTCATCTCCTTTGGGTATATACTGAGAAGAAGGATTACTGAGTCATATGGCAGTGCTATTTTAATTTCTTTAGAAACCTACATAGTGTTTTCCAAAATGGCTGTACCAATCTGCATTCCTATCAACAGTGTACAAGGGTTCCTTTTTCATAATAGTCCCTTATGATCCTTTCTATTTCTGAGGTGTCTATTGCCCCTTTTCTCTACACCCCCACCAACGCTTGTTATCTTTCAACTTTTTAGTAATAGCCAACTAACAAGTGCAAAGTGATGCCTGATAGTGGTTTGGATTTGCATTTCTCTGATGATAAATGATGTTAAACATCTTTTCATATACCTGTTAACATTTTTTATGTCTTCTTTGGAGAAGTGTCTATTGATATATTTTGCCCATTTTTAATGGGGTCATTTATTTTTCTAATAAATTGTATGAATTCTTTATAAATATTGGATATTTATTTTTTATTAAATGTATGATTTGCAAATATTTTTTCCCAATCTAGAAGCTACCATTTCATTTTGTTGATTGTTTCCTGTGCTATATGAAAGCTTTATAATTTGATGACTAGCATTTATATAATTTATTTTGCTTTTGTGGCCTGAGATTTTGGTGTGATATCCAAAAAATCATTGCCAAAGTCAATGTTCAGGAGCTTTCCCCTTATGTTCTCTTCTACAAGTTTTATAATTTCTGGTTTTACATTTAGGTCTCTCATCCATTTTGAGTTTATTTTTGTGTATAGTTTGAGACAAGGGTTCAATTTCATTCTTTTGCATGTGGCAATTCACTTTTTTTTCAGTGCAGTTTATTAGACTATCCTTTCTCCATTGTGTCCTCTCAGTGCCTTTATTAAAAATTAGTTAAAAGGGCCAGCTGCGGTGTCTCACGCCTGTAATCCTAGCACTTTGGTAGGCTGAGGTGGGTGGATCACCTGAGGTCAGGAGTTTGAGACCAGCATGGCCAACATGGTGAAATCCCCATCTCCATTAAAAATACAAAAATTAGCCGGGTGTGGTGGCAGGTGCCTGTAATCCCAGCTCCTTGGGAGGCTGAGGCAGGAGAATCGCTTGAACCCCGGGGCTGGTGGCTGCAGTGAGCTGAGATCATGCCACTGCATTCCAGCCTGGCTGAAAGAACAAAACTCTGTCTCAGAAGAAAAAAAAAGTAGTTGAATGTATATTTTTAGATTTATTTCTGGGCTCTCTATTGTGTTCTCCTGGTATATATGTTTACTGTTATGATAATATCATACTGTTTTGATTACTATAGCTTTGTAATAGAACTTTAAATCAAGGAGTATGATGCCTCCAACTTTGTTTTTATTTCTCAGAATTGTTATAACTATTCAAGGTCATTTATGTTTCCGTGCAAATTTTAGAATTGATTTTTTCCATTTCTATGAAGAATGCTATTGAGATTTTTATAGGGATTCCATTGAATCTGTAGGTTGCTTTGGGTAGTATGAACATTTTAACAATATTGATTATTTCAATACATAAATATGGGAACTATCTTTCCATTTATTTATGTCTTCTTCAGTTTCTTTCATCAGTGTTTTGTAGCCTTTAGTGTACACATCTTTCATTGCCTTGGTTAAATTTATCTCTAAGTCTTTTTTTTTTTGAATGCTGTCCTGAATGTGATTTGTTTTGTTTTTCAGTTAGGTCATGATTTGTGTAGAAAAATGCTGTTAATTTTACATGTATTGATATAGTACCCTACAAGTTTACAAAATTCATTTATTAGTTGCAATCGTTTTTCTGTATGTGGCATCTTTGAATTTTCCATACAGAATCATGTCATTGGCAAATAGAGATAATTTTATTTCTTTCTTTCCAATTTGGATGCTTTTTTTTTCTTGTTGAGTGCTCTTGCTAGTCCTTACAGTGCTATCTGGAATAGAAATGATGAGAGTGGGCATCCTTACATTGTACCACATCTTAGTGAAAAAGCTTTCAGATTTTTCCAGTTGATTATGATGTTAGCTGTAGATTTTTCATAAATAGGCTTCATTATGTTGAGGAACTTTTCTTTTATACCTAAACTGCTAAGAGTTTTTATCAAAAAAAAATGTTGAACTTCGTGGAATGGTTTTTCAGCATTGACTGAGATGATCTTTTTTTTAAAAAAAAATCTTTCATTCTCTTAGTGTGATATATCACATTCATTTGCATATGTTAAACCAGTCTTTATCTCAGGGATAAATCTCACTTGGTCATGATATAAAATCTTTTTGATGTGTTGTTGAATTTGGTTTGCTAATATTTTATTGAGTATTTTTGTGTAAATATTTTTCAGAGAGATTAGCCTGTAATTTTTTTTTGGGGAGGGGGGGGGTTGTTTTTTTCCCCTGTGATGTCTTTGTCTGGATTAGGTATCAAAATAATGTTGGCCTCATAAAATGTGTGTGAAAGAATTTCCTCTATCTCTATTTTTTGAGAAGAGTTTAAAAAGTATTTCTATTAATTATTTTTGGAAGGTCTGGTCTAGAGTTCACCTTGATGCCATCTGGTCCTGAGCATCTCTTTGTCAGGAGGATTTTGTCTTCATTTATTATTGTTCTGTTTAGGCTTTCTAATTTTTCTTGACTCAGTCTTGGTAGGTTGTGTTTTTCTAGGAATGTATTCATTTAGTTTTAGGTTATCCAATTTGTTGGCATATACTTGTTCATAATAGTCCCTTATGATACTTTTATCTCTGAGGTGTCAGTTATAATTTCTTCACCTTCATTTATTACTTTTTTATTTGGTTTGCCAATTTTGTCAATTTTCTTTAAACAAACAACTCAGATTTTTTCTGGCATCTGTTTGATTTAATTCTGCTCTGGTTTCCATAATTTTTCTTTTCTGATACTTTTAGGTTCAGTTTGTTCTTTCCTAGGTTCTTGAGGTGAATGATTAAGTTGTTTATTAGAAAATTCTCTCCTTTTTGGATGTTACCATTTATTGCTATAAACTTCCCTCTTAGAGCTGCTTTTGGTACATCTCTTAGGTTTAGAAATATTGTTTCCACTATCATTTGTCTCAGATATGTTTAAATTTTCCTTTGTATATCTTCTTGATGCATTGGTTGTTCAACGGACAGGTTGTTTAACCTCCCCATATTGGTGAATTTATAAGCTTGTGTTATTGATTTCCAATTTCATATCATTATGATCTAAAATTATACTAGATATTATTTTAATCTTTTCAGTTTTTTTAAGACCTGTTTTGTGGCCTAACATGTGGCCAATTCTGGAGAATATTCTTTGTGTACTAGACTAAAGTGTGTATTCTGCTGCTGTTGGATGGCAAGTTTTGTATGTCTGTTAGGTCCATTAGGTTCAAAGTGTAATTGAAGTCTAGTGTTTCCCTGCTAATTTTCTCTCTGGATCAAATTCTGTTTCATAAACTACCAATACTTTTGATAATATGTGAATGATATTTCAAATGTGGACTTTAATTAATTTTTCTCAGGTATGGGAACCATATCTCTGGCCCGTGAATACCCAAATATGATGTAATATTTACCAAATTAAACATGGAATAATTTTTAAATCAATGGTTCTAATTTTTTTTTAATGATTATGATTTTTGTCTCACTTTCCTCATCAGTCAAAGAGCTATTAATGGTAACTACCTCATATGGTTGGGTGAGGATTAAATAAAATACACTAGCATTTCATGGATATAGCATATGATGATGATGATAATGACACATTGATGATTATTATATTCTACCCCCTACTTGAAGCCACATCTACAAGATTGGATATTTGTGCCTAGCACAGAGTTGCCAAATTTAGCAAATAAAAGCATAGGACACCCAATTAAATGCATATTTCAGATAAACAAGTAATTTTTTAGTATAAGCATGCAATACTTGAGACATACTTTAAATGAGTTTCAGATAAACAATCAGTAAGTTTTTAGTACAATTATGTCCCAAATATTACATGGGACATACTATTCCAAAAAATTATGCCTTACTTATATGAAATTCAGATGTAACCAGTATCTTGTATTTTATCTGGTAATCTTAGTCTAACACAGAACAATCATTTTCATAAACATTTATAACTATAAAAGATAATTTTATTTTTATAATGGATTGTGACATTATTGAATTAGTACTTTAAGACAAATCAATGAAACTAATTGTACATTATATAGTCAATAATTTGACAGTCTAGAATACTGGTAAGTCTACATTATTCTGTAGGAATTACATATACCCTGGAGTGACTCTTACATCTATGACTTAGGAGCTACATGACCTTGGACAACTTAAATCATAATCTATATGATCACAGATTTATTTCTTCTTTTTAAAAAAGTTAAATAAATTATACAATCTTCCTTATGTAGAATTGTTTAGAAGAGGTACATATAATGCTGTCCTCTCCAAAAATTACATTGTTCCTTTTTTCTCCTTCCTCTCTCAGATTTAAGACAGGCTTTGAGAACAGCATCTGCACTGCTCTTTCAATTTTAATTGTAATTTGCAAAGGTGAATTTTGCAAAGGTAAAACAGACTAGTAGACTGATTAAATGAATTAGATGCTAAAAGGGAAACAAAAGAGAGAGGTCAAAAATAACTCTAAGCTGTGGGTGAGAAAAAGAGAAGGAAAGAATGAAGTCACTATTGAAAGAGCATGAATATAAAAGCAAGCAGGTTTGAGAGAAAAGACAGTTGAGTTTTACAAATAATGAGTTTGAAATAATGGTGAATTCTTGCGAGCCTTCTAGTTGGGCTCCTAAAACATGATCCTTATTATCTTAATTTATTATCTTAATTTCTTCTCTTCTATTATCATTATGTATCAATCAATAAGCTAGTTATTGTAAGGTACCTGAGATATTACCAGGAACACAGTAAGGCTCAATTAATATCAGCTATAATTTAATTTGTTTTGGCTATTGTCATTTTTATTATCATTTCAACCAATTTGAAATTGTAATATCATTCTTAACCATTTCTTAATATATTCTAAGATTTTTTCTTTCTTTTGTATCTACTAACATTATTATACTAAATTTACAATTATAAAGAAGAAAGAAATGTCAGTTTCTCAAGTTTCCTCTGATCATTAGGAAAACCCAAAACTCACTCCAAACCCTTCTTGTTCCTATAAAAATTATCTCTACTTTCTTAATCTTTTATTCAGAATCACAATAGGTGTGTATTTAAAGAAACACAAGCTTTCTATTTCATATACGTTCATATTCATTATTTATATTTAGGTAAATATATGCTTATTATTTAAACTTCAGAAAAAATAGAAAAGTTGGAAGAAGAAAAAAGTGACTCATATTGCTAAACCACAATATTATCCATTAACATTTTTAGTATTTTTGATGTAAGAGTGTTATGAAGACCACTTCCACAGTTGTATATCCAAATTGTATATCCCAGATTTTAGACTTTATCATGTGATTTAAGCTTTTCCCAGCCACTGAGGAATATTTGTTTTTTGTTGCTGATGTGAATTTCTAAGATGTGAGTTTATACAATCATGATACAGTCTGAGATATAAGTTTATACATCATATTAAATCTAAAAATAATTGAATTGAACAACTTCAGAAACTTCTAAAGAACAATGGCTCCTATAAGTTAGCTTTAGCACACAAAAGTCTATCCCTGGCAGCCTGGATTATTTCTCTTGGAGCCCACATAATTAACATAGATGATGGCTGGCTCGTTACAGAGAAACAGGAATCTACATATCCATCAGTGTTTGGGACTGCCTTAGGATTGCCCATTTGGCCCAAACTTAATCCTGATGCCATTTGTGCTCTTCACCCTCCATATCAACTACTGGAATATCATTCTAAATGTTTGATCCCTTTTTTAATGCTCCCTTCAGTCTAATTTCAACTCATTAACATCAAAATATTCTTGTCTCTTAATTTCAAAAGGAAGAAATATCCATTTCTGTTGATTCTGCCTCCAACCAATGACATGCTTCTGTGTGCAAGCTTTATCCTGTCACTTCCTTGAATAACATCCTAATTGGCTCACTTGGCTTTCAGAAAATTGGTAGACTCTTAGCTTGGTGTAAAGAGTCCTTCATGACTTGATCCCTCACTAGGACTTTCTTCTTTATTTTAGAAATTAAATATACACAAATTAAATAACATGATTTGCCATATAAACAGAATTAAAAACAAAAACCATATGATCATCTCAATTGACATGAAAAAAGCTTTCGACAAAATCCAATACCCCTTCATCATAAAAACCCCCAAGAAATTAGGCATTGAAGTAATATATGTCAAAATAATAAGAGCGATCTATGACAAACCCACAGCCAACATCATACTGAATGGGCAAAAGCTGGGAGCATTTTCCTTGAGAACTGGTACAGGGCAAGGATGCTCACTCTAACCACTCCTGTTTAACATAGTACTGGAAGTGCTAGCCAGAACAATCAGGCAAGATAAAGAAATAAAGGGCATCCAAACAGGAAAAGAAGAAGTCAAAGTATCTCTCTTCATGGACAATATGATTCCACACATAGAAAACCCTAAAGACTCTACCCAAAGGCTCCTGGAACTGATAAATGATTTCAGCAAAGTTTCAGAATACAAGATCAATGTACAGAAATCAGTAGCATTACTATACACCAATAATATTCAAGCCAAGAAACAAATCAAGATTGTTATCTCATTTACAATAGCAATGAAAAATTAAAACTCCTAGGAACACATCTAAACAACTAGATGGAAGAGCTCTACAAAGAGAACTACAAAACACTGCTAAAACCAATTATGGATGACAGAAACAAATAAAAAACATTTCATGCTCATGGATTGGAAGAATCAACATCATTAAAATGGCCATACTGCCCAAAGCAATTTACAGATTTGATGCTATTTCTATCAAACTACCAACATACTTTTTCACAGGACTAGAAAAAATTATTCTAAAATTCATATAAAACCAAAAAAGAGTGCAAACAGCCAAAGCAATTCTAGGCAAAAAGAACAAAGCTGGAGGCATAACATCGCTTGACTTCAAACTATATTGAAGGCTACAGTAACAAAACAACGTGGTACTGGTACAAAAACAGATACATAGACCAAAGAAACTGAGTAGAGAACCCATAAATAAAGCCATACACCTACAGCCGTCTGATTTTCTACAGTCAAAAGAAAATAAGCAATGAGGAAAAAGAGCTCATATTCAATAAATGTTGCTGGGATAGTTGGCTTATGATACACAGAAGAATGAAACTGGACCCCTACTTGTCACCATATACAAAAATTAAATGAAGATGGATTAAAGATTTAATTCTAAGACCTCAATCTATAAAAATAGAAGAAAACCCAGAAAGCTCCATTCCTGACATCAGCCTTGGGAACGAATGTATGACTAAGTCCTAAAAAACAATTACAAAAATATTAGCAAAAAATTGACAAGTGGGGCCTAATTAAACTAAAGTGCTTCTGCACAGAAAAATAAACTATTCACAGAGTATTCAGACAACCCACAAAATGGGAGAACACATTCACAAACTATGCATATCTAATTACATAAAGGTCTAATATCCAGAATCTACAAGGAACTTAGCAACAAAACAAGCAAAAAACAAGTCACCCCATTAAAAATGGGCAGAAGACATGAACAGATACTTCTCTTTTTTTTTTTTTTTTTTTGAGACGGAGTCTCGCTCTGTCGCCCAGGTCGGACTGCGGACTGCAGTGGCGCAATCTCGGCTCACTGCAAGCTCCGCTTCCCGGGTTCACGCCATTCTCCTGCCTCAGCCTCCCGAGTAGCTGGGACTACAGGCGCCCGCCACCGCGCCCGGCTAATTTTTTGTATTTTTAGTAGAGACGGGGTTTCACCTTGTTAGCCAGGATGGTCTCGATCTCCTGACCTCATGATCCACCCGCCTCGGCCTCCCAAAGTGCTGGGATTACAGGCGTGAGCCACCGCGCCCGGCCGAACAGATACTTCTCAAAAGAAGACCTATATGAGTGGCCAACAAACCTATGAAAAAATGTTCCACATGACTTATCATCAGAGAAATATAAATGAAAACCACAATGACATACCATCTAACACCAATCAGAATGGCTAAAGTAAAAAAAATAACAGATGCTGGTGAAGCTACGGAGAAAAGGGAGTGTTTATACACTGTTGGTGAGAGTATAAGTTAGTTCAAGCACTATGGAGGGCAGTTTGGAGATTTCTCAAAGAACTTGGAACTACCATTCGACCCAGCAATCCCATTACTGGGAACATAGTCAAAAGAAAACAAGTCATTCTACCAAAAAGACACATGTACTTCCACATTCATCACAGTACTATTCACAATATCAAAGACATGGAATCAACCTTTGTGCCCATCAATGGCAGACTGGATAAAAAGAATGCGATATATATACACCATGGAATGTTTCTCAGCCATAAAAAAATAAAATTATATCCTTTGCGGCAGCATAGATGCAGATGAAGGCTGCTATCCTAAGTGAATTAATGCAGGAACAGAAAAACCAAATACTGCATGTTCTAATTTATAAGTGAGAGCTAAACATTGGGTACTCATGGACATAAAGAAGGCAGCAGTAGATACTGGGGATTACTAAGGGGTAAGGGAGGAAGGGGGGAAGGGTTGAAAAACTAACTTTGGGGTACTATGCTCAGTACCTTGGTGATGGTGGTGGGATTCGTACTCCAAACCTCAGCATCACACAGTTTACCCAGGTAAGAAATTTACCTATGGACCCTGTGAATCTAATCTAAAATAAAAGTTGAAAAAAAAGAAATATCTTTTAATATACATGCTGAGTGGCACTTAGCTTTTTAAAAAAATTTTATTAATACATTATAACTGTACATATTTTGGGGGTTATCTTAATTTATTTTCTGTTGCTTATAACTGAATATCTAAAACAGTAATTTATTTTTTAGAAACAGAATTTATTTCTTACAATTATAGAGGCTGAGAAGTTCAGGGCCAAGGGGCTGCATCTGGTGAGGGCCTTCTTGCTGGTGGGAACACTCTGCAGAGTCCCCAGGCAGCATAGAGCATCATATGGTGAGGGGGCTCAGGGTACTAATTCAAGTCTCTTTTCCTGTTCTTATAAAGCCACCGGTTTTCTCCCCAAGAATAACCAATTAATCTATTAACTCATTCATGGATTAATGATTAATTGATAATAGGATTATCCATTTATAAGGGCAGAATCCTAATGATGTAACAACCTCTTAAAGGTCCCACTTCTCAATACTGCCACATTAAATTAGGGATTAAATTTCAACATGAATTTTGGAGGGGAAAATATTCAAACCACAGCAGAGTTACAACTTGTTGTTTCCATACACATATACATATGACTACATCACAGTAGTTAATAGATTCATACTTTTATTCATTTATCCTTTTTGTGAGAACATTCAAAAACCTCTCTTTAGCTATTTTGTAATATATATTGTCTTATTTTTAACCACAGTAATCCTACTTTGCAATAGAACACCAGAACCTTATTCTTCCCATCTAATTCTAACATTGTTTCCCTTAACCAACCTCTCCCCATCCTTCTCTTCACTGTTCCCTTTTCAGGTACTGATAATTACTGTTATACTCTCTACTTCTACTTCTATAAAATTAACTTTTTTCTTAAATTCTATATATTAGTGAGATCATGTGGTATTCGTCATTTTGTGCCTCCATTATTTTAGTTAGCACAATGTCTCCAGGTTCATCCATTTTGTCTCAAATGAAAGACTATTATTCTTTTTTACAGCTGAATAGTATTATGTTGTATAGATAAACTACATTTTCTTCATCCATTCATCTCTTTTGGTAAATTTAGGTTAATTCCAAGTCTTGGCTATGTGAATTATGCTGCAGTAAACATGAAAGTGCAGATATCTCTTGATGTACTGATTTAATTTCTTTTAAACATACACGCAGCAGTGAGATTGCTAAATCCTATGGCAGTTCTATTTTTAATTTTTTGAGAAAATTCTATACTGTTTTTCATAACAGCTGTACTAATTTACATTTCAAACAGCAGTGTATAAGGGTTCCCTTTTCTCCAGATCCTCATCAACACTTGTTTTCGTCTGCCTTTTGAGAATAGCCATTCTAATTAGAGTGAGGTGGTATCTCATTAGGCTTTCAATTTACATTTTTGTGCTGATTAATAATGTTGAGTATTTGCATTTTTCATATATCTGTTGGCTATTTGTATGTCTTTTTTTGAAAAATGTGTATTAAGATCTTTGCCTATTTTTTTTTTTTTTTTTTTGAGATGGAGTCTCGCTCTATCACCCAGGCTGGAGTACGCTGGTGTGATCTCGGCTCACTGCAAGCTCCACCTCCCCAGTTCACGCCATTCTCCTGCCTCAGCCTCCTGAGTAGCTGGGACTACAGGCACCCGCCACCACACCCGGCTAATTTTTTGTATTTTTAGTAGAGATGGGGTTTCACCATGTTAGCCAGGATGGTCTCGATCTCCTGACCTCATGATGCACCTGCCTCGGCCTCCCCAAGTGCTGGGATTACAGGCATGAGCCACCATGCCAGGCCAATCTTTGCCTATTTTTAAATTTTGTTTTTGGTTTCTTTTGGTGCTGAGTTGTTTAAGTTTCTTATATATTATGGATATTAACAGCTTGTCAGATGCATAGTTTTCAAATATTTTTTTCCATTCTGTAGGTTGTCTCTACACTCTGTTAATTATTACTTTTGCTGTAAAAAATCTTATTAATTTATTGGAATATATCATTTGTCTATTTTTGCTTTGTTGTCTGTGTTTTTGAGGTCTTATCTAAAAGCTCCTTGCCTATTCCAATGTAGTTGGGCTTTTCCCCTATGTTTTCTTCTAGTGGTTCTATAGTTTCAGGTTTTACATTTAAGTATTTAATCCATTTTGAGTTGATTATTGGTTAAGTTTATTTCTAGGTATCTTATTTTTTGTGGCAATTGTAAATAAAACTGTTTTCTTGATTTTTCAGATAGTAAAAGAGAAAAATACTTTCAGTTTTTTCCCATTGAGTATGATGTTAGCAATGAGCTTGTCATATTATATGTTCTTTATTGTGTTGAAATACATACTATCTATACATAACTTTTTGAGAGTTTTTTTTAATCATGAAGAAATGTTTAATTTTGCCCAAGGCTTTTCTGCACTATTGAAATGATCATATAGTTTTTGTCTTTCTTTCTGTTAATGTGATGTATAATACTTATTGATTTATGTATATTGAACTATCCTTACATCCCTGCACGAATACTTGATCATAATGAATAATCTTTTAAATGTGTTGTTGAATATGATATGGTAGTATTAGGTTGAGAATTTTTGCATATATGTTAATAAGGGATATTGGCCTGTAGTTTTCCTTTTTGTTGTTGTATTATCCTTGTCTGATTTTGGTATCAGGAGCCTTGAAAAATGTGTTTGGAAGTACTCTCATAAGTTTTCTCGATTATTTTTGAAGAAGTAGTATTAATTTTTTTAATATTTCATAAAATTTTTCAGTGAAGCCATCAGATCCTGGGCTTTTATTTGTTGGTACACTTTATATAACTAATTGTTTTTTTCACTTGTTATTGGACTGTCCAGACTTGCTATTTCTGCTTAATTTTATCTTGGTATATTGTGTGTCCAAGAATTTATCCTTTGTCTCTAGGTTTTTCAGTTTGTTAGTGTATAGTTGTTCATAACAGTCTCTGATCATCTTTTGTATTTCTGTGGTACTAGTGGTAATGTCTCATTTTCCATTTCTAATTTTATTTATTTGAATCTTTTCTCTTTTTTCCTTAGTCTAGCCTAAGCCAAGATTACATTATGAAGAAATAGAAAATCTGCTCAGACCAATAACAAGTAAAAAAAAATTGAATTAGCAATAATAAGTGTCTCAACAAATAAAAGCTTAGATTTTCAATTGTGTTTATCTTTTGGGGAAGAAAACTTTGTTCTGTTGATCTTTTCAATTACTTTTTAAATCTTTTTTTAAAATTTATTTCTCCTTTGAGCTATATTATTTCTTTCCCTCTACAAAGGTGGGTTTTTTTTTTCTTGTACTGTATTTTAAGTCCTTAAGGTGCATCATTAAGTTGCTTATTAGAAGTATCTCTCCTTGATGCATGTAGGCTTTTATTACTATAAACTTCCCTTTCAGAATTGCTTTTGCTCTGTTTCATAGATTTTCTTGTAATGTGTTCCTATTCTCATTGTTTTAAGGAATTTTTAAGTTTCTTTTTTTAATCTTTTTTATTGATCCATTGGTTATTTAGGAGCATGTTGTTTAATTTTTCATGTATTTGCAACTTTTCCAAATTTTTGATGTTCATGTTTATTTCTAGACTACAAGTCAAAAACTATAAAAAGAGACAAAGAAAATAATTATGTCATGATAAAGGAGTCAATTAACAATTGTTAGTATATATGAGTCCAACACCAGGGCACCAAAATATATAAAGCAAATATTATTAAATCTGAAGGGAGAGATAGACTGCAATGCAACAATAGTAGAGGACTTTAACATCCCATTTTCAACACTGAACAGATTAGAGATAGACTGCAATGCAACAACAGTAAAGGACTTCAACATCCCATTTTCAACATTGAACAGATTACCTAAACAGAAAACCAACAATGAAACATTTTATTTAAACTGCATCATAGACCAAACAGACCTAATGGATATTTACAGACCATTCAATACAACAGCTGCCAAATACACATTCTTCTTAAATGCACAAGGAACATTCTCCAGGATAGACCAAATGTTAGATCACAAACCAAGTCAAAACAAATTTAAGAAGAGAGACATCATATCAAGTATCTTTTCTTTCCTTTCCTTCCTTCGAGACAGAGTTTCACTCTTGTTGCCCAGACTCGAGTGCAATGGTACGATCTCAGCTCACTGCAACCTCTATTTCACGGGTTCAAGCAATTCTCCTGCCTCAGCCTCCTGAGTAGCTGGGATTACAGGCACCCAGCACCATGCCTAGCTAATTTTTTGTATCTTTAGTAGAGATGGGATTTCACCATGTTGGCCAGGCTGGTCTCAAACTCCTGACCTCAAGTGATCTGCCCACCTCAGCCTCCCAAAGTGCTGGGATTACAGGTGTGAGCCACTGTGCCCGGCCCATTTCTCATTTATTTACTTTCAGTCTATGATTGTCTTTAAGGGTGGTGAGTTGAGTATCTTGTAAGCAGCATATAGTTTGGTCTTGTTTTTGTTTGTTTTTTAAATCCATTCAGCCAGTCTATATTTTTTAATTGGAGAATTTAATCCATTTATATTCAAGGTTATTATTGATGCCTCACTCCTACAATTTTGCTGTTTTCTGCTTGTTGTGTAGATCCTTTGTTCCTTTCTATTTTGTTACTTGTGTCTGTGGTTGGAAGGTTTTCTGTGTTGCTAAGATTTCTATCAATATGTTGGCAGCTTAGTTTTGCTGAGGGTGGAGCTGCTGGTCTGGTTGTTGGGCTTGGTGTGCAAGGGCACAGTGGGATGGGCAACTGTATGGCAGACTTTCCAGGGGTGAGGGCCACTGCCACGCCAGCTGTTGGACAGGGCGTGTATGAATTCAGCAGGACAAATGACTGTGTTGGCCTCCACTGTGCAGGTCTGCCTCTTTCCTAAAGGTTGGGATAAGAAGTGGGTTCAGACGTGGGTTTCAGCTGTGCACTGGGCCTAAGCTCTAAGCAGGCAAAGCTGTTGTGCTGCAGCCATCCATGTGAATGTGGTGGAATAAAGGCAGAGCTTCGGTGATGGAGAGAGGAAGTGGCCACTGGCCACTGGCCCCCAGGGCAGGGTACCTATCTAGCGGTTTCAAGATGATGCCCTGCAGTAGCAGCTTAGGTCAAGGGTGGTGAGGGTTACACAATGTGGGCTCCTATTCTGGGGCAATGCAGCTTAATGAACTCTAGACAATTCTCCAAATTGAATTAAGGCCTGTAAGGCCTGTGAGACTCTCCTGTGACAAGAACTGCAGGCATCTGTGGTAGTAATGGGGACTCTGCTTGGGGTCCCCAGCTTACCTCTTCTTCTTAAGAAAAAGGACCTACTGTCTCCAACGTGATTTTGGTAAGGGAAAGTGTGACAGTTATGGTCCTTTGCTCTTCTCCCTAAGGTGCCATCCTGGGTTTCTGTGCTCCACAGAGGTTTTGCCACTTTCCTGGGGCTCCCCAGCCTACTTCCTCAGGCACTCCCATCAAAATGTAATTGTTTATTCATTGCTTTACTTCCTTTTTAGTGGGGTGGGATAAGTGCCAGGCAACTGTAGTCAGCCATCCTGCTCTTTCCCTGACTAGGTCTTTTAGTCTCTCTGTTGCCACACCTTAACACCTATACTTTAGCCCAAACATTCCAATAGAATTATAATTTGCTAAATATGCTATGTTCTTTAGGGTCTGCACATTCATACAAACAGTTCCTTCTTGCTGAAAACAGGTGCTTACCTCTACCACCCTAGAATGAACAATCATGTTTACTTCTTTCCCTGCTGGATAACTCCTTCTAATAGTTAAGTTTCATTTCAAATGTCTCCTCCTCTGGTCAGATTTCTCTAACCACTTGGTTTGTATCAGCTATATCACTTCACTCTCCTTTAGGACCACCTATCTCTTACAGTATACTGAGAGTTCACTGGGGATAAACATTATTAATGTGTGTATTTTCATCATCAAGATAGCAACTTTTATTTAAAAAGTTGCTTACATATTTGATGAATAAATGAGTAAAAATCATTTTACTACATCTTCCTGTCAATTAAAGCTGTTGCCAGTACTGGATATTATAAGTCACCTGTTGGCCCTTCTTCCATTTGGAATCATTTAAGGTTCACAGAGAAGATGGCAAAAAAATTAGACACTTGCTGAAATAGAAAAGAGAGCAGAAGAGATTTTGGAACTGAGGTTGGAGGAGTAAGGATGTTAATTGTGGATATGTTAAATCAGAGATAGCTATGGATATTATCAGTGTAGAGTTTATGCAGGCAGTTGATATTAAAATTTAGAATTTAAGAGCGAGAATCAAACTGGAGGTACAATGTGAGTTATAACGCGCACAGAGATGCTGTCTAAAGCATCAGATTTAATCTGGTCACTTAAAGAGCAAATTTAGAGCAAGAAGAGAGAAGATTCAAGGACAGGATCTGTGAAACTCCAAGTGTCAGAAAACTGACAGGGAACCAGCAAACAGTCCAAGGAAAAGTAGTCAGTGAAGGAGGAGAAGACCCAGCAGGATTAGTGTCATGGAAGCTGAGTGACGAAGTATTCCATGAAGACAAAAGTGATTGTCTGTGCCGAATATTGCTGAAATAGCAAGTATATTAAGGTGTGAACATTAATCATTGGATTTAGAAATAGGAAAGTATTATGTGCTAGTGAAAGAGGAGCTTTTTTAAAGTAAATGGCAGCAAGTGACACCGAAGAATTTGAAACACATTGATGCAGATAATTTTCCAGAGAATTTTGCCATAAAGAGGTCAGAGAAATAAGTTTTAGCCTGAAAAATTAAGTGAAGTAGCATTTATTTGTCTGTTTGTTGGGTAAGTTTGTTTAATTTGGAAAAATTAAAGCGTGTTTAGATTTGATGTAGAGAGGGGAAGCATTGAAGATGCAGAAGTGAGAGATCATTGCTGAGTAATTTTACTAGTAATAAGGAAAATGCCAATTAAAATTGCAGTGAGGGACTATTTCACACCAAACAGACTACCAAAATGCAAAAATTCTGTTGGTACCAATCTGTGGCCAAAATGGAGAAAATCACAAACTCTCATACATTGCTGGCAGGACTATACGTGGTAACAGCCACTTAGGAAAAATATTTGATGATATGCAGTGTAGTTGAGGCATTTATTTCCCGAGACCTAGTGATTTCGCTTTCTGGTATACCTTCTAAAGCAATATTTTTACATTTTATTGTGCATACAAATCACCGGAGATCCTGTTAAAATGCAGATTCTGGTTCAGGGGGCCTGGGATGAGGTCTGAGATTCCTCATTTCTAACAAGCTCCCGTGCAATGCCATTGCTGCATGACTGTGGATGCATGCGGAGTTACATGCCTCTGCGGCAGCTCTCGCACGTGTTCCAGAAGACGGCTGCAGTGATGCTCACTGAAATAGGGAACAGCTGCCAACCACCCCTCAGTGCATCAGTATGAGCACAGATGACACATCCTAGTATATTCAAAAGAGACAATGCCGTACTAGTTCCATGGTTGACAACATGGTGCTAAAACAAAAAACTCAAAGAATGATACATATTGAATGTTGCCTTTTATGTACATTTTATTTCCGAACATAAAAATATGTAAATTACAGTGGAAGACCAGACACAGAAATGCATGAAAATGCTTTCCTCTGAAAAGGGAGAAGAGTGGGATGGGATGGATAGGGGACTTTGAATAATATTATAAAATAGGGAAAATATTAATATATAGATACAGTATAGTAGGTATTCACTGTATTGTAAAAAATTTTATGGATTTTTAAATGATTAGCTTTTAAACTCATATAAATATTTGAAAATTCCCCGGGGCGGGGGTGGGGGGCATTCATAGAACAATTATGACTGTTTCTGTGCACTAGAGTCACTTAAAAATATTGCCCACTTTGTGATTATGTTTCTATGTAAGTTTGTGTGTGAACAAGCAGAAAGGTGGATGGATACGTATCAAGCACAACACTTCAGAAATGGAATGACTGTGGCAGAAGATTCCTTACATTTTCATTATACAGCCTTTGTTTTGGTCTTCCAATTCAAACAATAATTATGCAATATTTTTAACATAAGCCCTTCCTTACAGGAAATTTAAAGTAAAATACTTTTAATATCAAATAAATGTAAAAATATTAAAGAAAAGTAACAAGAATAAAAAGTGTTGCAGTGTAGGAGATGAATGTTTGGGAAATTTTTTTTTAAAAAGTAACAGTTATGAACTATGACCCACAAGTGCAACTTACAAAGAATCATATTGTCTCTAATCAAAAGACTCATTCATAATCATATGTAAGATATTTAACTTCTACTTTAAAACATACTGACAGGCATGCCGCCAACATTCCGGCTTCCCTGCTTTCTCCCCCATCTTCACCCTTCTCCTTTACCCGAATAACTGCTGAGTCCCAATCTGTATCCCACACCAAGTAATACTTCTTTACTCTTCTTGTCCTGATTAAGTTACCAAAGATTAGTGTTTTTCAAAATTCAACCCACTGCAATCAACATAATGCCTTATTGAAATCATCTTGTGAAATCTCTGCCTTTGAAAGGAACTGTGTTGTTATCAGCATAAAACATGGAATCAGTGCTGGTCTCCATTTTTCAAAAAAGCTTAAATGCTACCTAACGCCCAGTTCAAATTGAGCATAGTGAGGCTGCAATCTGCAGCAATCTGAGCTTCAAGTGCATTCCTGCAGCTCAAAAGGAGGATCTGAGGTTGAAAATGACAGAAATGTAGAAGTCTATTACTTTACACGTACAATCATATATATATAGTATTATAATATAAATGTTATACATTATATTATAAATGTAAAATATATTATTGTCCTGCCATGTTCCAGGTGCTATCCTAGTGTTAGGAAAACAGGCATAACAATGATCAGCTTCATGCTTTATTAACATATTATTTTACATATTTATGGGGTACATGGGATGTTTGGTTATACACAGGATGTATAATGATCATGTCAGGGTATGTGAGGTGTCCATCACTTGGAATATTTCTCATTTCTACGTGTTTTATCTTTTAATCAGGCCCGGGTAATTTTCTCAGTGCATGCCAGTTTTGACAAGTTCTTCAGAAATGTTGACTATGTCTGCATGGGAAAAGGAGAGATCAATGCATAGTAGTGTTTTTTTCTACAGACCCTAATTAAACAGAATGGGATGCTAAAGAAATTGATGGTCCCATATAATGTGTTCTACCAGTTCTTTAGTTCTTTCTTTTCCAGAGCCTTCCACTTAACTATATTTCACAAATCTTGTCATTACTCAATTCAGATGTTCCAAGTGGGGTTAGACACTAGTGGAGATTGAAAATAGTTACACGGGTAGTTAAAGCAGGTTTTCAGTTTGCATCTCTGCCTTTATTATCACCATATCACCTTATATTCAGCAAGTGTGTAAAAAATGAAGGATGTGTCAAATGGGTTAACATTCTCATGGCTATGTGTGTTCATCTTTCCATCAGTCATGAAAAAACTGTTTCCTACGTGCTATGATGACCTTATGTCTTGTATGATTGGATTCTGCAGACATTCTCTTATTTTCTCTAATTTTAAGACATTAGAAACACTGTGTTAGCAATTTGAGGTAATCTCGCTGAGAGTGATGTTTGGCAGGGCTCTCTACTGATGACTCAGGGTCAATAAGATCTATTCAACATCCACTATTTTGCTTTATTAAACTCTCAGCAAAACCAACTCAAATACATTTTGCCAGAAACATAAAACATAAACTAGCTATTAAAAGCAAGAATAAAGAAAATAAAAGCTGATGCTTCTTTTCTTCATATTTCTAACTTCACATTCCTCTTTCCGCCTAAATCCAAAATGAAAACAAGCAAAAACAAACAAACAAACAAAAAACTGTTTAACACAGAACTATGTAAGCTTTCTTAGTCCTTAGTTGGAATGCCTGAACAGCTCAGGACCATTGACCACCTTCTCGAATATTAATGTGCTGTCCCTATAACTCTGTGCTTAAAGCTCTCCTTTGCCCCAAAATCCAATCAAATAGGCTCTCATGAAAACTGTATGGTTAATACATCCTCTGCTTCTGCAGAAGTCTTTAGTCTATACTATTCAGCCCACAAAGTCCACTAACTAAGAAAGTTTTCCAAACACCCACTCTCATACAAAATTCTATTGGATTCTTCAAAGATTATTAAGGACTTACTGCTAGGACCCCATGTTAAAGTAGCTTGCAGTCTAGCAAGACAGTCATGCATAAGAGGGAGCAACCGCAGTGCAGTGTGGTAAATATACTCATGCAAGGTCGAGGTCAAGCTTGCTGAGGGACCAGAGGAGCTCTTCTCAAAGGAATTGCCACCAAATCTCAGTTTTAAGGATGAATAAACATGTATCGATGGATAAGGAAGTAAAAGTTCTTTCAAAAGAGAAAAGAAGATCATATTTGCAAAAGCAAGGAAGCCTAGATCTGTGTATTTGGGCTTTGGATCTCAGAATCTAATGAGGATGAACTGGGTGCCGGATAGTGGAATATGAGACGAAGGTAAATATAATTAAAATTAGGCTTTATCATTTGATCTGGGGCCAGTAAACCACGGCTGTGGGCTAAATACGGCCCACCATTTGTCATCTAAAGTTTTATTGGAACCAGGCAGACTTGTTCATTGTACATTGTCTTAGCAGCTTGGAGAGTGGCGAAGAGACCCTGAAGTCCTCAAAGCCTAGGGTGTCTACTACCTAACCCCTTACAGAGAAAGCTTGTCACCCTGATTTAGATGCTGGGATTTGGTGAAGTATTTAAGCAGGCGTTGAGAACAGATTTTAGTCTTTGTCAGGAGATGTGAGGTGAGCCAGAGTTTGATCATGTAGAGGCAGGAAGACCATTTCAGAATGGGAAATAATAAGAACCCAAACTAAGGCAGTGGTTGTGGCGATGAAGATGGAGAACAGGGAAGGAAATCACCTCGTGTTAAATAGGTGCAATGGGTAGGACCTGACAAAGCTACAGGCGCGGAGGAGAAAGGGAAGAGTCAGGGTTTTCTACCACTAACCGAGATGGTGTAGATTGTACAGAAGAAAAGGGTCAGGAAAAAATAAGAGAGAATCCAGAGATGATGTACTGACTGTTCCCTCGAGGCAGAGCAGAACCATTTTTGTCTTTTTATAAACAACATAAATTTTGTATTTTTGATACAAAAAGTGGCAGAGCATAAGTCTGTTGAATAAAACTGTAAAAAAACATAAAAGAGAAAAAAACAAAATTATACAAGTAATCCTTAATGACACAATTAATGAATTCTCTTTGTGTCTGTTGTTCCCATGACTACATATGCTTTCCAATATCTTACCAAAATGGAAGCATACTCTTATACTCTCTCATAAAATCCACAAAGAGTTAATTATTGGGATAGTTTCAAATTTTGTTTTTATAAGCAGCATTCTGACTGAATTGTTAAATTTTTGATATGTATTCAATTTTTTCCTTAGTATAAATTCCACTATATGGAATTTCTAGGTCAAAGAAAATGTACATTTTTAAATGTTTTAAACAATTATTTAAAAGTTCTTATAATCATTTGTTTACAGAGTATAGAAATCTAGACAAATCCATGCCAGAATAAAGAGGATTTATTAACAAAAATACTATGGGACTCTAATTGAAGAAATAGAGCTGAGTTCCTGCGAAATGCACTAAGAACACGAAAGTCAGCATAAAACGTCTCTCATCCTTCCTTTTGCTCTTGCTCTTTCTCCTGGTGCAGCATGATCTTTCTTTTACACTCTCTGAGACACCTTAACATGATTTTTAGCCCTCCCTTGGCTCACCCATCTGATTATACCTGGCTCATTACAGTGGCCCAATGTAGTAGTTTCCATCCTTAAATCTAATGATATTACAGCTCTACTTGATTCTAACTTCAAAATTTGTAAAATAAAGTGATCGAAAGATAAAAATTTCACTTGATGCATCTGAAATTATTCGTCCATCCCCTTCCAATCAGCTCCGAAAATGGGTCTATATCAACTGGAAAAGCCACCCATCACTTCCAAAGCCTTCAGTTGGACAGGGCTCTTGTCAGGGATATAATGACAGGTATCTCTACCCCCCAAAAAAGTATTCAATACACATTAAAAATGCAAATAATAAATGTAAATGATATATCATTTTAACAATTAGAAATAACCTCAGTTTTCATTTTCATTTATTGTCTCCTGGATGTGTTTTTCTAACACTTAAGACAAAGTTCAAAACATTTTTCCAGATCAAAAATTAAAACCCTTCAACATCATTTTAATAATCACTGAATATTCGATTTCATATTTATGCCTCGAGTTATCAAGTATTGTTCAACTGAGGGATATTGAGATTGTTTCCAGTGTTTAGATATTTAAAACTGTGTGATAATAAACATTTTAGCTTATTTTTCAGACTATTTATTTAGAAAAATATTAAAAGAGAGAAATTGCTAATTAAAAAAATTTGCAGCCTACAAGAGTTTTGATACACACTAACAAGTAATCACACACAAATTGTCACTAAATTAGAGGTGCACTACGCCAGGATGATGCTGGTGCTATCATCTTCCTCATCACCAATCTGATACGTCTTTTAAAACAACTGTTCAAATGCTTATTGACCACACAAGAGCCTTTTGTTATACTCATGGTCTGCTTTTGCACAGATGATCTGATTTTTTATGTAAAGTTTTTGATGATCTGATTTTTTAATGTAAAGTTTTCCTTTATCAGATAAGGATAGTCAATTTTCCACTGCTTATTGGTTTAAATGTTGTTCCTTTGTATTTCAACTTAACATTGTTTATGGTAGAATTTTTTTTATGTCTTTTGTTTGATGTGCAGGGGGATTTTTTTTTATGTATATGTGGTCAAATCCATGCAATCCTGTGTGGTTTCAGCTTGTCTCAGGATTTAGTGAGACATTTAGAAGAGTCTGTCCCAATTATCATATCATTTTTGAATGTTTTTTAATGTTAAATTTACTTCCAGTATTTAATTACCTAATTTTGTCATTGAAATAGTATTTTTAACTGATTTGAGTGTTATATTTGAGAAGGAACTATAAAAATTTTAACTCAGATTATATCCTAACAGAATAAATTTTGTAAACCATCTCTTCTCCCATTAATTTAAAATTCAAAAATTAATGTGCACAGTTTCAGCTCTGATACATAAAGAGCTAGTGAGCTAATACTCCTGTCCTTAGAATAGGAAAAAGATGGGCCAATTGAAAATCAATGGCTTTCTTAGAACCATCAAAGGGTCTGAATTTGAAGGATCAACTTCTGTCCCGAAAGCTGTAAAGACAGGCATATCCAAAGAGGCATAAAACCCAAATCTGCTTACCTAGAGCGGAAGCCCCTGGAGCCAGGACCTGGCAGGCACACTTGAACAGTGATTTTGTTGACTTACTAGAGGCTGAATGTGGACTAAATGGAGGCAGAAGCTCCTTGCGTCACAGTCTCAGGGCTCCCCTCACATTCATAGGGTGTCCCTCTGGAAACCCTACTGGATTCTCAATGATAATTCAAGAACAATGCCTTCCTAGCTTTGGCCAGGGAAAGGGAAGGGTAACAACTGTGAAATATACTAGAATCTTGTCCATAAAGAGGTCTACTTTATAGAAGAAAACACTGCCATAGTGCAATTTTGAAATCTTATCCCAACCGGGAGAAGAAAATCACTCCTCGTTCAAGCCATCTTCAGCCTTTCTGTCTCAACTAAGTGGAAACAAACACAATCAAAACCACAACCATAGTCAACAGGTGCCAAAGCCACAGAAAATAAATTGGGGAAGCTGAGTCAGAGAAGGGAGTAAGGAGCAGAGGGAACAAAATATATACTACTTGTGAAGGTCATGGACACAGACCAACTAAAAGACTTGAGAGTTATTCAGAAGTTTGTAGAATTATCCTCCTCTTCATCTTCTACCACAACAAAAGGCCTCCCGTATAGCACCAGTGAATTACAACTGAGAGAGCTGCAGGACACAAAATCCCTCTTGGGATTATAAGAACCAAAGCCCAAAGTTAAGACGGGAGATAGGAACAAGGACACTAGAAGATTTTGAAGACTCTTATACCAATAGCTACGACAAATACTAAACACAGCCCAACTCCTAGTCCCGCTAATCCATACGAAAAGCCTGTTTATCTCAGTTCCTGTGACCTGGCACAGCATGTCTAGCCTTGAACAAAACAAAATTAAAGGGCATGGCAAGAAAAAATATATAATCTAAAAAGACAAAGCAATAATAAGAACCAGGTTCTGACGTGACACGTACTTTAGAATTAAAAGAGAATTGAACAAGTAGGACCAATATGTTAAGGATTCTAAAGTAAAAAGTAGAAACATGCATAAAATACACGTGTAATGTTTACAGAGAGATAAAAGCAAGAAAGAATAAAAAAGAAGTTGTAGAAAATAAAACACAGTAACAAAAATGAAGAATGCCCTTAGTGGGTTTAGTAATAGATCCAACACGGTCCAGAAAAGAACCAGTGAACTTGAAGGTGAGTAAACAGAATCATTCAAACTAAACTGCAAAAAGAGCAGATGAAGATAAAACCATAACAGACATAAAAGACTTGTGGGGCAATACCAATAGGTGCAACTACGTGTTATTAAAGTGACAAATGAAGCAGAAACAGAGAAAAGAGCAGAAAAAAATATTGGCCCAGCATATTTCAAAATTAATAATAGACACCAAACTACAGATACAGGTAACTCAGAGACCATCAAGCAGGATAAAGACCAAAATACTATATGCAGGCATGTCATGTTCAAACTGCAGAAAACTGAAGGAAGAGAAATTTAAAACTAAAAATAATATTTAAGAAAAATTTTAGAAACGGAGAAACAAGGAAAATAATTACAGCAGACATCTCACCAGAAATCATGCAAGCAAGAAGAGAGTGGAATAAAGTATTTAAAATGTTGAAGGAAAAAGCCATCAACCTAGAATTCTATATTCAGTATAAATTTTTTTTTTATTATACTTTAAGTTTTAGGGTACATGTGCACAACATGCAGGTTAGTTACATATGTATACATGTGCCATGTTGGTGTGCTGCACCCATTAACTCATCATTCAACATTAGGTATATCTCCTAATGCTATCCCTCCCACCTCCCCCCTCCCCCCACCCCACAATAGGCCCCGGTGTGTGATGTTCCCCATCCTGTGTCCAAGTGTTCTCATTGTTCAATTCCCACCTATGAGTGAGAACATGTGGTGTTTGGTATTTTGTCTTGTGATAGTTTGCTGAGAATGATGGTTTCCACCTTCATCCATGTCCCTACAAAGGACATGAACTCATCATTTTTATGGCTGCATAGTATTCCATGGTGTATAAGTGCCACATTTTCTTAATGCAGTCTATCATTGTTGGACATTTGGGTTGGTTCCAAGTCTTTGCTATTGTGAACAGTGCTGCAATAAACATATGTGTGCATGTGTCTTTATAGCAGCATGATTTATAGTCCTTTGGGTATATACCCAGTAATGGGATGGCTGGGTCAAATGGTATTTCTAGTTCTAGATCCCTGAGGAATCGCCACACTGACTTCCACAATGGTTGAACTAGTTTACAGTCCCACCAACAGTGTAAAAGTATTCCTCTTTCTCCACATCCTCTCCAGCACCTGTTGTTTCCTGACTTTTTAATGATCACCATTCTAACTGGTGTGAGATGGTATCTCATTGTGGTTTTGATTTGCATTTCTCTGATGGCCAGTGATGATGAGCATTTTTTCATGTGTCTTTTGGCTGCATAAATGTCTTCTTTTGAGAAGTGTCTCTTCATATCCTTTGCCCAATTTTTGATGGGGTTGTTTGTTTTATTCTTGTAAATTTGTTTGAGTTCATTGTAGATTCTGGATATTAGCCCTTTGTCAGATGAGTAGATTGCAAAAATTTTCTCCAATTCTGTAGATTGCCTGTTCACTCTGATGGTAGTTTCTTTGGCTGTGCAGAAGCTCTTTAGTTTAATTAGATCCCATTTGTCAATTTTGGCTTTTGTTGCCATTTCTTTTGGTGTTTTAGACATGAAGTCCTTGCCCATGCCTATGCCATGAATGGTATTGCCTAGGTTTTCTTCTAGGGTTTTTATGGTTTCAGGTCTAACATTTAAGTTTTTAATCCATCTTGAATTAATTTTTGTATAAGATGTAAGGAAGGGATCCAGTTTCAGCTTTCTACATATGGCTAGCCAGTTTTCCCAGCACCATTTACTAAATAGGGAATCATTTCCCCATTGCTTGTTTTTGTCAGGTTTGTCAAAGATCAGATGGTTGTAGATATGCAGCATTATTTCTGAGGGCTCTGTTCTGTTCCATTGATCTATATCTCTGTTTTGGTACCAGTACCATGCTGTTTTGATTACTGTAGCCTTGTAGTATAGTTTGAAGTCAGGTAGTGTGATGCCTCCAGCTTTGTTCTTTTGGCTTAGGATTGACTTGGCAATGCGGGCTCTTTTTTGGTTCCATATGAACTTTAAAGTAGTTTTCTTCCAATTCTGTGAAGAAAGTCATTGGTAGCTTGATGGGGATGGCATTGAATCTATAAATTACCTTGGGAGGTATGGCCATTTTCACAATATTGATTCTTCCTACCCATGAGCATGGAATGTTCTTCCATTTGCTTGTATCCTCTTTTATTTCATTGAGCAGTGGTTTGTAGTTCTCCTGAAGAGGTCCTTCACGTCCCTTGTAAGTTGGATTCCTAGGCATTTTATTCTCTTTGAAACAATTGTGAATGGGAGTTCACTCATGATTTGGCTCTCTGTCTGCTATTGGTGTATAAGAATGCTTTTGATTTTTGCACACTGATTTTGTATCCTGAGACTTCGCTGAAGTTGCCTATCAGCTTAAGGAGATTTTGGGCTGAGATGATGGGGTTTTCTAGATATACAATCATGTCATCTGTAAACAGAGACAATTTGACTTCCTGTTTTCCTAATTGAATACCCTTTATTTCCTTCTCCTGCCTGATTGCCCTGGCCAGAACTTCCAACACTATGTTGAATAGGAGTGGTGAGAGAGGGCATCCCTGTCTTGTGCCAGTTTTCAAAGGGAATGCTTCCAGTTTTTGCCCATTCAGTATGATATTGGCTGTGGGTTTGTCATAGATAGCTCTTATTATTTTGAGATACATCCCATCAATACCTAATTTATTGAGAGTTTTTAGCATGAAGAGTTGTTGAATTTTTTCAAAGGCCTTTTCTGCATCTATTGAGATAATCATATGGTTTTTGTCATTGGTTCTGTTTATATTCTGGATTACATTTATTGATTTACATAGTTGAACCAGAGGGAAATTTATAGCACTATATGCCCACAAGAGAAAGCAGGAAAGATCTAAAATTGACACCCTAACATCACAATTAAAAGAACTAGAGAAGCAAGAGCAAACACATTCAAAAGCCAGCAGAAGGCAAGAAATAACTAATGTCAGAGCAGAACTGAAAGAAATAGAGACACAAAAAACCCTTCAAAAAAATCAATGAATCCAGGAGCTGGTTTTTTGAAAAGTTCAACAAAATTGATAGACCGCTAGCAAGACTAATAAAGAAGAAAAGAGAGAAGAATCAAATAGATGCAATAAAAAATGATAAAGGGGATATCACCACCGATCCCACAGAAATACAAGCTACCATCAGAGAATACTATAAACGCCTCTACGCAAATAGACTAGAAAATCTAAAAGAAATGGATAAATTCCTCGACACATACACCCTCCCAAGACTAAACCAGGAAGAACTTGAATCTCTGAATAGACCAATAACAGGCTCTGAAATTGAGTCAATAATTAATAGGTTACCAACCAAAAAAAGTCCAGGACCAGACGGATTCACAGCCGAATTCTATCAGAGGTACAAGGAGGAGCTGGTACCATTCCTTCTGAAACTATTCCAATCAACGGAAAAAGAGGGAATCCTCCCTAACTCATTTTATGAGGCCAGCATCATCCTGATACCAAAGCCTGGCAGAGACACAACAACAACAAAAAAGAGAATTTTAGACCAATATCTGTGATGAACATTGATGCAAAAATCCTCAGTAAAATACTGGCAAACGGAATCCAGCAGCACGTCAAAAAGCTTATCCACCATGATCAAGTGGGCTAAATATCTTTCAAAAGTAAAGGAGCAGCAAAGACTTTCTCAAACTGAAACTGAGAGAATTCATCACCAACAGACCTGCCCTCTAAGAAACATTTCATGCAGAAGAAAAATTATATAGGCCAGAAACATAGAGCTACATAAAGAAAATAGCATCAAACAAGTAACAAATGAAGGCAAAATATTTTAGTCTTCATATTTTAACCCTAAAATTAATTAAGACAATTGTTTGCTTAAAACAATAATAACAACAATGTATCAGATGATTATGTCATATAGACAAGTGAAATGAGTGACAGCAATGTCCCTGGGGATGGGGGGTGAGGAATTGGGGGTACTCTGTTATCAGGTAATCAGGTACGGACATTACATGAGAAGTTGTACAGTACTTTTTAAAGGTGAACCTATAATAGTTAAAAATGTATATTGCAAACTCTAGAACAGCCATTAAAATATTTTTAGAGAAGTATAATTGATATATTAAGAAGGAGAATAAAATGGAATCAAATGAGATGTTCAGTTAATATCATAGAAAGCAGATAAAGAAGGGAAAAATAATATTTTAAAAATATGTCTGTATAATTGAGCCTGTTTCTGAACTTTTCATTGTATTTTTTCTACTGGAATCAGTAGCAGTATATATATATATATATATATACACATATACACACACACACACATATATACACATACACATATACACACACTATATATAGTATACTTCGTACATAGCATACTTCATACTACACATATACTATGTATAGTATACTTCATATATATACTATATTAATACTATACATATAGTATATACTATATATACTTCATATATGAATACATGAAGAATATATTTTTTCTAGTAGAAAAAATAAAACATGAAAAGTTTAGAAACAGGCTCAATTATACAGAAATATTTTTATACTGGAATCAGTAACAGTATATATATATATATAATATATACACTGTGTGTATATATTTCTAATATATTTCTACACACACATATTTCTACACACACACACACACACACACACACGGAGACTTTGCTTACATTTCCATTCAGCTTATTGAATAATTTAGGGAAAAAAATGCAATCTGGCCATGCTGGATTTTTTTTTTTTTTGCCTCATTTAATGAAGTTATATTCCTCTCAACGAAATTTTGTAGTTTTCTTCATACATCCTATGCTTAGAATTTTTATTTTCATTGTTATACAATAAAATTTTGTAACCATTTTTTTCCAATTGGTGTTTATTAGCTTCTAAATATTTGATTTGAGTGTATGTTTCATGTACTCAACAAGCTACTCAATAGTCTCATTAGGCCTAATACTAACATTAAGTTTTCTCTTTTCTAGAAAGGCCATTGTTCGTATGTGTCTTCCTGTCTGATATTTAAACTTCTTTTTTTTTTTGAGACGAAGTTTTGCTCTTGTCACCCAGGCTGGAGTGCAGTGGCACGATCTCGGCTCACTGCAACCTCTGCCTCCCAGTTGCAAAAGATTCTCCTGCCTCAGCCTCCTGAGTGGCTGGGATTACAGGCGCATGCCACTACGCCCGGCTATTTCTGTATTTTTTTTTTAGTAGAGACGGGGTTTCACCATGTTGACCAGGCTGGTCTTGAACTCCTGACCTCATGATCCGCCCGCCTCGGCCTCCCAAAGTGCTGGAATTACCGGCACGAGGCACCGTGCCCAGCCATAACTTCTATTTTTTTTTTTTTTTTTTTTTTGAGATGAAGTTTTGCTCTTGTTGCCCAGGCTGGAGTGCAGTGGTGTGATGTTGGCTCACTGCAATCTCTGCCTCCCAGGCTCAAGCAATTCTCTTGCCTCAGCCTCCGAGTACCAAGGATTACAGGTGCCCGCCACCACACCTGGCTAATTTTTGTATTTTTAGTAGAGATAGGGTTTCACTATGTTGGCCAGGCTCGTCTCAAACTCCTGACCTCAGATGATCTGCCCGCCTCAGCCTCCCAAAGTGCTGGGATTACAGGCATGAGCCACCGCGCCCAGCCAAACTTCCATTTTTTAAAATTGCATTGCCTAGGACCTCCAGAATACTGCTATATATAACAGTGCTTACAGGTGTTTGTTTCTAATTACTGAATCTAAACAGAGTACTTCAGTGTTTTTTTCATTAAATATTAATTTTCTGTTGGTTTTTTTTTCACATATTTAACAAAAATAATCCAATGTTGTAGATTCTGATGGTGCAACCAGACAGACACAATTCCTGCTCTTGCGGAACTCAGAGTTAACTGACAGTTATAAAATGAATAAATAATTGGATACTGTAATCAGTAAATCAAGGATGCATCAATTATAAGATTTACCATCATTTATTATGTTATGCTAAAGAAAAATGAAGTCCCAATTAAACTATTATAAGCAAATGATTATAAGACACATTGTGATTTTTAAAATGTAGAAGTATTTTAAGAATTTTGATTTAAAACCAAGTTAAAAAGTCATTAAATAGTGAAAACTGATTCAACAAACACGGACAATATCGGCGATGGAAGGAGCTTTTCAGGTCATTTAAACAGGATGATGACTTCAGTGCCTGAGTGGGTGTTGGGTGTTGATGGTCAGAAGTGCCTCCTCTGTGTAGGGGATATTTAAGCAGAGATCAAGAAGATACCAGAGGTGTGACAATGAGATGAGCGCTTCAAGCAACCACAGTGTCTGGTGAAAGACCCCACGGGAGAAATAAGCTTGTCACTGTGAGGAACAGAAGTGGTTCCGTGTCACTGCAGTGGACAGGCAGGGAGGGGAGCGTGTCCCCAGTGGAGACCGGAGTGGAAGCGAGGTCCAGGCTTACATGCTTGCCTTTCCAGACAGTTCAGATTTATTCCAAGAGCTGCGAGAGGCTGCTGAAAGGTTTTAGGAAATAGGTGGTATTGGCTGGGCACGGTGGCTCACACCTGTAATCCCAGCACTTACAGTGGCCAAGGCGGGTGGTTGTTCCATACCAGCCTGGCCAACATGGTGAAACCCCATCTCTACTGAAAATACAAAAATTAGCCTGGCGAGGTGGCGGCTGCCTGTAATCCCATCACTTTGGGAGGCCAAGGTGGAGGTGGGTGAATCACCTGAGGTCAGGAGTTCGAGACTAGCCTGACCAACATGGTGAAATCCCGTCTCTACTAAAAACACAAAAATTAGCTGGGTGTGGTGGTGGGCGCCTGTAATCCCAGCTACTCAGGAGGCTGAGGCAGGAGAATCACTTGAACCTGGGAGGCGGAGGATGCAGTGAGCTGAGATTGTGCCACTGCACTCTAGCCTGGGCAACAAGAGTGAAACTCAGTCTCAAACAAAACAAAACAAAACAAAACAAAACAAAAACAAAAAAAAACAGCAAAGAATTCTGAGAAGACATAACCACTGAGCTTAAAGAGAAACCAGCAGTCATGGAAAGCAAGGCTGGAAAGTGTTTTATAAGAAAGGGAACCATCATCTCAGGAGAAAAAATATCTAAAAAACTAAGTAAGAAAAGTATACAGAAGTGTGGTTCAAGTTCTAAAAATGAAGACCCCAAATTACACGTGGCTTTGACATCTGGTAAAGGCAGCAGGGCCTGCAGCGGCTTCCCTGCATCCCCTCCACACTCGCCCATGAATGAGGTCCTCTCATCAGCCAGTCTGATGGAACAGCCAGGCACGGTTGCTGCGGATCCCTGAGTAGCGTGTTTCTGTTCCCCGCCAGCCCTAGAGACATTATTCCAACAAGCCCAGCGCATTCCCCCATGAGAACCTGAGGACAACGCACACTCTGACACTCCAAAGCCTCTCACAGCTCCAGCAGTTCATTCTGTCCCCAACACAGTCCTCGGGCGCCAGGACAGTGCACGGCCTCCCGGTCCGCCGGGCTGCTCCACGACGGTGTCCCCAGGGCTGCGCCACAACAGTGCACGACCTCCCCGTAACTCGGGCTGCCCCACGACGGTGCACGGCCTCCCGGTCCCCCGGGCTGTGCCACGACAGCGTCCCCCGGGCCGCCCCACGACGGTGCACGGCCTCCAGGTCCCTCGGGCTGCGAGTGCAGGTGATTAATAAACTGCCGTCAATCTCGTCTGCTCGGTGGCGGGTGATTTGTTTTCAGACAATACTATAGCCCTGGGACGAGAATCCCTCCCTGCGAATGGGATGAACAGCGAGCACTTAAACAAAGAGTGGCCATTGGATCTGGCAACATTAGCTTCCCCTGGAATCAGGAAGAAAATACTTTGACAAGGAAATGTGAGGAAGAAGTAGAAACAGGAACTGGAAAGATCTCCTTCCAGAAGTTCCACTGTGCTTGGGAGTGAGGGGAAGATGGTTTTCTAAGACCGGAGATGCCACAGCCTATAAAAGGGCTGAAAATTAAGAAGGGCAGATGGGTGGGGCAAGAGTAAGGGCCAACAGCAGCAAGAGTAAAGTCCTTGGGAAGTGGGAGGTAAACGGCTCTGGAGCACAAGGTTGTTCTCAGACAGAAGCGCGGAGATTTCATCCAAAGTAGCAGAAGGTGCAACAAAGCAGAGATGGATGCGAGTGCCCTGCCCCGGCAGCTGAGACGTGGGAAGATGGGAGTCCCGGCCCACAGAGCTCACTGATGGCTTCCACTGTGCTCACCTGTTCTGGGGGGACGCACAGGAGATGGAGCTGGGTTTAATGAAAATTGAGAATTTGCCCAGAAAAATGTCGAGACTATTTACAAAAGACTGTCAGATACTTATTAGCATATAAAGAAAATAAACTTTTATTCCTAGAGGTAAATAAGAGCTATTAAAAAATGAAAAGATGTAAAATTTTGTTTATTTTTTATGTGAAGTATCAAAATGATCATATTGTTTTTCTTTGGTTGTACAGCATTATGGTTTTCTTCACTTGTTTTAAAAATTAAGAAACTAGTTTAAAGAATTGATTGAATGTGATATGTTGAGTTTTCACTAAGTCACTAAGCTTAATGGTGTACATAACACATATAACATATGATTAGTCTTTCTTAAGAATACTTAGATTTTATATTATTAAGTAAGAGACATAGGATCACATCTATGTGATAATAATATGAAAATGTTTAATACCAAACAAGCTGAATAAACTCTAACCATGGAAAACTTAGTATAGGGATAAAATTGCTATCTGTGGTTGATGTTCCAGTGGCTTGAATGCTATGCAATAGACAGGAACAACATTTCTGGGAAGTAACATTTGGGGGGACCTATATTTTGGTAAGTCCTGGAAAACCAGACTAACTATATTTTATTATTATAGTCTAGTTAACTTAGAATATGAGATGGATGTTTTAATTCATAACAAATGAGCATTCAGAGTATGAGATAACATATGTAATGCATTTAGAATAGCACCTGGCATATAGTAAATAACCAATTAAATTATTATTTTAATATTGCTGGCAATGCTTGTCAAATATAAGAATATTGAAAATGATGCTATCTGGAGTCTATTTATCATCTGAAAAGTATTTTTTATTGTTTTATTGAAGAGAAAGCAACAGCATTTCTCACAGATTTGTTTCCTGTTTGCTTGTGAGCTTGTTATTAGAACATTTCTGCAACCCATGAACACAAACCTGGTCACGATAAATATGCCAAATCTTGGGAAATTCACTTAACGCCCCTTCCTGTTAGGCCTGTTATACTGAGATACACGCTGATCGATGGGATTTATGTAAGTACTTGTGCTTTTAAAACTCAGTCCATGCACTACTTGTAGACTGTGGTCAAACATTTAAATTAAGTAACTCTTCTACAAGGCAATTTGGCAGAACCTTAAACTTTTGCAAACTCTTAGAACTAGCATTTCTCCTTAGAACCAGGAATATTCAAACATTTATCTGTAAAGAAATTATTGTAACAACAGCAAAAAAATGTGAAGGAATCTAAATGCCCTCTGCTAAAGCGATAGGTAAATAAATTATGGCCAAATATGCATGCATCAATCACAAATAGTGTCGCATAACACTGTGCAGTGATGCACAAAGAGACTCTTAGTCTATTAAGCACAACTGCTATGATCAAACACTCAAAAACTAAGTGACCCTATTTTTTGGAAAAATAAGAGATAGTCATTGAAAGAAAAATACTTGAAGGAGATACACTAAAATGTTGGTAGTATTTGTGTCTGAATGGTGGTGTTAGAAGTAATTTTCTTGTTTTCTCTATCTATATTTTCCATTTTTAATAAATATATCTCCTCTTTGCTTAGAAAATATAAGGTTTTTTTAACTGAAATATAACAAAGTGATATAGAAGGAGACCTACTTCTGACAATATTAAAACATAGCTAAGTAATATCATGCATACTAATGAACATTCAAAACCAAAAGAAGCAAATAAAATATATATTAAAATTAATGTAAATATACAATTTATATTTGCTCAGATTCAGTCAAATATTTGAAACAAATTTTAGTAGGGTCAGAAATGAAAAGAATATAATAGTTACAAAGATAATAGATGGGTTATAGCTCTTGTACAATTATCATCATCATCATCATCATCATCATCAATTAACATTCATTGAGTCGCTTCTCTAGGGAGCTAAACCTATTTCTTAGAAATAGAACACATCTGGAAGTAAAATTCTTCTTTTCAGGGTTCAAGAGGACTACTTAGGAAATTCCAATTCAGAACATCACACAGTATCTAGCCTTCTGAAAAAGTTAATGTAGTTTCCAGAAGAGTTCAGCATATTAAGCAGTGTCAACAGAAAGCGGCTGGATTACAAAACATAATCGCCAAACAGCTGCACTGGGAATAGCATCACTCAAATGATCTATTACCATCAGAAAACTGCTGCAAGAGAACCCTATGGCTGACGAGCCTCCTATCCCCAAACAGCACTGCCCTCAAAATAGAATACCAGACCAGGTACAAAGCAACATTTAAGACATGGCAACTGAGGTCCAAGGTAAGTACATGCCAGACAAACAGGGAAAAAAATTGACCAAATTTAAGAGAAGCATTAAATTTAGGAAAAGCTTCAAAATTATTCATTCAAAAAAATTTTTACTCTGAAAATATGCAGAGGCATATAAATTAGCTTTGTGGCTTTTGAAAGTTTGTTTTTTTCTAAATAGTCTAAATAAACAATAATCATTTTTCAGTTTAAATTACTTGAAGACTTAATTAAATCACCCCAGTTGAATAAGTGATGTGACTTATTTCCAAAAAATATTTTTTGGCTTTATTAAAAAAAAAAAACTTCTGAATTTTCTATAGTAACTATGCAATGGGACACATTTGTTAAAAATACAAAATCTAGATTAAAACTGCTTGGGATCAAATCTCAATTCTGCTAGTCACTAACCTTGTGGTCCTGGTTAAGTTACCTAATCTCCCTAGGTTCTTTATCTGTAAGCCGTGTATAATTAATAATTACAGCACCTGCTCATAGATGTGCTTTGAGGATTAAGTGGATTTGTGCATATAAAAGCACTTATAAAGATGCCTTGTACACAATAACTGCCCAATAAATGCTTATGATATTTATGCTACGATAACTAGTCATGGCAACATACAATCTGTTTATAGTTACCATTTTGAATGACTTTCTATGGGGAATCTTAATGCCTCGGTATCAGTGAACATGAGGTCTCTGGTGAAACATCATTGCACTCTCTCCCAGCCTTCTCTCATTTTGTTGTTTCCCTTAATTTTAATAAAACCAAAGTCATGCTTTTCAAATATACATGTAACTAAGCATGGAGAAAAGGGACTCTTGGAAGATAGACTCGAGATTTAAAATGACCTGCATACATTGTAGTGCTGGACTGTAAGTGCTGTGACAAAATGCACAGAAAGAATAGAAGGATGTTCCACATTTGGGATCAGAAAAACCAAACGCAGAAACACACGATAATGGGGACATGGGTCTAAAGGTGCAGACACAATTGGATGTTCCAATCATGCTGTTCTTTTTTTTTTGAGACAAGAGTCTCGCTCTGTCACCCAGGCTGGAGTGTAGTGGTGCGATTTCGGCTAACTGCAACCTCCACCTCCCAGGTTCAAGCAATTCCCCTGCCTCAGCCTCCCGAGTAGCTGGGATTACAGGCGTCTGCCACCACACCTGGCTAATTTTTTGTGTTTTTAGTAGAGACGGGATTTCACTGTGTTAGCCAGGATGGTCTCGATCTCCTGACCTCGTGATCTGCCCACCTTGGCCTCCCAAAGTGCTGGGATTACAGGCATGAGCCACCACACCTGGCCCCAACCATGCTCTTCTAAAGGTAAGTCTATTTTTATTGATGTGGAAATCATGCTTCCAACAGAAGGAGAAAACCAATGACTAAGGTACGGGGGAGTGGGAGGAGTTCAAATTCACTCCCAAGCTTTCATTAATAAAGACCACATCATGTTACCTCTCAAGACCTCTTTATCTATGTATACTGAATTAATCCATCTTAGTGTGAGTAGAAAGAGTGAAGAAAGCCCAGGACTAAGGCCTAAAAATCTGCAGTATTGAGGAACACAATAAAGAATGAGTGGCTAGCAAAGAACATAAATGAAACAATTGGCAGGGGGGTCAGAAAGTAGGGTGTCATGGAAGCTGAGAGGAGATCATGTTTCCAAGACAAAATAGTTAACTGATTATTGAATGCTAACAACAACAAAAAATCTACTGAAAGAGAAGTGCCCTTTGGGTTGAGTCCCCGAAAAGGCACTAGTGATCACATGTTACAGGACTGATGAGGTCGTGGTACAGTGAGATAAGAAGGAAACAGGAGATGAGAAGGGGAGGTATCATATATGGACCATTTGACAATTAATTGACGAGAAGCTGGGGTGTCAGGAGATCAGAACCATTCCTAGCAGAGCGTGTAGGACAGAGAAGGGTTTTCTCTGAAAAGAGACTCTTGAACACTTCTGAAACCTGACAGATCTGTAAGAGAAGGAAGATCAGAGAGTAATCAGATCCCCACAACCCCTCAATAGAGAAGGCAGGGCACACAGCATATTGGAGAGGGATGGTCAAGGACAGCCCTGGCCTGGCTTCCCTGAGCGAGGACTTGCTGGGCGAGAAAGAGATTTCTAGCTTTCATGACATGCAGCTGAGGTCCTACAGTTTAGGTTACACTATTAGAGCTTCCCCAGAACAAAAGTACAGCAGTATAACCAGAGCTGTGCGTGGGGAAGTGTGTGTGATTCAGCCTGCCACGTCCAGTGGAATGCACTGCTCCCTCATCCATAGGACTTCACGTGAGAATGTTTTGCATGTTGTATTGATTTTTCAACCTCTTAATAGCTACCATTTATTTAAACCCTATCATGTCCCAGGTACTATAATGGACAGTTGAAAAATATTAATTTGCATCCTCATAGCAATATTATGTTATAAAAAGAGTATATGATCCTAGTCAGAGGAAATTTGCCATCTATACTCTTAGATGTTTAGTGCAAAATATCAAAAAGGAAAGATCTCAGCATTTAAAATCATCTAAACAAAGTCATAAAGTGCACAGATAATATAACAGTTGCAGGCAAATGCTGGCAATTGGTTCATTCATTGTGATATTCATTTAATGCCTACGATGCCAGAGTGTGTGAGAGGCGGCGAGGATGGATTCAACAGTAAACAAAGAAAGTCCCTGCTCCATGACGGACACTTGAGAATACTGCATCCACTTGAGGGAATGGTGCAAAAAGTTTTTTATTGATTGAAGAGAACTCTAATATATGCTGATATCGAATTTGACAAAGTTCTTCCTAAAAGCTGATTTAAATTAATAAGGTATTTACCAAGAATATGCATATAATATTTTCCAAATTAAAATTAGATAATGCAATGTATTCATACCTTATAATTTGAGATCCTAGACAATACAGTTAAAACAAAATCAAGACTCTAGAACATGGGACAATACATGTTAATCACTTACTGTTACCGAAGAAAGAATATATTGAAGAGAAAGAAATTAAGATGAAACCACTCAGGTGGGGGAAAAGAATTAAGAAGTTAGATTGTTTAAATTATCAAAAAGTAGATCACAAATGAATTCACTACCAAAAAAAACAATTTAAAAATCCACCACCACTACCATTACCTTCCTACATGCGCGCACACACACACACACACACACACACACACACACGTCAACTTAAAGTACATAAAATCCTGAGTACTCCTAGGCTTCTGGTAACAATACTGGCTGCTGGATAGGAAAGTAAAGGGGGTGAGGCGCTCTGGGAGGGTTAGCCTGGAGACAGTTGAAGGCTTGAATGGCAAGTCGGACGGCTTGGCTGCAACCCCGGCTCTGTGACTTCCCTGATGTTTGACTTTGAGCAAGTTTCCATGCCCCTCTAATATGGGAGTAACGGTAATGTCTGTCCTGTAGTGTAAGGATTGAATGGATTAAATCAAAAGTAAAAGTTTATAAAAGTGTCTAGCATATAAACAGCACTTGGTTAAGCTATTGCTAATATTATTTCCACTGTTTTAAGTGTTTAACTTTATGCCAAATGACTGATTTTTTAAGCAATTCAAACATTTTTATCATTTTGAAAGACTGACATTTTCCAGATTGCATAAATTGTGTTGTCAAGCACACATTGGCACACCACACATACACACGCACACTCACACACATCACACAACTCAGTCACACACTCACACACATACACCACACATACGCACACTCACACACCAGTCACACTCATACACCACACATACACACGCACTCACACACACATACACACCCACATACACACACACGCACACACACCACACATACACACGCAGACATACGCACACACTCACACACACAGTCTCACACACACACATACACACGCACACTCACATTTTGGGTCACTGCATTAATTCCATATGATATCTAAGAAGCATTTGCCTCCAGTGAGTTACCATAACTCTTCCTCCCAGTGAGCATTTTTCTAAAGAATTTATTACCATTTGCGAGGAAAGAGTCCCCACATGATACATCATTTCAACTTCTGATTGAAAAACAATTGCTACATTTAAGCATGAATATGTAACTTGTGGTAGTGATTATGAGGGGTGACCTAGTTTCATGAAAAAGCACCCCATTATTTTGTTTCTGCTTACAAAAAGTATCAGAAAAGTCAGGGACCATTAAGTAAAATGTAAAAAATAAGACATAAGCTGCACGCAGTAAAAATATAATGTGCTATTCACTGTTTAATATTTGTTAAAATGATTCCATCAGTTCAAGGACTGCCTGTGTATTTCCTGTTTTACTTTCTGCTTTCTTTTTGTTCCAGAGAAATCAGGCACGAGTTACTGGAAATGCTATTTTTAAAGTTTATTAAAGAGATTTGATGAAAAAGAAAATAGTTTCTTTAATTTCTTATACTCAGGTTTGCTCTTTGGAATAATTCCTGATTAGGGACAAATATTCACTGGAAGCTCTCCTTGTGTGCAGCATGTCAGGATGGAAAGAATGAGGACTTGGGGGCTGGAGTAAAACTTTGCTTTCCATTTGCAGCCGACGGCCAGTTGAGTGAGCATACTTCACCTATCTTATTTCTTTACCTTCATGTCCTTGTCTATTAAATTAGGGCATTTGACCAACTGATTTCCAAGTTATCTTTAGCATAATCTATAATATTAAGAAAAAAACTATGTGTTTTCAGAAACTCTAAAATATAAAAGCTTATTGTATCAAAATGAATAAGTTGATTCTCCATCAATATGTTGTGAATTTAACAAAATATTTCTTATTCAAATTATGTAATAATACATTTTCAACTAAGATTCACTATCTGGAACTTCTGGGGCCTTCCAGAATAGCACTAGCATGTAATTAATAATAAATAGGATGTTAAGATATAATAATGATACATTTGTCCTCTTTGATTGAACACCAGTAACTCAAGACCTCTTTGATATGACAAAAGAACAAAAGAACCTGGGGAGAACACGTAAACCTAAGTTTGAAAATGAGCACGGATGTTCCTTACCTTCAACACAAACCCAGACAACAGCGGCAGTGTGCGCGGCCTCCCGGCCCTTTACCTTCAACACAAACCCGGACAACAGCGGCAGTGTGCGCGGCCTCCCGGCCCTTTACCTTCAACACAAACCCGGACAACAGCGGCAGTGTGCGCGGCCTCCCGGCCCTTTACCTTCAACACAAACCCGGACAACAGCGGCAGTGTGCGCGGCCTCCCGGCCCTTTACCTTCAACACAAACCCGGACAACAGCGGCAGTGTGCGCGGCCTCCCGGCCCTTTACCTTCAACACAAACCCACACAACAGCGGCAGTGTGCGCGGCCTCCCGGCGGCAGTGGGCGCGACCTCCCGGCAGCAGTGGGCGCGACCTCCCGGCGGCAGTGGGCGCGACCTCCCGCGGCAGTGTGCGTGACCTCCCACGTCAGTGTGCGTGAACTCCCGCGGCAGTGTGCGTGACCTCCCACGTTAGTGTGCGTGACCTCCCGGCGGCAGTGTGCGTGACCTCCCACGTCAGTGTGCGTGAACTCCCGCGGCAGTGTGCGTGACCGCGTGGCGGCAGTGTACGTGGCCTACTGGCGGGAATGTGCGTGACCTCCAGGCCCTTTACCTTTGCCTGTGACCTCCCGGCCCTTTACCTTTGCCTGTAACTTTCCCAGATTGCTTGTAAGTACGTGCAACGCTTTAAGACGTGACTTAGATTCTTTCAAAAATGTAGACTCCCCCAGGAAATAACTACTTCATCTTTTAGAATTGCACATAAATGATTTTTAAGATTCTTGAGTCTTCCAGAGTGGGAGAACGCACAGAACTGGAAACCTCGGGGAGATGCGACAACCTTTGTGTCCACCCCACTTTGCTGTGAGCCAGTTCCCTCAGGAACAATGTAGCCCAGTGGTGTGCCCTGTGTTTACTGCTGAAAATTCAGGAGAGAAACAAACCAGCCAACAATCAGAGTGAGCAAATCACTTCTATCCTACCTCTCATGAAATAATAGAATTTTTTAAAAAAGGAAAAAAAAATTCAAGAAAGAGTATAAGAAGGTCTCTAAATCAGTTTGGGATGCTATAACGAAAAATACCACAGACTGGGTGGCTTAAACAACACACATTTATTTCTCAAAGTTCTGTAGGCTGAGAGGACCAAATCGCTGGCAGATGCAGTGCCTGGTGAAGGCTGCATCCGCGTGAGACGTGCTGTCTCCTCATTGTGTCCCACGTGGCAGGGGGAGCAGAGAGGAAGCCTGCTCTCATGGTCTTCTCATAAGAACACTAATCCCACCATGAGGTCTCTGGCCTCATAACATCTGCACCCAAAGGCCCTGTCTCCAAATACCATCACAATGGGGACTAGGGGGCCCATATAAGAATTGTGGAGGGACAGAAATATTCAATCCACAGCAGGAGGCCTGCAGAATTCCTAAAAGAAAGAAAGTGTATTAAGCCAACAAAGAAAGAATATGGGGGAAAACAGCCTGGAAGAAATCTGAAAGACAATTATGAGAAAATGCTATTGACTAGACATGGGTTTTGAGGAGCTCCGAGTTAAGGCTCCACAGATAAAAACTGCTCTGGGATAGTTGTGGTGGGTAGTTAACATGGTAACCACAACAGAAGCACCTGGACCCCTCTGGCCCCTACATCTTCTTCCCCTTTACGGAGCAGTGGTCGGGAAGAGCATTTGCCCCTGAGAAGGCAGGAAGTGAGATTTCCTGAGCAAGAGAATGAGGAGCGTGCCCAGGGAGCTGCTAGCATCCGAGAAAGAACTCATCCATCCTGAGAGCCCTCAAATAGCGCCTCACCTGCAGTTGCTACCCACGACTGACTCCTAGAAACAGAAGACCCCAACAGACCATGACTGACTCCTAGAAACACAAGAGCCCAATGGACCATGACTGACTCCTAGAAACACAAGAGCCCAGTGGACAAGGATTTCAAAGGAAAAGACAAATCCACAAGCATTTGGGCAAACCCTGTGCCAGGAGTCAAATACACCAAACTCGATGGAAAGAAGCACTAACAGCAACCTAATTAATAAATATAACAAGTGTAACTAATTATGACAAGGATATTAGAGAAGATTATTTATACCTTACAAAGAAATACCTGGTGATCTCAGAATCTTTTAAATATAATTGTCAAAAAATTCATGGGTGATCTAAAAGGTAAAATGCACTCAATTGAAAAGCAAATTAGTTGAAATATTTTTAAAAAGATTCTCCCAGGAAACTAGCCAAAAGATCCAAATGTGGAAAGTGTTTGAGAGTTAGAAGCACAAAGAATATTCCAAAATCTTAGAAATGCCCATGGGAGAAGTGCCAATGGAAAGTGGAAATAATTACAGAAATGATAGAAATCGATTTCTAAAAGCTGAAAAACAACTCAAGTCTCCAAATTTATAAGGGCCACTGAGTGTCAAGAAGGATAAATAAAAAATAATGAGAGAGGCCAGGTGCAGTGGCTCACGCCTGTAATCCCAGCACTTTGGGAGGCTGAGGCAGGCAGATCACGAGGTCAAGAGATCAAGACCATCCTGGCCAACATGCTGAAACCCTGTCTCTACTAAAAATAAAAAAAAATTAGGTGGGTGTGGTGGCACGTGTCTGTAGTCCCAGCTACTGGGGAGGCTGAGGCAGGAGCATCACTTGAACCCAGGAGGCAGAGGTTGCAGTGAGCCAAGATGGCGCCACTGCACTCCAGCCTGGTGACAGAGTGAGATTCCATCTCAAAAAACAAAACAAAAAATAGACAATCCTAATTTAGTCCATGTTTTACACCAAAAGTACAAGTTGAGGGGTACTTAAAAATTGGTGTATTAATGTGTGCGTGTGTGATATATGTAACACGGATCCCTCCATAATGTATCAGGAGAAGGCTCAAAAGGAACACAAGTAACTATTAATAGTGGAACTTCTGGGAAAATGAGTAGATTAAAAAAAGAAGAGAAGAGTGAAGGTCTTCACATAACTTTATGTGGATTGCTTGAATCTTTTATAATTAAAATGCCTTCGTGTATTATTTGACTTAATCCGAAACTAATTGAAGAAAATTAGTACTATTTTAATTGATTAATACCCTTTTAAATAGAAATTTTAAATTAACATTTAAATAATAGTATTTTACTTAATATTAAAAGTAAGATAATTTAAAATTTAATAACTAGGAATATAAGAAAATAATATGAAATATTCCACCACTTAATATTTAAATTCATATCAGATATATAAAATGTGACAACTAAAAGAACTTTCATTATTAGAGGAAATTTGGAATAGTAGGTCTTGTTAACTAGTAAATGCTTATAATGCCATACCAAATATTGAGCTTTCAGAAAGTCACACTAACAAGAATAAGAAATTCTATAGCCAAAGTCTTTCAATAATATGTTGGACATGGTGCCTGCACATATTAAAGGAAATGGCATAAATTAAAGGGCCCCACAAGTTAAAAATAAATAAAAAGACTTGTATCAATTTCTCCAACAAAAATAGCCTTATAACAAGTAGATCTGGTTTGCTTAGGAAGAAGTAACAGAGAATTTAAATATCTTTCAGAAAGAGAGACATGAAAGATCATCCAGGCTTTTCTTTGAAATGAAAGTATTTATTAGCTAGCACTAGATTAACTTTCAATAAAATACAGGAGCCCAACCTCGCTTCTTAAAATTAAGTTAATTTTAAAAAGGACCCTTGGCTGGGTGTAGTGGCTCACTCCTGTAATCCCAGCACTTTGGTAAGCCAAGGTGGGAGTATCGCTTGAGCCCAGGAGTTAGAGACCATCCTGGGCAACATGGTGAGATCCCATCGTTACAAAAAAAATACAGAAATTAGCCAGGCATGGTGGTGCATGACTGTGGTCCCAGCTATTTGAGAGGGAAAAATTGGAGGATTTAAAAAAAAAAAAAAAAAGCACCCAGACCATCAGCATGTGTTAGTTATAGCACCTGGACATGGATACTCAGCAACACTTTCTGAGTGAACGAGGAACGGGCTCTGATAATCCCCTGGCGTGCCCACATTGGATTGGTGATGCTGATGGACACTGCATGAGCAAAATGCCCTCTAAATTGAGCAGTACTTTGCTTTCACGGCCATGTCCACCACAAACCAGCTGTAAAGATCCTAAGCAAATAATTTCCTGATTTTATAACATTAATATTTGTCTTGATTATCTTCCCACTTCAAAAGAGATGGTCATATGAAGTATATGCTAGTGTTCTAGGTAAAAGGAATATTACGTAATGATATAAATCATTCCAGTACAATGTCATAATTGCTACACAGTACTCTCCTTTTCAATATTTCAGCAACAAAACAGATTTTTACATGACTTTTGCTCTGCAGACAGTGAGTAGTCAAGGCAGAAAGCACTGGAATTTCCAAACATTTTATCTGCGTCTTGTAAAATCACATGAATGATGAGACCTCATGAACAATAATTTGGGTCAGGTGACATGGTGTGTCTGCACATACAACATGCAGGCTCAATCTTTAACCACTTGGGTTAGCCTGTAACATTGGAAAAAAAAAAAAAAAGAAAGAAAATGAGGGCAGGGAAATTCGCCACGAGCAAGGGACACAGTGTGACGGCCACAGAGAAAGTGAAGGAAGTTAGAGACGGGCACAAAGTTGCCATTCACACCCAACAGAAGATTTAAATCTGAGCTTCTGATTACTGATTGCTTTGTTCACTCCTGTATACAACGAGGGAGGAAATTAATCAGTTCTTTTTTTTACCACAAGATTAGAAACAGCTATTCAAAAGAAAAGGGGATGCTGATCACTCACTAAGTAATCTGATAACTTTTTAAATTCCACCCTAAATAGACAAGCCCTAAGTCATTCTTTCACAATCATAAAAAGGCTTCACATTGCTTATGGACAATATGTCTTTGGTTACAAAAAAAATAGTTTGAAAAATAAGGTAGATAAACTTTGTACTCAAGTGAAATTGAAACACTACACGAAATGCTTACGCTGTATGGAATTTAAAGGTATTTTGCATGGATATATATCAAAGGCCAAATTAGCAATTCTAAAAAATGTGATAACGTGCATTCACTAAGTTTTAGTGAGTCTTACAGCATGCATAGATACTGACTTACACAGGTGTCTATAAAGTAATGAGCAACTCTACAAGCTCCATATAAAAATTAATAACAATATCACCCTATGTATTAATCACACCTCTATACACTTTACATGTGTTAACTTATTCACTCCTCACAACAACCCAATGAAGTAGCTGCTATGATTATACCCATTTCAAAATGTAAAAAATGAGGCACAAAAAAGTTAAAAACTAAAACTGTCCAAAAACCAGCTCTGAAGATGTAGAATCTGGATCCCAATCTAGAATCTAGAAGCAGAGTTACAACCACTGCATGATATCTTGCTCCATGCCTCATGCAAACATGCAGCCCTAGTCACATTGCAATTTATAATATAAGCCATCAAGAAGAATGTTTACTGGAGTGGAAAGGGTTAAGACTGTGAGAGGAATAGATGGTCAAAGAGCAACTCTGAACTAAGTAGTCTCAGGGTGGCTATATCTTATATAAATAAGATTATGAGTCCTATGAAGAAGTCAACATAGGCGAAAGTACACTGAGATTGGGACCCAAGCATTGACCTGGTAACACTGAAGATGAGTTGGTTATTTTAAAAAATTATCCTAAATTCAGGCAGTTGTAAAGGATTTAATTTCCAGCCTATTTTAATACTGAAAAATTTAAATAATTGATTACATTATTAGCTTAAGTATATCCAGTGATATTTACGTACTATATAAAACTAAGCCTTTATAAATAAGCTTTTCTCACAGCCAGAAATTTTACATTGCTTTTTTCTCCTTAAATCCATTTTCATCCTCACAGAATTTTTTTTATGTAACATACTTGTGCTTAAAAGTCTTTTATTGATAACCCAATCATATTCTGCAAGCAATATTCTAGATATAAATTTAAATTTGTTATACTTAGTATTTCATGTGACCATAAGTCACGTAAATATTTAAGAAGTTCTTCAGAATTGTATTATCATTACGGTTATTATTAGAACTCAATTTTAAAAACACATAAATATTTTTTAGATTTTAAGTGATTGATAAACCTGAAGTCAGTTATTATTGGAAATGCATCTCTTCATGAGATGAATGGAGCTTATTTTTTCCAGTGGGTCACATTTCCACAGATGTTACTGCTACAATGAGGTCGGATTCAACATCCGTTTTATTCCTACTTTTCACTTTTATAGATGTAATTTCTAAAACCTTGTTCCCATAAACAAGTAGATGGAAATTGAAGGAGTTTGTTTATAGCAACGTCACTCAATGGTTTTAAATCCTTTTGAAGTATATGCTGAAAATTCCATAATCATTTACATTAACAACAATCATAGGTAATTATCTAGCAGCTTCTCCTCCAGAGCAAAGAAGTGGACCCTACCTGGCCCACGAAAGCATTTTCACGCAGTCATCGGAGTCATTTTCTTTTTTTTTTTTTTTTTTTTTTTTTGAGACGGAGTCTCGCTCTGTCGCCCAGGCTGGAGTGCTGTGGCGCGATCTCGGCTCACTGCAAGCTCCGCCTCCCGGGTTCATGCCATTCTCCTGCCTCAGCCTCCCAAGTAGCTGGGACTACAGGCGCGCGCCACCACACCCGGCTAATTTTTTGTATTTTTAGTAGAGACGGGGTTTCACCGTGTTAGCCGGGATGGTCTCGATCTCCTGACCTCGTGATCCGCCCGCCTCGGCCTCCCAAAGTGCTGGGATTACAGGCGTGAGCCACCGCGCCCGGCCCGGAGTCATTTTCATGCAGTCGTCATCAGAGCCATGAACTCTCTCAACAGTGATATCCCTCGTCCTTCCTTTAGGGCTACTCCAGGTTTTTATAACTTGGGTCAGGCTCCCAGAAAGATTCATACCTGGGAAGACGTGCTTTCCAACTGGGAACGGGGAGGCAGGAAAGGAAAGGCCAGTTCTTTCATGTCAGGCTTGTTCTCAGGGAGATTAATTTTAGGAGAAACTAAAATGAAGCTAGGATCTGAAAGTGATCTCTCTTATACGAAGTCTCGCACCTGTTGAAAAGCCTTTGGTTACCCCCAAGATATACATTCCCGTGTGAGTTCAGGTCTGTGGGTTTGGGAGAGTGTGGGAAGGACACGCCCCCAGTTAGCCTCAGTCTCCCCTTCTGTGAAGGGGGAGGTAGCGATCCTGCATCCTTGTGACGACAGTGACAGTGTCTGGCGCATGGAGCTTGACACCAAGCTGACACTCAGTGGCTGAGCATCTTCCCTTGTGCTTGTCACTGCAGCTCAGGCTTCCTGTGTCCTCTTCCCAGGGTCACCTCGAGGCCTGTCTCCTGTGGCTCTGCTCTGGGGTTAAAATTTTTTGTATTCTTTCTGCCACCTTCCTGCTCTCCCAGTCCCGAGTGGCCGCATCCCTGCTTAGCACAGTCTCCTGTTTTCTTTCCATCATAGCGTCTAACCTTACATGATTGTCTCATCTTGTTTTGTCTTGTTTGCTTGTTTCCTTTTATTACGTGTTGCCGACCCCTGGAAGGTTGGCTCTGTAGAGCAGGATGCCATCTGCCCAGAGCCTTGAGTGGCGCCCAGCAGAGGAGAGCTGTTGTAAATGATTGTTTGATGAAGTAAAGGAGTGAGTGAATGCATTAGTTTGCCATGGCTGCCATAGCAAAGCACCATAGACTGAGTGGCTTAAACCACAGACATGTATTTCCTCACAGTCCTGGAAGCTGGAAGTCTAAGATCAAGGTGTTGGCAGGGCCAGTTTCTTCTGGGGTCTGTCTCGTTGATGTGCAGGTGATGGCCTTCCCTCCTTGCCCTCCCTCGGTCTGTGTTCATGTGCCTTCCTCTCCTCTGCTTCTAGGAGCCCTGTGCACAAACATTCGTAGCAACTGTATTTTTAATGGCCAGAGATGAGACACAGTCCAGTGCCCATCCGCTGGGGAATGGACGAATGTATCGTGGGACACCTGCATGAGAAATTCACTCAGCAAATGAGAAAGAACAGCTGACAGCAAAACGGCACAGGTGAACCTGGAAGCAAGATGGTAAGTGATAGACGCCAGAAACAAACACCCTGCAGAAGTGGGTCCATCTATGTGACACTGCAGGAAAGGCAAGACTTTAAGGACAGAAAGTAGATCAGTGGTTGCCAGGAGCTGAGGCTAGAGAAGGGGATTGACTTCAAAGGGGATTGATTTGATGGGAGCTGGAAAACTGCTATAATTTCATTGTGCTTATGGTTACTGGAGTATATATACTTGTCAAAACCCATCAACTGTACACTTAAAATGGGTAAATTATATATAAATTTAACTCAATAAAATGGATTTTACAAAAATCAGAGCATAGCAAAGATTCTTTAGAATCCATATTTTCGTATGATAGCCTACCACAGAATTTTTGCAAATATATTTTTCACATATATTTTGGGGGAAAATACACACATGCAAACACACACACACATTTATATGTAAAATAAAGCAAATAGAAGTGTAGGTTTTATTTGCAAAGTTGTTGAGAATGCTAGGGTGGTGGAGAGCCACGTCAGGCCGAATCTCAGCTCTCCCTACAGCTGCCGAGATGGTGCCTCACAACGTTTCCTCGTTTGACTCCCCAGACCCCAAAGCCTCCTGAGCAGTCAGCGAAGACGCTGGAAGGATCCCCGAACCGTCATTATTTACCTCCATTGACTGAAGCACATTTAAAAGTTGGTTTACACTTTCCACTCCATATCATTTAATAATGTCATATTGAACTGTTTCCCCAAGCAATAAAAAATAAATCCTTTAATGCTATAGACAAAGTATAATAGCACTCAATAGAAAGAAAAGAAATTTGAAGGGCTTAGATTTCTTACTCTCCAATTGGAAAAGTAAGAATTTTGGGGAAAAAACACTTTTGCCTAGAAAAGCATATTCCATAGAGGACAGATGGAAAGGATATTTGTGTTTAATTTAAATGTTCTGCAAAAGTTCACTCTTCCAGCACCACGGCAACACCCGCAGGTCTCTGACAAGTGACAAGAACACTTTATGCTGAATCCTCAGCAGGATCTGAGACCTATTAGGGATTTTGAATCCATCTGGAGCTCGAGGAATCTCTGAAATGAGGCAAACCAGGGAAGGGCTCTGAGGAGACTTCCACACACTCCTCCAATCACACATGCAGCCCAAATTCCCCAAGTTTCCTGTTCTGGTTAATTAGAGATCCCAGTTTCATGATCACTGACTGCCCTTTCTTCGGGGGCTGGTTTGGTTTAACGATTCCTGACATTTCATCCACGGCACTGAGCTTTTTTACAGCAATAGAAAATAACAGCCTCTCTCCCTGACAGCAGAGCAGGTTGTTCGATGCTGTAACTAGAGGAACAGTGATGGCTCTCCTCTGTGCTAACTCACGGCACAATAGGTGGGACATCAAGAATAATGACATCAAATGGCCGTGGAAACGGATTCGCAGGATGCGCAGGTGAACGCCCATTTCAAGCTAGACACTCTCTTGTGTCCTGTGCCGCTTCCAGCAGCAAAGAGTTCTCACCGCTTTCCGCTCCTCGTTTGAGTGTGGGAAGCTGCCAGGAAGGCTCCTTTTGAAAAGCTGTGATCTGAGGGTCCAACCAAACCTGGGGCTTTGAGGACTCTCCCCAGGAGGCAGCCCCTTCAGTACCTGTGCGGAGGCAGTGATCAGAATAAGAGGAGTGCAGGAAATGCAAAGGCTACCTGGTGACAATCCAGTGTTTGGGGCCAGCAAGGACTTGTTGAGATCAGCGGTAAGAACTGTGGATAATGACACAAGCAGCTGCCCAAGGGAGCCTGAGGGAGAACAAGCATTAATGACCTCAGAGACTTGTTCTCTTTCTAGTCTTTTCCTGAAATGCCAAACCATGGAGCCAGTTATCAATCAAGGGAGTGAAATATATCGGAGGATGGGTTTGGTTTGCTACAGTGACAGCCAGCTTCGCTTTTGAATACTCTTTGAAAACAATTTTTACCGTGCAATGCTGGAAAAAGCCAACAAATAATAAACCTGTCGCAGTACTCACCAAGAGCTCATAAATACAAAAGTCAGCCTTGCAGCTGCAAAGAAACGCCATTCCTAAGCTTGAAAAATTGTCAGTACTCAATCATTGCATCTGATACCAATTTTCATTTCGGGCTGTGATTTGGGACGACTCTTATCTTCAGCACTCCAGAGGCGGGAGCCTCCTGCTCCCACTGGGCGGTCTTAGGGTTAGGGTGGAGGTGCTGCCATCAGATGGAGATAACAGCAGTTCTTTGAGTTCTTTTTAATTTTCCCAGCTGTGCTGCAGTTACACACCAATAAGCTCATCTTTTCATTTGGTTCAAAAAACTATGCAGAACTGTGCTAGTCCTGCATTTTTGGTGATAACATTTCAAAGGTAAGAGAAACACATTTAATGACAGCCATAGGCCCTGGGCTCTGCCTGGGAGCCCAGTGCTCCTCCTCCTGAAGCAATTCTCATTATGCCACATCCCCCAGACACTTTGTTACTGTCTGCCTGATTCTCGTCCGCCTTCTCTGCCCTTAGGGAAAAATCATCACACAAACCCTGTTGAGAGAAATGAGAACTTTACTGAGGAGCCCTGTGTTGAGTGGACACACTTCAACAATTTCCTGTAGCTTTCATGGGATTCAGCTGCAGCAAATGTATGACCTGATTCTTCAAAGGAGGACCAGGAAGCTGCCTGCTGGGTTCTTTGTGGAGGGTTCACTGTGAACAGGAGGAATTTGCTTCCATGAAGCATAGTGTTGCTTCTAATCAAGGGAAAGTTTCCAGGTTCTCAGAAGGTTCCCATTTCCTGAGAGGTGCCAGGTCACATACTTTGGTGTTGAAACTAAAAGTTACTGGATTTGGAAGTGACAGCTATAGGCCTATATTCCTCAGCAAGGTGCTTCTCAGTAGTGAGAGGTCGCTTGTTAAACGAGTTGTCTTTTTCCACATTCGATTTCCTCGCACCTGGACTGCGTGGTTGGTGGAGAGGTACACACAGCCCCCTGTGGGGTCTGCTCTTCTGTGAATCTAATGCACGTCACCTCCTGTTTCCTAGGGAGCATCTCCCTTTGTTGAGCCTCAACGTGCAGTTATTTTTACATGATCTCCCTCTACTGAACCCCTCTGAATCTAGTAGGCCATTTGTGTACAAATGTGACAATTTGTTTTTTAATTTTTAATTTTTTAACTTTAGGTTCGGGGGTATATGTGCATATTTGTTATATGGGTAAACTTGTGTATCAGGGGTTTGTTGTACCCAGGTACTTATTTTATCACCCAGGTATTAAGCCTACTACCCAAAAGCTGTTTTTTTCTGATTCTCTCCCTACTCCCACCCTCCACTCTCAAGCAGGCCCAGTATCTGTTGATCTCCTCTCTGTGTCCACGTGTTCTCATCATTTAGCTCCTTCTTATAAGTGAGAACATGCAATATTTGGTTTTGTGTTCCTGCATTAGTTTGCCAAGGATAATAGCCTCAGCTCCATCCATGTTGCTGGAAAGGATATGATCTCATTCTTTTTTATGGCTGCATAGTATTCCATGGTATGTATATACCACATTTTCTTTATCCATTATGTCATTGATGGGCATTTGGCTTGATTCCCTCTCTTTGCTATTGTGAACAGTGCTGCAGTGAACATAAGCATGCATGTGTCTTTACGGTGGAGTGATTTACATTCCTTTGGGTATGGACCCAGTAATGGGATTGCTGGGTCATATGGTAGTTCTGTTTTTGGCTCTTTAAGCAATCACTACACTGCTTTCCACAATGATTGAACTAATTTACACTCCCACCAACAGTGTATAAGAGTTCCCTTTTCTCTGCAACCTTGTCAGTATCTGTTCTTTTTTTTTTAACTTTTGAATAAAAGCCATTCTGGCTGGTGTGAGATGGTATCTCACTGAGGTTTTGATTTGCATTTCTCTGATGATCACTGATATTGAGCCTTTTTTCATATGCTTGCTGGTTGCATGTATGCCTTCTTTTGAAAAGTGTCTCTTCATGTTACGATTTGTTAGTGTGCTTAAGCAACCATGTCCAAAATGGTTAAGAATAGACAAATCACTCCCAAGAAAGACAAAGAACCGCACCATTAGTGGTTACCTGGTAACATACAAGACCCTCAGACCTAGAGGGACTTCCTCCAGAGACCGACGGCTGACATAGCAGGAACCCTACAGGCTGTCTCTCCTGATGCCCCAGTGCGCTGCTTTCAGGGAATGGTCCCACAGATGAATGTTCAGTCCTAGCAAATGAAAACTCAACAACAAAATGTGTTGCTGTAATAGAAAAAGTAATGTTGTCTGTCCAGACTTTCCATGGAAATATTGGTTTATACACTCACTATTGACAAATTAATCTCATTTGAAAACAAGTAAAATATAGCTACATGGTATAGCAAAAACATATGCCTTTTTGGCAATTGCTATATCAAAAATAATTTACTCAACTACTTTTTACTGGCTGAATTGATCAGTTGTTAAAGCCAAAATAATCTGGAGTCATCCTTGAAGTTGGTCACATCTAATCAACCTAAAAGCCAGCAATACAGCCTTCAAACTATATCTTGCATCGACCAATTTTCACAACCTCTACCAATTGTACTTAGTCATCTTATGACTCCAGCCTTTTTAATACTCTCCCTGTTTCTGTCTTTTCCATTTCAGTTAATTCTCTACACAGCAGCCAGGAAGCTCTTTGTAAATCATAAGCCATATCATGCCAGTCCTCTGCTCGAGCACTGCAAGGGGTTCCAATGGTCGGGTTTGGCAAACTTTTTCTGAATGTGGCCAAGTAATAAATAGCGTAGGTCTTATGTGACTACGTAGGGCCATGTGACTTCTGTTGTAACTTCTCACATTTGCCACTGGAGCATGGACGCAGCCACAGAAGATGCTTAAGTAAATGGGTGTGGCTTTGCACTAATAAAATCTTTATTTACAAACCCAGTGCAGGCTGCTTGTGGACCAAATTGTTTGGTGACTCCTGGAATAGAAGATCATACATGATCTTGCTTCTGGCTCCCTGTGCTAAAATTCTCCCACTTAGTAACTTCACTTTAATCGTAATGCTCTCCTTGCTGTTCTGGAAAGTGCCCAGTACAATCTCACCTTGATTCCTCTGCATTTGCTCTATGTTGTCTTAAAATACTTGATTTAGATACATGTGGCTGTGTAATAAATCATACTGAAACTTGGTAGCTTAAAACAATAAAGACATGTATTATCTTTCACTATCCTCTGGATGGACTGGGCTCAGCTGGGCAGTTCTTCTTTCACATGTGGTGTCAGGGACGCACTCACCTGGAGGAGGCTCAACTGAGCAGAAACACAACAGATGGCTCATTCACCTGCAGGCAGCTGGTAGCAGCTGGTATCTGGATGCTCAGCTGGAGGTAGGTCCTCCTCCATGTGGCCTGTTCATGTGGCTTGAACTTCTTATAACATGGTGGCTGCGTTACAAGAAGGAATGTTCCAGGATCATAACAGTGGAAGCTACAGATCTCCAAGGTTCCCACCTGGGAACTCACAGAGCATGGTTTCTTCTATAGACTGTACATCACAGCAAGGTTCAGGGGAGGATTCTGAGAACACCTTTCAAGGGGAGGATTAGGACACAATTTGCAGCCCTCTTCAATCCACTACATGTTCTTCCCTATCTGTTTTATTTAGGTTCAAATGTGACCTTTTCAGACAGGCCAGTTGTGGCCACCCTTGCCGTGTACTCAAGAAACTTTTTATCTGCTTGACCTAATTTTTCTTACTGCAATTGTGCATTGTGTATATTTATTTGTTCATTTTTTTGTTTTCTCTTTTCCTACTGCTAGAAGAATGTGTGTTCCCTCTTTGTCTGTCTGTTCATGATTCTCTCACCAGTTCCTAGGATAATTCCTGACACAAAGAAGGCATTCACTAACTGTTTCCTGAATGAAGAAGTGTTGGCTGTATAATACGGACTGTGCCAGCCATGGAGGATAAAAAGATTAATCAGATCGTATTTCTGCTCTAAAACATCTCATGACCTAAAACTGAGAGGCTGCTGATCTGGAATTGATGCTATGGCTTCTCAACTTCAACAGTTTGGAAGAGAATCACAAAATTGTGTCATTTATAAGCAAAGTTCAAAGTACTAAAAAAAAATAGGAACACTACATATTTCAATGCATGAGTACACATAGGGCTCCCCTCCTCTGCCAATGGCAGGGACTACCAGAGCTTCTAAAGGCATTTTAAAGTTACACTGTGAGGAGTGTCAGACTGATTAACATTTTCAGCCAACGCTGTTGAAGGTGGGATTTATCAGATTTTTTTTCATTTATATTTAAATTCTTAAATTAAGGAATAAGAAACATATTAATAAAAGCCTTAGTGATATCTTCATAGTATAAAGTATGACTTACTTTATTAATCTATTAGCATATCTTATCATATTCTGTGATATTTATAACCTGAAAAATGTCAAGGAGAGAGATGATACCAGGACTGAGAAAACATGTTAAACCATACTTGATATTTTCATTAATATTTGAGACAATATTATTTACTAAATATTGAAGCTCACAGAGAAATACAAAATAATAGCAATTAACAGTAAAATTTACTAAAATCTAGATATCCTATTATTCATTTCTAGTTTTAGCAATGCTTTGATTTTAAAGAATAAGAGGCTGGGTGTGGTGACTTACGTCTGTAATCTTAGCACTTCGGGGGGCTGGATCACCTGAGGTCAGGAGTTTGAGACCAGCCTGGCCAACACGGTGAAACCCTGTCTCTACTAAAAATGCAAGAATTAGCCAGGCATGGTGGTACATGCCTGTAATCCCAGCTACTTGGGAGGCTGAGGCAGGAGAATCGCTTGAGCCTGTGAGGCAGAGGTTGTAGTGAACCAAGATCATGCCACTGCACTCCAGCCTGGCCAACAGAGCAAGACTCCATCTCACAAAAAAAAAAAGAGTAAGAATAAGAGACACATGTTCACACTGTATATGTATTTTGGGACAGCTAGAATAAAATGATATGTAGTATATACAAATATATAGTATATACATATATAGTATATACAAATATATGATGTGTGTATATAACATACATATGCCATATATATGGTGTACAATTTTTAAAAATGATTTTTGCATTTAAGATTTAATCTTGTTCCCATAGTAGCGTAGATCTTAAGTTAGTCTTGGCCAGAGGGAAATCACTCCAACAAACCTAGCAATGTGGCTGATGTTTCTCAGAGGGTCGGAAGCACCTGGAGGGATCCCAGAAAAAGAAAAAGGTTATGGGATAGCAGGTATGGTTAGAACGGTGAGAGTTAGGGTAAAGGTTAACGGTGCAATAAAGAGACAAAAATAACATCACTCGAACAAGATGGAAGATTGTTTCTGTTTCATATGGGAGTCCATGCGTGGGCAGGCAGTAGAGGGCAGTGAGGCATACCTTCTCAATAGTGCTTCCCCCAATCTAGGTGACTTCTATATATATATAGCGTTGGTTCATGCGCTGTTATTGAGTGTGTTGCACCTGCACACTGGAACTCAGATCACCACCACACTCCCACATTCTTGACCCTGGACAGGGAGAAAGGCTGTGTGCAGGGCAAACCGCTTATTTTCATATATGTATCTGGAATTTACACACATTATTTTCACTTGTGTGTCTGTCACCAATGTTTACATGCACAGCTCCAGATGTGGTCTCTATTAGGGTGGCCAAGAGCCCTACAACAGTTCAGAGGGTTATAATCCTAAAGGGAAGAAGGGGAGAATGAAGACACAGAATAATTAGATGTCTGCAGCTTGGTATAGTTGACTAATTCTCCCATCCCCCAAACTAACTGATTATCTTTACTTAATCTGGACAGTAGTATTCTTAGTACTTGAACTTAATAATAGTTCCTTTGTTCTTTCAGAACAGAAAAATAAATTGAAAGGAGATTACACTAGAAAAAAATAATTTTCCCCCTCTCAAAATGTGGACAACAACACGCCAGTCACACACACCTGCAAGCACACGCACCTGCAAACACACGCACCAGCTAGCACATGCACCTGCAAACACACGCACCAGCAAACACACACACCTGCAAGCACACACACACCTGCAAGCACACACACCCGTAAGCACACGCACCAGCAAGCACACACACCTGCAAGCACACGCACCTGCAAGCACACGCACCAGCAAGCACACGCACCAGCAAGCACACACACCTGCTAGCACACACACCTGCAAGCACACGCACCAGCAAGCACACACAGCTGCAAGCACACACAGCTGCAAGCACGCACAGCTGCAAGCACGCACAGCTGCAAGCACACGCACCTGCAAGCACACACACCTGCAAGCACACACAGCTGCAAGCACGCACAGCTGCAAGCACGCACAGCTGCAAGCACACGCACCTGCAAGCACACACAGCTGCAAGCACACACACCTGCAAGCACACACAGCTGCAAGCACACGCACCAGCAAGCACACACAGCTGCAAGCACACACAGCTGCAAGCACACACAGCTGCAAGCACACGCACCTGCAAGCACACACACCTGCAAGCACACACAGCTGCAAGCACACGCACCTGCAAGCACACACAGCTGCAAGCACGCACACCTGCAAGCACACACAGCTGCAAGCACACACCAGCAAGCACACACACCTGCAAGCACACACAGCTGCAAGCACACAGCAGCAAGCACACACACCTGCAAGCACACACAGCTGCAAGCATGCACACCTGCAAGCACACGCACCTGCAAGCACACACAGCTGCAAGCGCACAGCAGCAAGCACACACACCTGCAAGCACACACAGCTGCAAGCACGCACACCTGCAAGCACACGCACCTGCAAGCACACACCTGCAAGCACACACACCTGCAAGCACACACAGCTGCAAGCACACACAGCTGCAAGCACACACACCTGCAAGCACACACCTGCAAGCACACATACCTGCAAGCACACACACCTGCAAGCACACACAAAATGAGTGCAAGAGAGAATGTGCTCAGTACTTGGTCTGGTGTTCCTTGATAGCAAAATAAATAATAAGAATAAAGGCAATGATGTGTTTTTAGATCTGCAACGTGAAAACAGGGGTGGGTAGGGGGTGGGGGACATTGGTTGAAAACCGAACCAAACAAAAAAGTGCAGAGAACACACGACCAATTCTCTCATCAAAGGATCATCTTACTGTGGCCAGGTGTGGTAACCCGAGCACTTGGGGAGGCCAAGATGATGAAACCCTGTCTCTACTAAAAAACACAAAAATTAGTAGGGTGTGGTAGTGGGCACCTGTAATCCCAGCTACCTGTGAGGCTGAGGCAGGAGAATCACATTAACTCCGGAGGTGGAGGTTGCAGTGAGCCGAGATCCTGCCACCGCACTCCAGTCTGGGCGACAGAGCGAGACTCCGCCTCAAAAAAAAAAAAAAAACCATCTTATTTTGAACTCCCACTCGAGAAATACACAGCCTAAGTTGGGTGATTATACACAATGGCCACGTTCTGATGTTCTTGAATTAAACACCAAAAAGTAAAAGCAAACACTTTTCATTTAGAAGATATTCACAGACCTACTACCGATATCTCCAAAATTTCATTTTTATAGAAGAATCTAACAACAGGTTTCATATATTCAACAGATTTTTCAAGGGAAACATAAAAGATCCAAAGAGTATGACAAGAATAGAGTGAAGAAAATACTAAACAAATACTTAAAGCTGTAAAATCAGCCTCCCAGATATAACTTTGTACTTGTCAACCTATTTTACATTGTTAGTTGTTTCAATGACACATATAACTTTATATAAGAGAAGATAACATTGTGTACATAAAACCTCAAATCCTATTTATTCAATGTCATTGGATTTGTTTTAAAACAAATCATTTTTAATAACTATGAAGACACTATGTAATAGTCTGGTGTCTTGATATTTCTCATGGCTATTACATGAGAAAGCAAAAGGAAGAAAAATGTTGCAAAAAAAGGACAAGAGCTCAATGAATTTATATAAATTATTGACAGTAAATATATATCACCATCATTCATTATATAATTGAGGTTCACTTTTAGAAATCTATTTTTTTGCAGTTGCACATTGATAGTTTATATAGGAAGGAATTCATTAAAAATATTTAATCATAAAAATTGAGTAGAAGAGAAAAAGACATTAAAAGTTGAATAAAATTTCTTAAGATTTGTCTGCATTACTATTATGATTTCATTTGGAAATATTGTGAAATTAGCAAACAAATATGTTTTAATTCTTTTATAGTAAACTGAGAAGCTCTTCTACCAACCACACAGAGTAATTGACTCAGAGGAGATTAGGTTAGACTCTGGAGCCTGAACGAAGCTTCAGAACAGGGATTAGCATGCTTTATTTTACTTTATTTTATTTTATTTTATTTTATTTTATGAGACAGAGTCTCACACTGTCACCCAGGCTGGAGTGCAGTGGCACAATCTTGGCTCACTGCAACCTCCATCTCCCGAGTTCAAGCGATTCTCCTGCCTCAGCCTCCCAAATAGCTGGGACTACAGGCAGGTGCCACCGTGCCCAGCTAATTTTTGTGGTTTTAGTAGAGATGGGGTTTCACCGTGTTGGCCAGGATGGTCTCGATCTCTTGACCTCGTGATCTGCCCGCCTCAGCCTCCCAAAGTGCTGGGATTACAGGCGTGAGCCACCGCACCCGGCCTAGCACGCCTTTTCTATAAAAAGTTAGATAGTGAAAATGTTAAGCTTTCTGGGCCCCGTGCATTCTCTGTTGCAACTGTACAAACTTTCTCAGCTTGTGGGCAAATAGTAGGTCCAGGCCCCGTTTGCTGATCCCCGCTCTGCAGGATTAACCAGGCAATTGGAATAATTCTCAGTTCATGCATATCTCCTCTGAGAATATGTCATTACCTATATACATAGTTATATTTATTCTCCTATAATGCTCATGTTTATTGCTTAAAATTTATTTGTAATGCATTTTAACAAAACTCCCTCTCCTCTCCTTTCACACAATAGCTAATCATCAGTCATAGGATTGCTTTTATTTTTACTTTGAAAGTTTATAATTTATCAAATATCCCAAAGTTCACACATATTTGTCCTTGTATTTGTGTGGAAGGAAAGACTAATCTACTATATAATGCTGACTGATGCTCTAGGCCTTGAAGGAAGCATATCATGCCTGCTATCTCAGTTACTCTCCACCACCATGCTATGAGGTAGGTGCTTATCCACATGTGAAACCTGGGCCCAAAACACCTCAGTGAGTCTCCCAAGGTCACCCAGTTTATAATGGTAGTGTCAGAATTTGAACCTTTCTCCTAAATTTAAGGCTAATCCCCTCTACCTTTTCTTTGAAAATCCCGAGCCGGGCAGGGTGGCTTACACCTGTAATCCCAGCACTTTGGGAGGCCAAGGCGGGCAGATCACAAGGTCAGGAGTTCGAGACCAGCCTGGCCAACATGACGAAACCCTGTCTCTACTAAAGATACAAAAATCAGCTGGGTGTGGTGGCGCATGCTTGCAATCCCAGCTAGTAGGGAGGCTGGGGCAGGACAATCACTTGAACCCAGGAGTTGGAGGTAGCAGTGAGCCGAGATTGTGCCACTGCACTCCAGCCTGGGAGACAGAGCCAGACTCCGTCTCAAAAAAAAAAAAAAAAAGAGAGAGAAAAATCCCAGTCCTATCTACATACTCAGGAAACTTACAATTAACATGACCAGAGAATAGGCCAAATTTGGTCCTTGCCTGTTTATGTATGGCCCAGAGCTAAGAATGGTTTTTATCATTTATCATTTTTAAATGATTGGAAAAAAATTTAAAAATAATATGTCATGACATGAAAATTACATACAGTTTAAATTTCAGTATCTATACATAAACTTGTATTGAGAATAGCCATGCTTATTATTTACATGTCGCATGTGGCTACAGGGCAGAATTGATTAGTGGTAGCGGATACTGTAGAGCTTGCAAAGCCTGAGACACTTTCCACCCGCTCTTCACAGAAAAAGCGTGCCAGCTCCTGGTAGAGACTAGAGACTACTTCTCTCTCTTTTACGCTCAATCTATCCTTCTAACTAGGTATTTGCCTAGTGCTCTTAATCATACTCAGCCCACTTTCATTACAAAAAAAAAAAAGACAAAAACAGAAACAAATCCCAGGCAAACAAAATCATCTCCCACTCCACCATTTACTCCCTCCCAGCCACCATCTTTACTCTCTCTTCACAGCCAAGTTAGTCTGGAGAGCTTTCAACACTTGTCTCCATTTCCTTATGCCCCACTCGCTCATCAACCCACACCATATTGGCTTTGGGCTGTCACTTTAACAAATAAGCTTTTAGTAATGCCACCACAGAACAGAGATATATTTCAGTCCTTATCTGTCTTGTCCTCTCAGAAAGATTTTGTACTACTGACCATTTTCTCAATTCTGGAGCAAGTTCGTTCCTTTGCTTCTGTATGCAAAAATGTACTTGCTTTGGCTCCAACTTATCTCGTGACTTTTTATCTGGTTCTTGTTCAGATTTATTCTCCTCTTACCAGAATTTAAGTAGCATCATCCCTCAGGGCCCTGGAGACCCTCTTCTCTTCTTCCAATCTCTGCAACCCATAGACAATATTGCAAGGCCCACTAAGCTGTCTGAATGTGAACCAAGTCAGAGGACTTCAGGAAGGATAATTTCACAAAGACAGCAGATTTGCTTTAACCAATTATATGATGAAGCAATAAGATGATGTCAGTGATAAAGAAAAACATAATCATTTTTCAGAAGAGGGAAGAAAAAATGTAATCAAAATATTTGGGGAAAGCAACAATAAAACAGTACCAGAAAGACACATGGTCCCCATGAAACAGAATACAATGTAATATGATTTTTAGAAATTAGCTAAATTTTTTTAAAAGAGAGCCTATTTAAACATGGCACTTGGAATATTCACCTTTGAGCGGTCAGCCTTTCCTTCTGACATATATCTATACGCAGCAACTGGTATATATATAATGGTTAGAAATACATGCTATTTTTATATTGACTGGTTTTCAATTTTTAGATCAATCTATACACAAAGCAGAGAAGACAATATAATGCTGTTCTTATAAAATTTTAAAATTTTTAGATAATTGTTGACGAACAGATTTCTGAAGTTGAGGGTTGTAGAAGGACATTGAGATCCTGAATTTATGTGGGGGGTAGTCAAGGTATAAAATAAAGACATTGAAATTTAAGTGTGTTAATATTATAAGGATATCAAATGAAAGGAATTGAGTACAATTCTACCAAATATTTGGAAGAGAAGGAAGAAGTGTAGAAGTGAGGTGAGATGAGAGAAAGTCAGCTGAGCTTGTCATCTGTTGTCCCAGGAAATCACTCAGCAGAGCTTGTGGTTGATACAGCAGGTAAAGGGGGAACATGATATCTGGGACAGAAACGTGACTCCCAGGAGAAAACTAAACAGGAGGGCTCTGTGGAATGACCAGGAGCCAGGTGAATGGACTTTGCTCTTGCTTTTTTTACTCTGAACTCTTTGAATTATCTATTTACTTTTTGGACTTGTTACTTGCATAATAGGAGAAAAACAGTAATTCAAACAAGTAAATTGGAGCTTGATTCTATTTAAATATTAAAATTTAAAAGGAACAAAACTAAAAGTACTGGAAGTAAAAATTAGAAAGCCACAAGAAAATAGATAAACTAAAAATAATTTGTTGAGATATTTATATTCTCAGGCATAAAACATCTTGATTTCACTGCCAAAAAACATGATATATTCTTAATATAAAAAGTGTATGAGTTAGAAATATATAGAATCACAAAGATATTTGTCATTTCACTTCAAACAACAACAAAAAAATGGTAAAACTGTCTTCAATTCTAGAATAATGTGAGATGAGAAACCTTAAGTGTTATCTATCCTTTGCTTACGTAATCCCTATGTGCCCTCCAGTGTCCGATATGCAAGTCTTTCCTCTGCTGTAAAACACAGCTTGGCAGCAAAATGTGCCATATATAACTGTAATCTTTAGTAATGATGAGGCACTCTGTAGATTCCAGCAGGTACTTTCATTACTCCCACAAGCTTTTAAGCACCCATTATTTTTAGTCTTATATTCTCATGAATATCTTTTACATTTTACATCTAAGGAGAAATAAAAGAATAATAATTATATTTAATTATTTGAATAGCTTTTTAATCACAAGTCTCTATGCTGGAATCTGAGGGATATTTAATGCAAAAGTCATACTTGCCCTCCATAGTCAGTTTCTTTCTGCAGTTACCTTATTGCAACATGCCCAGTAGTGATAAGTCCATTTTCCGTATATACACAAGCATAGAATCTAATTTTCAAAAGGCCACCTAGGAACCCAGTCTAAATCACACCAGATACCTACATTGCTTCTCTATTTTGCTGAGAGATTGTTATCCAACATCTGTTTGCACACTTCAGTGATAGGGAGAACACTTAAACACAATAGTGGTGATTTATTGTTGAGAAACACTAGTTATTAGAATATTCTATCTTATATTGCATTGAAATTTGCTTTCCCTTTAACCCTATGGGTCCTGGTGAGGTATTACTTTCATTTTTATTTTTATTTTTTTAATGTATTTATTTTGAGGCAGAATCTTGCTCCGTCACCCAGGCTGGAGTGCAGTGATACATTCTTAGCTCACTGCAGCCTCAAACTCCTGGGCTCAAGCAATCTTTCCATTTTTGACGTCCGAGTAGCTAGCACTACAGGTACATACCACCACAGCTGGCTAATTAAAAAAAAATTATAGAGATGGGATCTTCTTAGGTTGACCGGCTGATTTGAAACTTCTGTCCTCAAGCAATCTTCCTGCCTCTTTAAAGCAACGTAGACCAGTTCTATTATTTCTCGCACTTTGCACTTATTCAAGCATCCAGAGTTAGCCATAAGGCTTTGAAGGCTTCTTTCCACTCAGTTAAATAAGCTGATTTTATATGGTTGGCTCAGGGCACAGTTTTGAAATCAGACAGACAAGAGTTCAAGTTCTATATCTGCCATTGACTAGCCATAAAGCTTGGGCAGGAGACTTAATGTGTACAGATAATAATGGTAAGTGATCTATAAGTTAGTTGTGGGATAACACATAGGAAACACTGATAAATGACTGATGTGTTTGAATCATTTATCATTTTTGTAATATTAATATTTCACAGGATGTTATGAAGATCAAATGCTATAATCTGTAGGACACTCTAAAATTTGTCAGTTCTAAAGCATTGTACAATAGTAGTCGTTATTTCCAGTTATCTTTCATCTCTCAATTATAATGGTCAACCTAAATGAAGACAAAACTACGAGTATTTCATTCACAAGCTAAGTGTAACATCCCAAACCACTAGATACGCTGCACTTTCTATTTTTGGAAATGTATACTACGACTTACAATCAAGCATTAGTTCTGAAGTGACCTTTACAAGAATTTTTATCCTTAACATATGTTAATTCTCTATGTAAACTATTATGAAAATGAACCAGAATTGAACATTTAAAATAAACTTTTTGTGGAGCAACCAACAATTCCTAAATATTCAATATGACAATTGTAGTGCAAAAACAAATGCTATTATATTGAGGAATGCATATTATTATTTTGAATATCTACTCAAGAACTTTATGATTTTCAATAGTAAGCATGGCACTTTGTGTCTCTTTCCTTGGAGCTTATGAGTCTCGCCAAAGCCCATTGACATGGGGCTAACCCAGGGGCCACTAAATCATGTCATTATGTAACTGTTAGCCTACAACTAGCGGTCATCTTTAAAAAAAAAATGGCAAGTAGAATTTTATCACGGTATATTTTATCAAAATTTGTTTCCTTGTTTTAACATGAGTATTAATGAAAATAGTATTCCAGGTAACACCTGGACAATTCACATACAAATGTTCATTAGAAATAGCAAAGAAAGGAAAATACAGCACTTTACACTGAAATGAATAAAATGCCTCCTACTTTCTAGGCATTAAAGTGTAAATTGCACTTAATTATGAATACATTTTATAGCTTTATATTTAACTTAAGTTACATATTAAGTTTTAACATTTTGAGAGATTTATCCAAATATCAACTATTCACTTCCTTTAGGCCTTATTTTTTGTTTTCACGTACACAATAAAGCAAACTAAAAAACAAAACCATCAAACTCAAAATACATATAAAAGTGGTCCATCTATGGAGTTTATAGTCCAAAAGTTTCTGACTGATCAAAGGTAATCAGAAATTATTATTTCAGTGATAAGTTCCATTCCTCCCTAGAATCATTTACTGCCTTTTAACTCATTGCCAATGTCTGGATCACCAGTGTCTATGATGTCACTTTGTGAATTTTCAGGAACCTAACGTCATGCAATCTTAGGTAAAAATGGGGAGAATATTTGAAAACAAATCATAATTCAGACATTTTTATAGTGGTATTATCTCATTGATTCATTGTATTATTTACAATTAAGGACAAAAGGTAGGCAAAATAGACCTACCTGTCAATGGCCCCTCTTTTCTCAAGTTAGGACATTTTGCTTTAGAAGTCCTTTACTTCACTATATCAGAATATAGTAATATTAACCATTAAGTATAAAATTGAACTTCATTTTAAATGAAACACACATATGAATATGACAAAATTCATAAACTATATTTGTTGTTTACAGAGTTGATTATGACAAGTGGAGAAGTAGGAAAAATAGCTGGAAATAATGCTTAAAAGTATGTAAGAATTTGTAAAAAAGAAACAAATTTGGACAATAAAAATAAACACTAACTAATGCTAGGGACTGAATTATGTCCCCCTAAACTCAAATGATGAAGCCCCAGCCCCCAGTGTAGTGGTATTTAGAGTTAAGGTCTTTGGGAAATATACAGGATTAGATAAGATTGTGAGGGTGAAGCCCTAGCCCCCAATGCAATGGCATTTGGAGAAAGGGTCTTTGGGAAATATAGAGGATTAGATGAGGTTGTGAGGGTGAAGCCCTAGCTCCCAGTGTAATGGCATTTGGAGAAAGGGTCTTTGGGAAATATACAGGATTAGATGAGGTTGTGAGGGTGAAGCCCTCATAATGGTATTAGTGCCCTTATATGGGGGATGCCAGAGAGCTTGCTCCCCACCACCTGCCACATGTGAGGAGAAGGCAGCATCTGCAAGCCAGGAAGGGAGACCTCACTAGACACTGACCATCCCGGCACCCTTACCTTGGACTTCCAGCCTCCAGAACTGTGAGAATACATTTCTGTTGTTAAGCCACCCAGTCTATAATATTTTGTTACAGCACCCTGAGCTGACTAAGATGACTAATATTTTTTGAGCACTTATTCTATTCCATTCACTGTGCCAGATGCCTGACATGCATTTTATCATTTGGTCTCCATGAAAACTCCTTGAGATAGTTACTTTTATTAATCCGTGTTATGGATGATAAAAGCAGAGCCTTAAAAAATGTCTTAGTCCATTTTGTGTTGCTACTACAGAATACCTGAGACTAGATAACTTATAAAGAACCGTGATTTTTTTTTCTCACAGTCCTGGAAGCTTGGAAGTCTCAGATCAAGGCGCCAGCAGGTTTAGACCCTGGTTCCAAGCTGGCACCTTGTTGCTGTGTCTTCTAGAGAGGAGGAACACTGTGATGTCACATGGCAGGAAATAGAAGCAGGAAAGCCTACTCCAGCAAGCCCTTCTTATAGCAGCCTTCATCTATTCATGAGGCAAAGCCTCATGACTGAAACACCTCCTACTGGACCCCACTTTCCAACACTGTATCATTGAAGGTTTATTTTCCAACACATGTTTTCATGCTGCTGATAAAGACATACCTGAGACTGGGTAATTTGTAAAGAGAAAGAGGTTTAATGGACTCACAGTTCCACATGGCTGAGGAGGCCTCACAATTATGGCAGAAGACGAAAGGCATGTCTTACATGGCAGCAGGCAAGAGAGAATGATAACTGAGAGAAAGGGGTTTCCCCTCATAAAACCATCAGATCTTGTGAGACTTATTTACTACTAAGAGAACAGTATGAGGGAAACTGCCCCCATGATTCAATTATCTCCCATCAGGTCCCTCCCACAACACATGGGAACTATGGGAGCTACAATTCAAGAGGAGATTTGGGTGGGGACACAGCCCAACAATATCAACATGAATTTTAGAGGAAACATTCAGATTATAGTAAAAGGCAAATTAACGTTTCCTAATTTAGATAGCTAGTAAATACCTGCCCAGAATTCAAACACAGATCAGTCTAAAGCAAAATGCAGACACATAACTGCTACTATTTATGCCACTGATTTACAAAAATAAGTTGTAAAATAAATTTAGTTACTAATTACCAGCATTTTTTTAAAAAAGAAATCGACCAGGATATAATTGAAATTATACAAATATATTACAAAAAAAGAAAATGTCATTTTATTAAACTTTTATTTCAGAAGACAGATAGTCAGATGAGTGGGTGAGTGGGTGGATGGATGGATGGGAGAATGGATGGATGGATAGATAGATAGATAGATAGATGCAACCACACAGGTAGAGGCCATGTAAATGCATTTCTGCTGTAGAAATGCTATGTCCCAAAAATTAGTAGATGGAAAAATAACGGGGGCTGGATCACCAACCAATGGGCATTAACCTATTAGATTGTTGTGAGAATTGAATTAAATAGTAGATAACACCCAGGATATAGTGAGTGTTCAGTAAAGATACAATTATTTTTGTCACAAAAATTTTAGCATCTTCACTCTACCATCCAAAAAAAGCTAAGGCTGCCTGCATGTTAGACTTTTACAAGACTTGGGGGTCTCTCAATATTATCTACTCTAGTAGTTTCTAAGATTTTACTCCACTGTATAAACCAGATATAAGCAGCCTAGATGAAGTGAGGCAAGAGTCTTGTCTCTGAGCTTAGCCTGCCCTTTATGATCATTCAACCATCAGTCCCAAGTTCACTTAGGAAGTCGTTGCTGACTACCCCATCCACCGTTTGACTTACCACCCTGTTTGAGTCACTACTTGATAGTCTCTCCTTCTCTCTCTTTTTATTTTTTTTCAGTCTTTCCCCCCTTCTATCAAGAGCAAATATTAGGTCTATGAAAGCAGGATTTAGTATCTCTTGCTCATCAGCTTGAAATATGCCGGAAACACAGGAGACAATCAAAATATTTGTTAATTACTTATAGACAAGGTCAAATCAGTGGAATTTACTTTGATGCCCATCCAATCTTCCTTTACATCTTCTAGCCCTTGCTCGGGATCATTAGAACCGTCACCAAGAGATAACCAATATTATTGTGAGGTGCATTCAATTTCTTCACTTAGAAACAGCCTTGCTCCCCTCCTCTTACCTTTGCAACCTGGTTTTAAAAAGCCTCTAACCCTTGAATGGGATATGCATTTGAGTGGAATGTGCTGGAATGTTCAAGGCTGGCAGGTGCAGGATAAAGAGGAGAAAAGATTATTCAGATAATCACCTTTAACCCTTAGGAGTCTGGCTTCAGTTGACCAGGGCACAAGCTGCCACCCAGCTCAGAGCAATAACACCTCTTTGAAGAGAAATGTCACAAACCTTTTACACAGACAAGCGATGTTTAATGTTTCAGTTTCTTCCTCTTGTGAAAGGATGACCTCAATCTCCTTTGTCCCTCATTCTCAAATCCTTCGTTGGTAATGCGACAACCTCCCTCACTTCCGTTCCAGGTTGGCATCGTCACGCGAAGCTCTGCACTGAGGATCACTCCTTCCTGGGCTGTGTTTAGCCCGAGCTGAAATGTTTGCTATCATTTAGATGAGACCCTACCACTTTGTTCTATGGATCCCTGGAACATTGTGATTATCATAATGGGTGCAATTCTAAGGTAAGCAAATAACTTCTCAGAAAGCATACTTCACGCCCCCAAGGAGCAGAAACCCTTCTAAGGAAACAGGAGCTCGTTAACTAACCTAAATGAGAACATATGCATAATGGCACCTGAAATTGCCCTTTCAGGTGGCAAAGTACAAACCCTGAATTCCAGAAGAATCTATGCAACAATATACCAGCCTCCCTGTCAAATTCAAACCATATACAACATGAAATACATTGAGAACACAGTAACTGTGGCCCTTTATATAGATACCATATGTCAAGCGCGTCCGTGTGAAGAGACCACCAAAACAGGCTTTGTGTGAGTAACAAGGATGTTTATTCACTTGGGTGCAAATGGGCTGAGTCCAAACAGAGAGTCAGCGACGGGAGATGGGGAAGGGGTTGCTTTATAGGAGTTGGGTAGGTAATGGAAAATTACAGTAAAAGGTGGTTATCTATTGTTAGCAGAGGAGGGGGTTACAAGGTACATAGTGGGGAGATCATAAGACTCATTGTCCAGAAGAGGAATGTCACAAAGTCGATTGATCAGCTAAGGTAGGGCAGGGACAAGTCAAAATGGTAAAATGTTGTAATTTTGGTTAATCAGGTAAGGCAGGAACTGGCTGTTTTACTTCTTTGGGGTTTTTTCGCTGCTCCAGACTTCTTGGCTCCTGCAGGCCACCTGGATGTGTATGTGCAGGTCACAGGGGTTATAATGGCTGAGCTTTGGCTCAGAGGCCTGACACCATAGGTATACGACACAACACAATTTTTTTTTTTAGAGTGAGATTATAGTGATATTTATTTTTATTATTATACTTTAAGTTTTAGGGTACATGTGCACAATGTGCAGGTTTGTTACATATGTATACATGTGCCATGTTTGTGTGCTGCACCCATTAACTCGTCATTTAACATTAGGTATATCTCCTAATGCTATCCTTCCCCCCCACCCCCACCCAACAACAGGCCGCTGTGTGTGATGTTCCCCTTCCTGTGTCCATGTGTTGTCATTGTTCAATTCCCACCTATGAGTGAGAACATGTGGTGTTTGGTTTTTTGTCCTCGCGATAGTTTGCTGAGAATGATGGTTTCCAGCTTCATCCATGTCCCTGCAAAGGACATGAACTCATCCTTTTTTATGGCTGCATAGTATTCCATGGTGTATATGTGCCACATTTTCTTAATCCAGTCTATCATTGTTGGACATTTGGGTTGGTTCAAAGTCTTTGCTGTTGTGAATAGTGCCACAATAAACATATGTGTGCATGTGTCTTTATAGCAGCATGTTTTATAATCCTTTGGGTATATACCCAGTAAAGGGGTGGCTGGGTCAAATGGTATTTCTAGTTCTAGATCCCTGAGGAATCACCATACGGACTTCCACAATGGTTGAACTAGTTCACCGTCCCACCAACAGTGTAAAAGTGTTCCTCTTTCTCCACATCCTCTCCAGCACCTGTTGTTTCCTGACTTTTTAATGATCACCATTCTAACTGGTGTGAGATGGTATCTCATTGTGGTTTTGATTTGCATTTCTCTGATGGCCAGTGATGGTGAGCATTTTTTCATGTGTCTTTTGGCTGCATAAATGTCTTCTTTTGAGAAGTGTCTGTTCATATCCTTTGCCCACTTTTTGATGGGGTTGTTTTATTCTTGTAAATTTGTTTGAGTTCATTGTAGATTCTGGATATTAGCCCTTTGTCAGATGAGTAGATTGCAAAAATTTTCTCCCATTTTGTAGGTTGCCTGTTCACTTTGATGGTAGTTTCTTTTGCTGTGCAGAAGGTGTTTAGTTTAATTAGATCCCATTTGTCAATTTTGGCTTTTGTTGCCATTGCTTTTGGTGTTTTAGACATGAAGTCCTTGCCCATGACTATGTCCTGAATGGTACTGCCTAGGTTTTCTTCTAGGGTTTTTATGGTTTTAGGTCTCAAGCTACCAATGACTTTCTTCACAGAATTGGAAAAAACTAGTTTAAAGTTCATATGGAACCAAAAAAGAGCCTGCATTGCCAAGTCCATCCTCAGCCAAAAGAACAAAACTGGAGGCATCACGCTACCTGACTTCAAACTATACTACAAGGCTACAGTAACCAAAACAGCATGGTACTGCTACCAAAACAGATATAGACCAATGGAAAAGAACAGAACCCTCAGAAATAATGCCACATATCTACAACTATCTGATCTTTGACAAACCTGACAAAAACAAGAAATGGGGAAAGGATTCCCTATTTCATAAATGGTGCTGGGAAAACTGGCTAGCCCTATGTAGAAAGCTGAAACTGGATCCCTTACTTACACCTTATACAAAAATTAATTCAAGATGGATTAAAGACAACACAAATTTTTGAATTCTGTTTAGATTTTCAAAAGCTGGGGCAAATTTCATTCTAGGAGTCAGCTTTGATGAAGTTTCTTGATTCTCATCTTTATTTAATTCCCCTCCAATTTTTAACAGGTAACAGTCTAGACTGGAGATACTAGGTTTTAAAGTAAATAGTCAACAGAAGAAGTAAAAGCATCATTTACTGCCTCATAGAATTCTAGTTGGAAAGGGCTTGGGGGAGAAGCTGGTCTATAGGCTTAGCATCTGGGAGGAGGAAAGGGACCCCTGGAGAAGATGAATATGCCACCAGGCGACACAGCTCATCAGAGGCCATGCTCAGACTCAAGCACTGTCTTTTCATTCAAACTGGAGCTGTGCTACTCTTTTCCAGTTTGGTACTTGACACATCCAAATAAAATTTACAACCTCTACCTGGGATAAGAACTCTGCCAGCCTCAGATCTACCTCTTATGGACGGAAAAAAAGAAAGTAAAATTATGCTGAGAGATTTTGTTCTTGGAACCTCTCAAATTCTCTCTCCCAGCAAATCAAAGCTCATACCCTGAGAAGAACGGATCATTGTCCCTGAAGTTGATTAGAAATCTATTGATAATATTTCATCACCTATAGTGCGCCATGGACGTTTTCAGATTCTGGCTCACAGATGTGAAGTAGTTGCATTGTTGTGGATAACGATTCATTTGCTTTAACTCCACCTTTGCCCTTTTTCATTTGTCGGGATTGATTTCCTTTCTCCATATAATTTCACTTGTCACTATTCATGACTTGAGAATTGACCCTCTCCTTTCTGCACCTTCCTTCACAAGCCAACCTCTATTCTCAAAAACAATTGAAATTGAACATTAATAAAATATTATTGAAGATGGCTTTTATGAAAATGCTTGCTTTGGATTATTTTCTTACTAATATAAAGTGCTGTTCTTCAGATATACCCTATAAACGAATACCAAATAGCCACCAGTGCTTAAATAATAAAACAAAGAAATCATCAGGTGTCCATGCCTAGCTCTTCTCATCTCACACATACCCCAGTAGAAAATTCTATTTTTAACTCCCTTTTTTCTTGCAGAAAGATGAAATAAAAAATCAGGGGATCTCTGCCTCTCAGTTTGTAAAGTGATGCCCAAGTTTCAAAAGAGAGAAAGAAATTTAAATCAAACCTTCCACAGGAGCTGCAAGGAAATAGACCTTCTGAACTGCTGGTGAGCTGGAGAGACTCAGCCCTCTCCTCTTAGATAAGGATGGTATCTCCTTGGAGTTGAGTTTGGTCAAGGTAACTGGCAGAGCTCAATGCTTATAAAAATTTCCTTAGTACAAGTACTGCTAGTGAATATTGTTCCAAGCTGATAATGTAAGAACCTGTGACCATCAGGGCACATCCAGAGCAAGAGCAGAGGTTTCTGGGTCCTGCAAGCCCCTACTGTGTGCAAATCGTGACACTAGCTGTGCTCCTCTGTCTATCATGGCCCTTGGGGACAAGGAAAGCTACAGTCAGAGTCACTGCTTTAGCTGTGATAATTCCCTTCTCTTTCTGACTCTATTTCCTTTATCAGGTTACTTTCTCTGGCATATGAGTTCTGAGGTTTTTCTGAAGTAGAAATTCCAGTGACTGTCAAACATTGCCTTCAGGTGCTGAAATACTTAAACAAATTCATTTCTCTTGTTTTGTATGAACATGTGGTGCAACAGAGCAATAGTTACATGGACAGTGCTACAGAGATCTTAATATCTATATGCATTGTAAAATTTACTTTTCAAACTTTAAGTGAGTTAAAGTTAAGTTACTTTTAGGAAACTAACCTATCAGGAAGAGAAAACACTGGCTTGCCAGATCTAAACATCAGATTGAGCACACGTTTGCTGCAATTTGAGTATGTTCTTTAAGCATCTCGTGCCTCCATTTCTTCATTGACAAGGCATCAACTCTCTACGAGAATTAGAGAGAATGAATATGACACATGAGAAAGGTGTTAGACACTGAAGGGAAAGCTGGTGTTCTTTCCAAGAACATGTTTTGAGAATCTGTAGAGAGAAGAGTCAGTGCACAGCTTAGGCTACATAGATCAACGTTGGGTATTGGACCTTTCTGGAATCAGAGAAGAACGGAAGAGCTGGAGCTGGAACCAGAATTAAGGGGCATAGAGGCAGGTTTGGATATCCAAACACTAAAGAATGTCAGACTTTAACAACACATGGCAATTTCCTACCTAGAAAAAAATCTCAAGGAAAAGCATCTAACTCTTCTCCTAGCAGAGTAATTTCCCAAGGAAATGACCAGGTGGATAGAAACACTGGGCAAAATGAGCATCTGTGCTGGGAAACAAGAAACAATGCCAGCAACATACTAGGAATTACCCCGCCCTTCGCCCCCAAATTTGCTGGATGTCATGTAAACATTGAAAACAAAATTGTTAGAAAGGGTCCTCCTCCTGCCCTCATGAGAAAGCAAACCCTTTGGGGCACCACACACTGACCCTCCTTGACATCCCAAAAGCATACCCAGTAGCCCAGCATGAAGGGCTGGGAGGGGCTGGACGTGCTGCTGCGCTGGTGCAGGTGGGAAGCACAGTGCACACCAATCTTAGGCAGATGGAGCCCATGGAGTCGGACCGTTCCAGCCATGCCACAGTGGGGAGGTAGAGTATGAGGTTTCTCTGTGACACGGACAAGACAGCACTGGCGCAGCCACACATTGTGCCTGCCTTAGAGAATCCACCTTTGGATTCATTAGCATGGGGGTTTTTGAAGACTTTCGTAAGAATGCTTTTATTAAAAATAACACCAATATTCTTTTAAATGTAACAAAATAATTTTGAGATAATCTGGAAAAATTGAATCATAGCTTGTGTTGGTCAGGGCATGGAACGTTGGAACTCTTGCTCATCCATAGGAGAAGAACTTTCGTGGAAATTCATTTGACCTAAATACCATCCATAGTCTCTGAACTGGTAAATTGAAATTTAGAAATTTCTCAAAGGAAAGAAAAATATCAGTTCATAAGTATTTACATTCAAGAGACATGTTCACTTTAGTCTGACTTAAATGAGTAAAAAATCAATGAAATATTATCTGTTTTCCTCTCCACCTGTTTGTACTACGTGTACTATTTTACCCTTCTGAAATGCCTCTGTATCTTCTCTTCCTTATCTCACTTGGGTTTCTTTTAGACTCAGCTTGTGACTTACCTCTTCAAGGAAGCCTTTTCTGATATCCCAGGCTAGATAAGATGTTCCTCCTCTGTACTCCCACAGATCCCCACGTACTTTTTTTTTTTTTATCATGGAGCTTATCACATTGCATTAAATCTGTTTGGGTGACTCTCTTCTATATCAAACCAGCTAACCTCAAGGTCCCAACGCACTCAAAAATTGTTTTTAATTGAGCTGAGCTGTTTAACTGAACAGGGATTATAGAAGAGACAGTGCGGCAGAGGCCAACTGAGTTTGTGGTGGTAGAACATCCAGGTAGAGTCTTTCAAAAGAACTGTTTGGAAAATTGTTTTTAATTGAACTGAACTGTTTAACTGAACAGGGATTATAAAAGAGACAGTGTGGCAGAGGTCAACTGAATTTGTGGTGGTAGAATATCCTGGTAGAGTCTTTCAAAAGAACTGTTTGGAAAATTGTTTTTAATTGAACTGAACTGTTTAACTGAACAGGGATTATAAAAGAGACAGTGTGGCAGAGGTCAACTGAATTTGTGGTGGTAGAATATCCAGGTAGAGTCTTCCAGAAGAACTGTTTGGAAAATTGGCAAGTGGGAATTCACACTTTGGGATCAGGAGAGAGGCCAGGACAAGAGAGATTATATGTGAATTCTATTTATTTAGAAGTAACACTTTAAAATCTAAATGACAATATCAAGGGAAAGAACACAGAAAATGGAAAAAGAAGGGAGAATAAAGAAGCTTCAGACACAGAAAGTGCAATGTCACCAACACCAAATCACAGGACATTTCAAACAGGGGTGATCCATGTAAGAGCTTTTGTAGCTGTTGTCTATGTCTGAGCATGGGTTATCAACCTGAAGCAGTGTCATCCCCAGTAAAACATTTGGCGATGTCTGAAGATATTTTTTGTTTGTCATGATTTGGGGAGTGAGGATGGTGGTTGGGAGAAAACTCCTCTGGGATCCAGTGGGCAGAAGCCAGGGATACTGCCTGTATTTGTCTTCTGGGCTACAGTAACACCATACCACAGACAGGGGGCTTATACAAAAGAAATTTATCTTCTCACAGTTCTGGAGGCTGTAAGTCCAAAGGCCATGCAAAGATGGGGTATGCTTTCTCCTGAGGCCTCTTTTGTTAGCTTACAGATGGCAGCCTTCCCTCTATGTCTTCACATGGCCTTTTCTCTGTGCATGCATGCCCCGGTGTCTTTCTTGTGTATCCCAATCTCCTCTTTTTACATGGACACCAGTCAGAATGGATTAGAGCCCACCCTCATTTTATCTGAATTACTTCTTTAAAGGCTCCATCCTAAAAGGCTTTGTCTGCAAAATCTCTATCTGAAGTACTGGGGATTAGGTTTTAAAATATGAATTTGAAGGGAACCGGTTCAGTCTTTACTCTCTGGACCTCCAAAATCAATCTGTGTCCCTCTCACTAGCAAAATATATTCAGCACCCCATCTCAACAGCCTCAAAGTCTTAACTCATTCCAGCACCAACTCTAAGTCCTAAATCTCATTTAAATCGCCTCTAAATCAAATGCAGGTGAGACTCGAGGTATGATTGATCCTAGGGAAAAAGTTGCAACAGCTGTGAAACCAGACAAGTGAGTTATATACTCTCCTTGTGAGACAGGCATAAGTTGGGCATTCCATTCCAAAAGAAGAACTCAGAGACAAGAAAGAGGTCAGGGATCCCTACAAAGTTCAAAACCTAGGGGAGCAAAATCCATTAGATTGAAAGCCTAAGAATTATCCTCTTTGGCTTGATGATCTGTTCTCCACAATCACTAGGGCAGAAGACACATCCCCAGACTCTGAGACCAGCATCACTCCCACAGACCTGGGCAGTAGCTTGGCCCCTGAGGCCCTGGGGGCAGCCTGCTCTGCTAAAGCCAAAAAGGAGGCAGTCTTGGCACCCACATCTCAGTGCCAAATTCTATTATTTTTCAGGGTTCTCCAGTGAAAAGAAATTAATCCAGCTTCATGACCTAATCACCCCTTAAAGGCGCCACCTCTCAAAAGTGCCACACTGGGGACAAAGCCTCAACATGAACTTTGATGGGGACAAATCATATTATTGTCCTTTGACCAAGACTGGGTGAGTTCTCATGGGAGTGGGCTGGTTCCCGTGACAGTGGGTTGCTATAATGTGAGGTTACCTCTCCTGGTTAGCCTTTTACAGATGCCTGCTTCCCCTTTCTCTTCTCTGTCATGTGTTGATGCAGAGGAGGCCCTCACCAGAAGCCACCAAATGCAGTTGTCAAATCTTGAACTTCCCAACCTGCAGAACCCTGAGATAAATGAACCCCTTTCCTTTTTAAATTACCCAGTCTCAGGTGTTCTGTTATAGCAACACAAAGTGGACCAAGACTCTTGGCAAGTCCAAAGTCTGATGGAGTGGGCAGGGAGGCTGGAAACTCAGGAAACAGTTGCAGTCCAAGTCCAATGGAAACCTTCCGGAATAATTTATTCCTGCTTGGGGATGGCCAGTCTTTGTCTTGTGAAGGCCTTCAACTGATTGGATGATGTTCACCCACATTATCGAGGGTACCCACTTTACTCAAAGTCCACTGATTTAGATAATAATCTCATCAACACACACATACACACACACACACACACACTCTCTCTCTCTCTCTCTCTCTCTGAAAGAAACATTCAAAATAATGTTTGACAAAACAGTTTGGCACTGAGGCTCACCCAAGTTGACACATAAAATTAATCTTTACACTGACTTATCCTATAATGCTCAAGACAGTCCCCCAAAATAAAGAATTATCTGGTTCAAAAAGTCAATACTGCTAAAGTTGAGAAAGCCTAGCCTAGAATGATAAAGAGGGTATGAGAATGGGCATTATATAAACAAGAGAGCCTAGGGTGGAACAAAGTAGAATCTAGATGTTTTGAAGGCTAAAGAGGGTATGAGAATGGGCATTATATAAACAAGAGAGCCTAGGGTGGAACAAAGTAGAATCTAGATGTTTTGAAGGCTAAAGAGGGTATCAGAATGGCATTATATAAACAAGAGAGCCTAGGGTGGAACAAAGTAGAATCTAGATGTTTTGAAGGCTAAAGAGGGTATCAGAATGGCATTATATAAACAAGAGAGCCTAGGGTGGAACAAAGTAGAATCTAGATGTTTTGAAGGCTAAAGAGGGTATCAGAATGGCATTATATAAACAAGAGAGCCTAGGGTGGAACAAAATAGAATCTAGATGTTTTGAAGGCTAAAGAGGGTATCAGAATGGCATTATATAAACAAGAGAGGCTAGGGTGGAACAAAGTAGAATCTAGATGTTTTGAAGGCTAAAGAGGGTATCAGAATGGCATTATATAAACAAGAGAGCCTAGGGTGGAACAAAATAGAATCTAGATGTTTTGAAGGCACGATTATTGGTATAATCATTTTTCAGGTCACTTGCACATAAATCTCAATAGAAATGGTCACAAAGCAGTGGGTGCTGACTGACAATACATGGGCTCTAGGAGTGAAGCAATGAGAGGAGAAACATCACTAGTAAGAGTTTTATTTGCTTTTACAATATTCTGTGAGAGAATTTTTTCCCCTTTGGCCATGGGTTTAGCATGTACATTTCAAAGGTGTCTGTTAAAATGACAGAGTTGGCTTATTTTTTCTCTATTAGCCAAAGACACATTATAGTGGTTGTTTTTTGAAATTTATCAACCTGAGCTTGTATTTTTACTTTAAAGATAAATGAGGAACTTTTAATTTGGTAATAAGGGTACTGCTCAAATATACCTAGGCAAAAAACAGTTGTTCTATGGATTTAAGAATGAATACTATCACAAATAATAAATCAAGGAGACTAACTCTTAAATAAGATACAGTTTGCATTTTCTCGCCTAAGAAAGCATTTTTTAAAATTAGTACAAGCCTAAGTCTTGGTGTTATTTGTTTGCTCTCGTTCATAATAGGATTGCTTTATAATTATTTAGTTTTTTAAAGTGTGTCTATTATTCTAAAAACTTATAGTCCTGAGTGTCTTAATTTTTTCTAGAAAAATTTGCAATAGCTATTTCTGGCCATTGTTAGTAGGTTCAAACTGATTATGTAACTAAAGTGCTTCCACCATGAAAAAAGTGGTACATTACATTTTCTATAGAGTCTTTCATAATTCATCCCGATCAAAGCAGTGAGCTGAACTGAGACCATAAACAGCTCACAAATGTTTCACAACATAATCAATGAAGTACCAATGATATCTCAAAAATAGCTGCAAGGTTATCTGTAGTGCTTTATAGTTACAAATATGCTGTCAAAATTAGATTTTCTTTCCTTTTCCTGAGTTTAGTAAGCACTTTTGTTTCTAGTCATTTAACCAACTCCTTTAGTTCTGGAGTTCTATAAAGTTCACTCACAGAGGAATTGAACCATTGATGGGGGACTGACTGCTGGCTATACCTTCCTAAATATCATCTCTTTGCTAATCACCTCCTTACTAAATACTATAACAATCCTCAGATGCATATGCTTAAGGACAAATCTTAATTTGCAGGACATTCTTCCCGCTGGTTGGTAATGCCCAAGTGGTCCTTCTTTAGGCTGAGCAGTGTTAGATGTTCATGATTACCATTTCCACTCTTTTGTTGCTGTGGTTAAAATAAAAATAAAAATAAACGTATATAAGGTGTTTTGCTTTCTTTGAGTCAAATAATTTTGGTTCAAATAAAGAAGACATAAGAAAAGCTAACGATTTACATCAGTGATTAAACCCTTAGATGAACTTGTAATTAAGCTTAGAAATGAGGTAAATTTAGAATTAGGGAAGCAATAATAGTGTAACTTTATATTGGACTAAAGTTAAGTGATATTTTATATAAATGTAACTGATAGAACTGGTTAAGACTACTCACCTTAATCAACTATAAATCAGAGAAAGCATACCCTAGCTATGGAACATAATGCAATCAAATGTATAGATTCATTGTTTCAAACTTGGATTTGCCATGCAGATGTTTTTCATTAGAAAGGTTTCTGAGATGATTTGGCTTTGTGTCCCCACCCAAATCTCATCTCAAATTGTAATCCCTGTAATGCCCACATATTGAGGGAGGGACCAGGGGGAGCATAGGGGCAGTTCCCGCATGCTGTTCTCATGATAGTGAGTGAGTACTCATGAGATTTGATGGTGTTATAAGTGTTTGACAGTTTCTCCTTCACACACACTCTTTCTCTCTCTCTGTCTCCTGTTGCCTTGTGAAGGAGGTGCCTGCTTCCACTTCTGCCATAACTATGTTTCCTGAGGCCTTCCCAGCCATGCAGAACTGTGAGTCAATTAAACCTCCTTTGTTTATAAATTACCCAGTCTGGGGTAGTATCTGTATAGCAGTGTTAAAATCAACTAATACAATAAATTGGTACCAAGGTAGTAGGGCACTGCTATAAAGATACTTGAAAATGTGGGTGCAGCTTTGGAACTGGATAACACCCAGAGATTGGAACAGTTTGGAGGGCTCAGAAGAAGACATGAAAATGTGGAAAAGTTTGGAACTTCCTAGAGACTTGTTGAATGGTTTTGACCAAAATTCTAATAATGATGTGAACAATGAAGTCCAGGCTGAAGTGGTCTCAGATGGAGATGAGGAACTTCTTGGGAATCAGAGAAAAGGTCACTCTTGCTATGCTTTAGCAAAGAGACTGGTGGCATTTTGCCCCTGTGCTAGAGATCTGTGGAACTTTGAACTTAGAGAGACAATCTGAAATTGGAACTTATGTTTAAGAGGGAAGGAGAGCATCAAAGTTCGAAAAATTTGCAGCATGACGATGTGGTAGAAAATAAAAACCCTTTGTCAGATGAGTAGGTTGCGAAAATTTTCTCCCATTTTGTAGGTTGCCTGTTCACTCTGATGGTAGTTTCTTTTGCTGTGCAGAAGCTCTTTAGTTTAATTAGATCCCATTTGTCAATTTTGTCTTTTGTTGCCATTGCTTTTGGTGTTTTGGACATGAAGTCCTTACCCATGCCTATGTCCTGAATGGTAATGCCTAGGTTTTCTTCTAGGGTTTTTATGGTTTTAGGCCTAACGTTTAAGTCTTTAATCCATCTTGAATTAATTTTTGTATAAGGTGTAAGGAAGGGATCCAGTTTCAGCTTTCTACATATGGCTAGCCAGTTTTCCCAGCACCATTTATTAAATAGGGAATCCTTTCCCCATTGCTTGTTTTTGTCAGGTTTGTCAAAGATCAGATAGTTGTAGATATGCGGCATTATTTCTGAGGGCTCTGTTCTGTTCCATTGATCTATATCTCTGTTTTGGTACCAGTACCATACTGTTTTGGTTACTGTAGCCTTGTACTATAGTTTGAAGTCAGGTAGCATGATGCCTCCAGCTTTGTTCTTTTGGCTTAGGATTGCCTTGGCAATGTGGGCTCTTTTTTGGTTCCATATGAACTTTAAAGTAGTTTTTTCCAATTCTGTGAAGAAAGTAATTGGTAGCTTTATGGGGATGGCATTGAATCTGTAAATTACCTCAGGGATCTAGAACTAGAAATACCATTTGACCCAGCCATCCCATTACTGGGTATATACCCAAAGGACTATAAATCATGCTGCTATAAAGACACATGCACACGTATGTTTATTGCGGCATTATTCACAATAGCAAAGACTTGGAACCAACCCAAATGTCCAACAATGATAGACTGGATTAAGAAAATGTGGCACATATACACCATGGAATACTATGCAGCCATAAAAAATGATGAGTTCATGTCCTTTGTAGGGACATGGATGAAATTGGAAATCATCATTCTTAGTAAACTATCGCAAGGACAAAAAACCAAACACCGCATATTCTCACTCATAGGTGGGAATTGAACAATGAGATCACATGGACACAGGAAGGGGAATATCACACTCTGGGGACTGTGGTGGGGTGGGGGGAGGGGGGAGGGATAGCATTGGGAGATATGCCTAATGCTAGATGACGATTTAGTGGGTGCAGCACACCAGCATGGCATATGTATACATATGTAACTAACCTGCACAATGTGCACATGTACCCTAAAACTTAAAGTATAATAAAAAAAAAAAGAAAAGAAAAACCCATTTTTCTGGGGAGAAATTCAAGCTGGCTGCAGAAATTTGCATAAGTAAAAAGGAGCCCAATGTTAATCACCAAAACAATGGGGAAAATGTCTCCAGGGTATGTCAGAGATACCAGTGGCAGCTGCTCCCATCACAGACCTGGAGGAGCAGGAGGAAAAAATGGTTTTGTGGGCCAGGCCCAGGGCCCCGCAACTGGGTGCAGCCTCAGGACTTGGTCCCCTGTGTCTCAGCCTCTCCAGCTGCAGCTGTGGCTAAAAGGGGCCAAGGTATAGCTCAGGTCATTGCTTCAGAGGGTGCAAACCCCAAGCCTTGGTGGCTTCCATGAGGTGTTCAGCCTGCAGGTGCACAGAAGTTAAGAATAAACATTTGGGAACCTCTGCTTAGATTTCAGAGGATATATGGAAATGCCTGGATGTCCAGGCAGGAGTCAACTGCAAGGGTGGAGGCCTCACAGAGAACCTCTGCTAGGGCAGTGCAGAAGAGAAATGTGGGGTTAGAGTCTCACACAGAGTCCCCACTGGGGCACTGCATAGTGAGGCTGTGAGAAAAGGGCCACCATCCTCCAGACCCCAGAATGGTAGATCTACTGACAGCTTGCACCATGCACCAGGAAAAGCTGCAGGCACTCAACGCCAGCCCAAGAAGGAGCTGCCCAAGGCTGTGGGAGCCTACCCCTTGCATCAACATGCCCTGGATGTAAGACATACAGTCGCCCCTTTGTTTTGGCCAATTTCTTTCATTTGGAGTGGGAGCATTTATCTAATGCATGTACCCACCATGTATCTTCAAAGTAACTAACTTGCTTTTGATTTTACAGGCTTTTGAGCAGAAAAGATGTGCCTTGTCTCAGATGAGACTTTGGACTTGGACTTTTGGGGTTAATGCTAGAATAAGTTAAGACTTTGAGGGACTCTTGGGAAGTCATGATTGGTTTTGAAATGTGAGATGGATATGAGATTTGGGAGAAGCCAGGGGTGGAATGATATGGTTTGGCTCTGTGTCCCCACTCAAATCTCATCTCAAATTGCAATCTCCATAAACCTTTTGAAGGTTTGAAGGAGAGACCTGGTGGGAGGTGACTGGATCATGGGGGCAGTTTCCCACATGCTGATCTTGTGATAGTGAGTGAGTTCTTATGAGATCCGATGGTTTCATAAGTGTTTAGCAGTTCGTCCTTCACACACACTCTCTTTTTCTCCTGCTGCCTTGTGAAAAAGGTGCCTGCTTCTCCTTCCACCATGATTGTAAGGGTCTATGAGTTATTTAAACCTTCTTTTTAAAATAAATTAGCCAGTCTCAGGCAGCATGTTTATAGCAGTGTGAAAATGGACTAATATGGTTTTTTCTAGGAAAATTTATTTTCATTTGTAAAATATTTAATGAAATAGTAGTCAACTTATTCAAAGAAATATTGTTTCACTCATTACAAAGTAGTGGTAAAATATGTACATTTCTTTGAACTAAATTGTACTTCTTAAAAACTTTGTTATTTTGGAATAATTTTATATTTATAGAAAAGTTGCAAAGATAGTACAGAGAATCCCTGTCCACCCCTGTTAAAATAATTAAGTGGTACACCATTAGGTTAGAGTGGCTCTAGTGCCCTGTGTTCCCACATAAACAAAGTGGAACTTGAGCTGGCAATCATAGGCCACCAGCTGTGCATTTTCCAACTTCAACCAATAAGCAGTTCCTTTGCTCTGTTTCCACATTCACCCTATAAATCCCCACAGCCCCTTTGGGGAAGCCCTTCAGAGCTTGTAGTTTGGTGCTGCCTGGTTAATGAATCCCTGTTTGCTCAAATAAATTCTATCTTTTAACAGCCCTTCCTAGTTTCCCTTATTACTAACATTTCACATCACTATGGCACATTGATCAAGACAGAAAATGATACTGGTATCTCTTTTACTTTCCTAGGGCTGCTATAACAAATTGCCGTAAACTCGAGAGCTTCTAACAACAGAAATGTATTCTCTCACAGTTCTGGGGTCCAGAAGTCCAAGACCCATATGTGGCAGGGCTGCCCTCCCTCCCTATGGCGGCTTTAGGGGACATTTTGTTCCTTGTCTCTTCCGGCTTCTGGTGGCTGCTGGAGTTTCTTGGTTTGTGGCTCCAATCTCCAGTCTCTACCTTCGTGACCACATTGCCTCCTCCTCTTCTCTTCTGGGAAGTCACCATTCAACCTACAACCCTGCATTACTATTAACTAAACTTCAGACAGCTTTTCCATGAATCTCCTCTTTCTATTTCAACATCTAATTAGGGCACCACAATGCTGCCCTGTCACCTCTTGTATGTGATGCTTCCCCCACACTTTACCTGTTTTTTATGACCTTGAGAATCTTGAGGTGTACAGGCAAGTTATCCCACAGGAAGACCCCCACCTGGGTTTCTTTGATGTCTTTCTCATGGGATTTGGGGAAGGAATTTCACAGAGATAAAGTGCTTTCCTTGTCACATCAAATTAGGGGCACACGACACCACTGAGGTTGTTCACCTTCATCACTCATTTCATGTGGTTTTGCCAAGTTTTTCCTCTCTAACTCTACTATTTTGCTTTTCTTTCTCTATTCTGTCCCATGGAAACAAGTCACTAAGTTTAGCGTATGGTTGGAGAGGAGGATTAAGCTCCAACTTCTGTAGAGTAAAATGTCTACAGAAATAGTTTGGAATGTTTCTGTAAAATAATGTAACTTCTTCCCCATTCATTTTTTAATCATTTACTATATATCAACAGGAACTTGTGTATATTTATTCTATACTTTCGGTTATATCCCAATACTCTGTTGTTTATTTTACTGCTCAGATGATTCCAGCATTAAGTGGGGAGCTCCTTCAGGTGGGCCTCTGTTTCCCTTTGTCACACTCCCATTCTCTCGGGGAGTTTTTCATGCACTTTTTAACTTCCTGGTTCTACAAAATGCCCCAGGCTTATCTCGTATGCGTGGTTTATGTTTTAAAGCCAAATGAAATATTAAATGCTCAACTCTGATTGTGCTTGTCTGAAATGAGGAATGGCACTTACTGACACCTTCTGTGACTTTGTGAGTAAAAACAAGGGCACAGTTTCATAAAGTAATGATTAAGCAAACAGCCAGGTGAAGGAGTTATGTGAGAGACATAACTGCTTTTCTTACAACTAAAATGTCTGTGCTTTGGGCAGAAGGCAGGGCTGTAACACTGAATTCTAATAACAGAGTTAACAACCTTTAGCTCTAGCACAGGCTCACCTGAGATGATCAATTCCCTGTTGGTACAAGCCTCTCCTGGCTGTCGACTCAGAACTCCTCATTCACCTACATTTAACCTCTGTCAGTGGTTGTAAATGTACAGACAATGCTCTCTCATAAAATCACCAATTCAATGATAAGTGTTTTCATAGAACAATTTTGGCTCTTGAAACACAAAAAAATTTTACAGTGTAGATGTGGGTCACTTACCCCAGAAATGAACTGGAACCAAATTGCCCATGGAAGCTGCACATACACACTTGGAATAATCAGCACTACCCAAGATTCTAACTTGTGTATTTGTTTATATTTTCTCTAACAGAGAGAGGCTAAGAGAAATTTCCTTGATTGTAGTTGGACTTCTCAGGAGGAAGGCTGTATCTTTCTAATACTGCTTGGTCACCAGCACACAAAAACACATTAGCATTAAGGTATTATATAGCAATAAGGATAACTTCTGTAACATACGACATTTCACTATTTTCAACATACATGCACGTGCACACACACACACACACACATACACACAGGAAAAGAGTCCTTCCCAATGGGCAAGGAAAGTATTATCAATATATTTTCATTCTGTGGATGAGGAAGCCATGATATAGATAGGAATGAGGAAGCCATGCTATGGACATGGATGAGGAAGCCATGCTATGGACATGGATGAGGAAGCCATGATATGGATATGGATGAGGAAGTCATGATATGGATATGGATGAGGAAGCCATGATATGGATATGGATGAAGAAGCCATGCTATGGATATGGATGAGGAAGCCATGCTATGGATATGGATGAGGAAGCCATGATATGGATATGGATGAAGAAGCCATGCTATGGATATGGATGAGGAAGCCATGATATGCACATGGATGAGGAAGCCATGATATGCACATGGATGAGGAAGCCATGATATGCACATGCATGAGGAAGCCATGCTATGGACATGGATGAGGAAGCCACGATATGGATATGGATGAGGAAGCCATGATATGGATATGGATGAGGAAGCCATGCTACGGACATGGATGAGGAAGCCATGATATGGATATGGATGAGGAGGCCATGATATGGATATGGATGAGGAGGCCATGATATGGATATGGATGAGGAAGCCATGCTATAGACATGGATGAGGAAGCCATGATATGGATATGGATGAGGAGGCCATCTCTTACTCTATGACTGGGTAAGACAGATGAAATTTCCTGGCACAGTAATCACTGTTACTTAATTACAGAGCACACAAATTCAGGAGGATTCAGGAATGTTTTCTAAAATCCCTTTGTACTGACAAACTATGTGCAGAATATCAAAATATGCAGTATATCTAAAATGTTCTTTAATGTTTTTATAAAACACAATGAGTTTAATCCCAATTAGAAATCCAAAAATCAGCTATTGAATAGTCAATCTGTCTCAAAACTCAAACTGAACCTATATGACCCAACATGTTTACAGTCTGATTAATGAGGCAGTTTTCCAAAATTTAGTCTGGCAACAAAAAATTTTCTAAATCCTTGAAATGTAATTTCAAGGAAATTATGTGCATATTAAAGTCAAGCTGGAAAAATGTGTGGGTTACTTACTCTAGAGCAAGGAGTCATTTCCATAAAATGTTTCAGCAGGATGTGCACTGTAAAATATAAATGGAGAGGAATGACCGGATGTGCTCTTTTGTCTTTCAGCATCAACATTTTTAAAAATACTGTATTTTGCCTTGTTATTTTCACAAAAGCATTTAGCAACCTTTCAGATTTTCAACATTACATTTTGACAAGACAAAGAGAAGAGTAATCTGTGGGCGGCACCCTGAAATAATAACCAGAGGAGTATTATAGGAAAGAACATCGTGTCAGCTGCTAGAACTTCACCGACTACACTTCTCTGGGAATCAGAATGAACGTCTTCATGACTACTTATGATATAGAACGATTTTACTTTTGAAATCCAGATGAGTCACTAATTCTAAAGGGTACAGCATCCCAAGCTCTGCAGCCACCATTTTAAGAGTAAAGGAAGGAGAACATTAAGCAGCCAACTTATTTAAGGTTTTTTTTCTCTGCTTGTCTCATTAGTCTTCTTTTATTCTTCCCGTTGAGACAAATATGATCTAAAATCATCAAATATAAAATATGAGTAACTCTCTCTGAAGAATTAATCTAATGTATTTGGATGTTTGGTTTTTAAAATGCAGTTAAGAAATTACATCCCCTAAACTGTTAATTAATGCTAAAGCTGGCAATTATTCTGTTTATTTGCAGCATCAGTCTTGGTGAATGCTCACTTTTCTTTAGGTTTTCAGGTTGTGAAAGCAATAGCATATAAAGTGACCTTCTTTCTTTCACTTCTGCCACTGACATGGACTAAATGTTAGTATGGCACATCCTTCCGCCTCCTGCTCTTTCCCACCTACTTACGTCTTTATATTAAAGTGGAAGGCAAGTAGAGGACATAGAATCCGGTCTTGTTTCGTACTCACTCTGATATCCTTTCTTTTAATTGGCATATTTAGACCATTCATGTTTAATGAGATTATTGATAAAATTGGATTAATATTTACCATGTTTGAAGCTGTTTTTCATTTTTTGAATTTATTCCTTGTTTCTTTGAGTTTCCCCTCTTTTTCTTTCTTCTCTTGTTTATATGATTTTATTTTATCTGCTATTTGACCATATTATTATATTTTTTAAGACAAATCTTAGTGGCTTCTTGAAAGTATGTAACACACAGTTTTAAATAATTTAAGTCTATCTGCAATAGCACTATCCTACTTCACATGTACTGTGAATTTGTGGAGCAGGTTCACCGTGCACTGGTTAGCAACTTGTCTGAGTGCAGTGAGACAGAGCACGCTCAGGGGCAACAAGTCAAGACTGAGAATTATCACATACAACAGAAATGTAGGATTCATCATGAGCTAGTCCCTCAAAGCTCAGGAAAGCTGCATAGAGCAGATGGAGCCTTGTCTGTGTGTGACCCACTTACCATGCAGCTGAGGAATCCTGGAAATAAGGCTGCCCTGGGATTTACACCCCAAGAGTCACATGAAGTGCTGGGCTGAAGTGTTGAAGAACATTCTATTTGTGGGGAGGAGGGACTGTTCCAGCCATCCTCTCCTTATACCAGGATGTTGCATTTCTGTAGTTATAGAACGACGTTCTACAGTTGTTCTCAAGAACTATAAGTGAGAAAGGGAAGTTAACTGGGTCAGTCCAAGACTGCCTGGAGAACTGTCCTACACAAGTAACAGAGTATTTCCAATGGCTCCTTCATATCTCTGTGATAGGTGGCCATGCATTTCACTTATCCACATGCTATAATCACTCAACACGTTGTTACTATTACTGATTTAAATCAAGTTACCTTTTAGATCAGTTAGGAATGAGAAAAGTAAAAGATTGAATTTTACCTTCGTGTTCTCCTTTCCAGCACTCTTCCTTTCTTCATGCAGATCCAAGTATCTGACCAATATTATTTTCCTTCTTCCTGAAGAACTTCTTTTCACATTAGTTTCAGGGCAGGTCTTCTGGTCATGAGCACTCCCAGTTTTTGTTTCTCTGAGAAAGTCTTTATTTCTTCTTCACTCTGTAAGAATCATTTCTCTTGTTATAGAATTTTATGTTGGTGTTTCTTCTTCTTTCATTATCCTCTCCCCTCCACAATCCTCTTGCTTGCATGATTCCTGATGAGAAGTCATCTGTAATTCTTATCCTTGCCTTTCTATAGATAAAATGGCCCTTGCCCCCGGTTCTTTCAAGATTTCTTTTTGAAATTGCTTTTCTACTGTTTAAATATGATACCCCTAGAAGTAGGGCTTTGTTTTCCAGTATTTATCTTCTTGATGTTCTCTGAGCTAACCTGATAGGTGGTTTCATGTCTTCCGTACATTTTGGAAAGTGCTTTGCCATCATTACTTCAAATATTTCTTCTGCTCTATTCTCTCTTTTTTGTCTTTTGGTAATCAAGTTAAACGTATGTTTTGCCTTTTGAAATTGTCCCACAGCTGTTGGATGTTCTGGGGTTATTTTTCTCGCTTATTTTCTACTTGCATTTCAGTTTGGAATGTTTCTATTGACATATCTTCAAGCTCATTAGTTTTTTTCCTCAGCTATTTCAATCTACTGTGGAGATCATCAAGGCACTCTTAATTTCTGTTACTGTGGCTTTGATTTCCAACATTTTCTTTTGATTTTTAAAGTCTCCTTCACTCAGCTAACATGTATCTGTTTTGACACGTTATTTGATTTTTTATTAGATTCCTTAAGATATTAATTATAGTTGCTTTACATTTCCTGTTTGCTAATTCCAAAATTCGTCTTTCTGATACTGATTCTAATGCTTGCCTTGTATCTTCAATCTATAATTTTTCTTGGCATTGTCTGTAATATTTGATGAAAGCCAGTAAATAGGTAGAAAGATAGAGATACATAGAAAATAGAGATAGAGGTATATATAAACATACAGATATACATCAATAGGTGTACATCTATATCTATACATATATAAATACCAACACATACATTACATATAAGTATACACATACACACACACAACATGGGAACTTTGGTAAATTGGTCTTCAGTGCGAGGATTTATGTCAATTTGGCAGGTCTTGGACTTTGTTTAGTGTTTGTTGTAGCTATGGATGCCAGAGGTTTCAAATACCTCTGGTGGCCTTGTTTTTGTGTCTTTGGTTGTTTTAGTGTTTCTGTAAGATAAAGCCTGTCTTTCAGCTCTTTCACCTGGAATCAATTGTTAATACACTGGAGTCTGTTGGTGTTGCAGTTAAATGTTGGGGAGAGAAGCACACTGTAGTCTCGTGTGTAAGTATGAGTGTTTTAGTGGCACTTTGTCCCAGGGCTGTGACCTTTATAAGTGTTTCTTAGATTTCCTTCCTCCCTCAATGGTGATAAAAGAAAGCAAGAAGTGGCTGGCTTATAGATATATTCTTGCCCCAGGAGGAATGGGGCCCTGGCAGTCTTTTTTTCCCGGAGAGTAGGCTTTTGTTATAGAGAAGACCCTGGGCATGTTTTATAAAGATTACCTTTCCCTTCCTTCTGCCACAGCACCAGGGGATCTCTCTTGCTTTCCACCTTGAGACCCTGGTGGCATTCCGAGTTCCAACTGGGTTGGGGCAGTGAAAAGGGGGCCCTAACACTAGGGTCTCCAGAAAGTTTTCACTCTCAGAACAGTCTGCATTCAGCCTCCAGCAATTCATCAAAATTACCACCTACATGTCCATGCAGGTTTATGACTCCAACTGCTCCTGCTCTAGGGAGGCTGATCTTGGTCATGATGATCTGCATTCAGCTGCATCTTCAGCTTTGGGCACCAGGCAGCCCTGTGACCTCAGGTCTTCAAGGAGTCTAAGAAAAGTAATTGATTTATAGTTTGTTCAGTTTTTTTCTTATTGTAAGAACAAAGTGTTTGCCTCTAAGCTCTTTATATGTCAGACGGAGATTCTAACAGGAAGTCTGTAAACGTGGCATTAGAATATTTTTACTTGGTAATCTCATTCAGGACAGTTCTGGAAAGGTATCATTTTCTAACTCAGGACAAAAGGCATACAGGGCCAATAGTATATTTGAAGAGCCAGGTGTTCTAGCTTTAGGCAGCTCTACCCTGAAATGATTGAAGACACATATTTGACCATTCTCTTAAATCTAAGGAATTAGATTAATTAATCAATCTTAATAACTAATTTCAGTGAGTAGGAAACTGGACTACTGGCTTATTACATTTTAAATTGAATTATACTTCATATTATACTACAATATATAACACAATTTAAGAAACTCGAGGGCATAGATATCACCTCTACCATATATTTATCTATGTCTATCTATCTATCTATCATCTATCATCTATCTAATCATTCTTTTGAGGGAGAGACAGAGAGACAGAAAGAATGTGTGTGTGTGTGTATGTGTATGTTTGCATGTGTGTGTGTTCCCTGCTTTAGCAATTCCATATCCATTCTCCACCCTCCTCCATCCCTCAGGAAACTGATCAATAGAGAGTAAATTGAAATGCTCCCTTGCCTTCTGGCTTTTGGTTAGATTCACCAAAGGACAAGAACACAGATAGAGAGAAAAGTCTGAGGTTGTAGCCTTAATTCCCTGAGCTTATTTCCTGTGTGCTCCCCTGGGATTAGGTACACCCTCCAACACAAATGGAGAGAAAAGTCTGAGGTTGTAGCCTTAATTCCCTGAGCTTATTTCCTGTGTGCTCCCCTGGGATTAGGTACACCCTCCAACACAAATGGAGAGAAAAGTCTGAGGTTGTAGCCTTAATTCCCTGAGTTTATTTCCTGTGTGTTCCCCAGGGATTAGGTACACCCTCCAACACAAATGGAGAGAAAAGTCTGAGATTGCAGCCTTAATTCCCCGAGTTTATTTCCTGTGTGTTCCCCTGGGATTAGGTACACCCTCCAACACAAATGGAGAGAAAAGTGTGAGGTTGTAGGCTTAATTCCCTGAGCTTATTTCTTGTGTGTTCCCCTGGGATTGGGTACACCCTCCAACAAAGTGCATAGCTCCTCCCTCCTGCTGTCCTTTTCACAGGAGTCTTCCCTTTAGGGATTTCAACTGCCCCTGCTTCCTGCTCAGTCACACGTGAGTTATAAAAGCCCAATTGTTTATGTGCTTGACCCTCTAGACCAATCCCCAGGGTCTAAGGCCAAATATACACAACCCAGGAGATAGGGTGATAGCATCATTCCCAAAGCTGCTTTTCTTTACCCCCACCTGTTTCTGAAGACTAGACTACATTAATGTGTCTAAAAGAGGAAGGAAGAAGGCTGGGTTCTGGCTGCCCTGCAGGCAGCATAGACACAAAGCGGCCATTGCCGGATAATCTAGGGAAGTCGTTGCATTTCTGAGCCCAAACCAGTAGCTCTTGTTTTCAGGAAATAATAAGTTCTATTGTCTTTGTAGTTGCTGGAAATTTCTAACAAATTCTGGTAGTGTTGATTGTCACATTTGCTTTAGGTGGTTGTGAATGTTGTCTTTTGAAAACATCTTAACATATGTTTGACTGAAAAGTTAGGAAAGAATATCAGAGGCCATTTTAAACCCAAGACAGACTATTGAATTAACAATGACTATTAAATAAACCACATACATTTTCCCTCCTAGGAGATGTTGAACACAATATGGAACTTACCTCTTTCTGTACTTTATACTTGAGCTAGGCTGTGTATATATCCCTTGAGCTAGGCTGTGTATATATCCCTTGAGCTAGGCTGTGTATATATCCCTTGAGCTAGGCTGTGTATATATCCCTTGAGCTAGGCTGTGTACATATCCCTGAACTTGCCCAAATTCATGACTTTGTTTTCTCACTTTCCATTAGGATTTTCTTAGCTTCAGTTATATCTGTTGAAATTCTGTACTTTATTCAAGGGTTATCATGGATAGCAACTTCCCTATGAAACATATTCTGATGTTTTCAATCAGATATTTATAGTCTTTCCCTGTTTTGCACAACCATTGTATATTATTTATTTCTGCTTTATTGTCTTCACATTATGTATACACACATATGTAATATGCACACACACATATATAGAGTAAATTTTCATTATTTGCTGTAGGTTCATTCTCTGAAGCTGCTGCTAATGCTGAGTTTGTGAATACTGAACCATGAATACTGAACCGTTGCTCTCATGGAAAATACAGGGTTAAACCCCTGCGGGCCTTTGGTTAGTATTTTTTTGCCCGCTCCTATCCTGGTCACATTTTTGTCAATGTATCAATACATCATCTTGTTTTGTGTGTTTCTGTTTAAAGTCACCTTATTTAATACATGTTGTGATTCATTAACTTTGAGCTCATGGCCAACAGCATTCATGCCTGAGTGAAGCTTATCTTTCACATCTGTTTTCTCCGTGAGGCACACACAGCCTTCTTGTGCTTAGCCACACTAGACAGCACTTCCACACTATGCTCGGGGACCACCTCAAACAAAAAAGTTGCAAACAAAAAGCACAAAAATGCAAAAAGCACAGCACGGTAAAGGCTGCCAAAAGGACATTCACTTGCAGTATGCGAGCTGATGCGGGAAGGCAGAGCATCCCCTTCTTCTACCTCAGCTGGGAACATGCACGTTGGGTGGCAAATCTTCCACCATTTTTCATGTGCCTTTTCACGGGGAATGGCTGTGAAAGAACCACATTGTCGACTTGGGTATCACGAAGAAATTTTAGTCAGTAGGCAAATTTGCAAATGTGGAATATGTGTAGAATGAGGATAAACTCTGTGTGTGTGTGTGTGTGTGTGTGTGCGCGCGTGCACCTATTATGTTCCTGCTCCTTGCCAGATGCTGTGTTAAGCATTGTGGTTTACAAAGGAGGATATCACAATTTGGAAATGAAGATAATCAAATAAACTGATACATACAATGTGGTATAAAATACTCAAGAGGAAAGCACGTGTCACTGAGGCCTCATCATGAGGTTACCTGGTGGAGCATCGACGTTCAGGAAACGTTTCCTGGAAAGAGTTGCCAGTGAGTGGAATCCTCAAGGACAAGTACAAAAGAAACCTTTCGTATTTTGTTTCATAGCAGCATCTAGTGTGGTGTCTAGATACATTATAAGTAAACAAAGATAAAGCTTTAATTAGCAACATCTACTTAGGTTACAAATATGAAATAGGAAAAAAGTATATGTAAGTGAAGCTTGGATATACAATTATTTCTAAAGTCCTAGAGATCCATTTCAGCTATGGTAATTACTGAAGCAGAGCCGGGCACTTTCCTCGTCGGAAGACATGACGTGAGATGACATCACGCATGACTAAATGGGGACAGGCAGAGCACTGAAGAGATTGACAGCGGCCGAAATCCAGAGAGGCTCGTATGTCATGCAGAAGAGGGGGAGATTGAGAAGGAGTCATGCAGGGAGTAGAAAGATCATCTGTTGTGGCATTTTAAAATCAAGGTGGACATTTTAATGGAGAGAGTGGTAAGCATTGGAAAGAGTCCAAGTAGCGTGAAGAATGAGAAGCATCCATTCACTGAGGTTCACAGCTAGAAGGTCATTATTGACCTTGGCAGGCATGGTCTCAGTGGAGAATTGGAGGCAGGAGCTAGATTGCAGGGCACTGAAGACCACATTGAAGGCCATGTGCATGCCTTGACCTCTAACTCCAAACACGCTGGCCATTTCCACCTCCTCTAACATGCTGTGTTTCCTCTGAATCAGGGTCTAAACATTCTCTCCCTTCTTATTCCGTTAACTCCTTCTTAAAGGTAACTGGCCTTCTTAAAGGTAACTGGCTCAGATGTTTCTCTTCCACAGCATCTTCCCTAAACACCACCTGCCATATCAGGACTCCCTGTTACACATTCGGACAGCACACTGTCACAGACTCTCATTCCAGGTCTACCTGCTGATCTGAATGGGGTCTACCTCCCCGTCCCACCACTAGGCGAAGACTGGGATCATGTCTTGTTTTCCTGACAATGGTATCCACAGTACCAGAGACGTTCCTGGCACATGTGTTTCATTCAACTGAGAACTATTTCCTATAAAATACTGAAACCTCCTTGCATTTATTCATTCATTTAGCTTCTCTGCAGTGCCTTGCATATGCAAACATGCTTGATAAATATGTTTAAACAACCAAACAGTAGTTAATTAAGATAGGACTATTGAGTTGGTCACAGAACATCTAGAATCTTCCTCCAATACTATATGATTTGCCTTCTTTGGTCATCACTCTGTCATCTTTGCCAGGAATAATGCCTGGCACAGAGTTAATGCATAACAATTTTTGTTGAATTAATAAATGAGTGATTAAATTAATATAAAATTATAATTAGTTATGGTCTAATTTATGCCTTAAGTTTATAAACTTATAAGGCAAATTTCAAAAAAAGTCAGAAAATGCTCTGCAAGGCAAGAAGAGCATTTCAAAGGGAATTCTGGGTCTTCTTGTAAACTTTACTACGAGGAAGAAAATAAAAATGCACTTAAAAATCATCAGAAGGATTTTTCTAATGAGCTCAAATTTGAAAGGCTTTGAATAAGACACGCAAGACTTAAACATTACCAAGTACACATATGCAGTAAAATTATGAGTTTCTTTTAAAATATACTGAAGCCAGAATAAGGGGAAAAATTAAAAGTAAAAAAAAAGTTACACATTTTAGTTTATCCATGGAGCTATATGAAACATAAAAAAATGGCACCTAAGGTCATCAACATCTTTAATACTCAAAAAATGCAAAATTAAAAACACACGTAACAAGTGTGACTACGTGCTCACTAGCATGGCTGAACAAAATACTGATAATAGCAAGCCCTGGTGAAAATATGGACCAACTGGACCTCTCGCATACTATTTATGGGAATGTAAACTACTGTAACTACTTTGAAAATATTTAGCATGTTTTTATAAAGTTAAATATAAACTTATATTATGACCCAACTTTATTACTGAGAAATGAAAGCTTATGTCCGTAAAAAAAAGCTTGTACTTAAATGTTCACGGCAGCTTTATTCATAATAGCCCCAAACTGAAACCAACTCAAATATCCATGAATAGGCCAATGGAGAAGCAAATGATGGCATACCAAGGGATGTGTCTCGACAACAAAACAGAATGCATACATACCCTCAAAACTACTTCAGTGAGATAATTCAGATTAAAACACTACAGACTATATGATCCTATTTGTACGAAGTTCTAGAACAGATTAAAGTGATATGTGGTGATAGAAATTCGATCAGGGTTTGTGTGGGATGAGTGGTCGGGAAGGTCATTTGGAAGGGACCAAAAAGGATGTCTCAGAATGGTGAAAATATTCTTATATCTAAAATGTGATGGTGGTTACCTTGTTGTATACATTGTCATGGGCCTATACATTGGTGTGTTTACAATGGGTGTGTCTATTGTATGTGGGTGTATACATTGGTCAAATGTATTATACTCTGTGTTTAAAATAGGTGCATTATTTTTATTATATGCAAATCATGTCCCAATAAATTTTATAAAACTTTTAAATTTAAAATTATATGTTAACTGTAAAAAGAGAGAAAACAGACATCTTCAACTCTTGTTTTATTTCTACTCTTACTGCTGAGAAGAAGGTAGCAGAATTGACATTGATAAAAAAATCACCAAAATCAAGTTAATGCAGAAGATTGTATGGTAGCGTCTAGCTCTTCCAAATAAGTTCAAATTTTAAAACACAGAAGTTATACCCTGTGTATGTTGGTCAGTGTTCTTCATTGCCATAAATAGAATTCACTCTGGTGGATTTAAACTGCTATGGACTGAATCGTTTCTCCCTCAAAATTCTTGTGTTGAAGGCCTCGCCCTCACTGTTCCTATATACAGAGATAGGACCTTCTTGGATGTAACTAAGGGTTAATGAGGTTGCAAGGATGGGGCCCTGAGTTGATAAAGTTGGTATCTTTACAGAAAGGCAACCAGCGAGCTCGCTCTCTTTCCTCCATGTGAGGACATAGCGAGAAGGCAGCCACTTGCAAGACAGGAAGAGAGCCCTCACCAGAAACCAATCTACCAGACCTTCACCGACGAGCTACAGCCTCCAGAACTGTGAGAAAATAGACTTCTATTATTTAAGCCGCACAGTCTATAGTATTTTGTTGTGACAGCCCAAGCAGCCTAATTCAAGCTGAAGTTCTTTATTACAGGGTGCTAGAGAGCTTGCAGAATCTCTGGGACCACAGGGAAGTCAGTTTTCATTGCTTCTCAAAGATCTGCTGCTTAAACCTCTGCTGGAGCCCCCAGGAAAACCAAGTGTCTCGGGCTCATATCCACAAGAGGAACCATCATTTCTCCCATGGTCACTGTCTCAGCTGCCTCCCTTCATTTGCCCCAGTCTCCCACTGGGGTGTGTGCCCGGCAGAGCCTGGGTGGTCCCACCCTCAGAGTCCACACCTCCAGAGCATTGAGGTCCCTTGGTGGGAAGATTGCTGGGCTGCATTCGGGGACTGTGAGGAGCACTTCAGGGAAGACGGGAAAAGACTGAAAATATTCTCTAGCCGAAAGAGAACTGAAGAATCACAGAGCAGACCTGTGAGCCTGATATTCTTTTGCCAAATTTCAAAGCAGGCTATTAAAGAGATAGATTTTGAATATTATAGTGAAAAAAGTAATAATAACAAAAGGCAACACAATTTTATCATGAACTAGGTTTCTCAGATTATTATACCTGGTTGATCTCAGAATGACATCTGAGGGTCTCCCATACTATAATTTTCACAGGATTCAAAAATGTGAGAGGTTTTTTTTTTTAAGAAAAAACATAATTGATTGATACCATCCTGAAAAGAAGTTCGTAGGTAATCAGCATAAGAAACAATTTTTAATATGAGCAGACACGCATCAGCTTACCGAATTTGCACATGACACAGTATCCAGGCACAGGTCAAAAGAGGCTGCCTCTGACAGCCGTTCTAATATTTTTTCTGCTGCCTCAACTAGTGTCTTCCCTACTGCCCCCACCATCACTCTGACTCTTCCTAAGAGCACTGGGTTGGGACGATACTCCACCCACTGTTGATCTGTTTGATCAGGGGCAGTCCATTTCACCTCCCAGGGCCGCCAGTTTCTCTTCTGCACACAGAGATGACTCCCAAGGCCTCTTCAGCTTTTAGTCCCCATGACTCTTATGAAGCCTTTGGGCTTGGCAGCACTTTTTTTCCCCTCTGAAAACAGTTTTTAATTTGCCCTTACCTGTGGATGGGTTCCCTGAAGCTATCCAATTGATATGTCACTGAGCATTTGGAAATTGTCGTTATGAAGGGCAGTTGAAGAGTAAATTTTTTTTTCTGCGACATCTTTGTTCACAGCTGTGCCTTGTAGTATACCCAGGGAGGGATTTAAAAACAAACAAAAAACTGGAGGGAGAAGAAAGAATGAGGAAAATGATAAATTGTGTTGGAAATCATCTAATGATGAGCCTGTTCTGGGAAATCCTTAACCACAGGAATGAGCTTCACCTGGTGTTGAGCATTCAACTCCTTCTGGTTGAATGCCAGAGAAGGTGTGAGCTGCAATGACTCTAACAAGACTGGGGAATCGGGGCAGCCTCTGCGCTTGGACCCGAGGCCAGCCCAAGACAGTGACACCCGCTACTCGCCCCGCTTTCTTCCTAGCACCCTCATTACAAGAACAGCAGCCTTTACAGTTAAGCAAAGTGCAAACTCCTCTGACCTTTGGTTCTTCTGCAATAAAGTCAGCTGGCTGCTTTTAATGTTTCCTTTCATGGCTTTCAGAAAACCCTCCTCCCATGTGAAATGTGAAATTTTGAAAGGGTCCAAGCCGTATCTCACATGGAAAGGGACGCTAGACAGGAATAATTTACATCTTAAAGTTATGAACACAAAATTAATTAGAAAATTGAACCAGGGTGAGCGGTAGTGAAAAAACAGCTGTTCCTGTTTTAGCCTCGGTTTCATTTCTCCCACAGATTCTAAATCTCAGGGAGCTTGTGAACTCAATTCCCTTTAATTGTCTCTATGCAAGCACAGTCATGCTAGTTCAAAGCTCATAAACATCGAGGTCTAACGTTACTTGTTTGAATGATGCATTCATTCTGGGACTAAGTGTGAGAATGCCAATAAGCCCTCTGCATAACTCAAAAGAGTGTAGGCATTGTGAGAAAATGAATCGAATAAATGGAAACACTGGATCTCCAAATTCATTTCCAAAATTAAAAACCAGCTACCTACCATTGGTATTTTATACATCTGTATACTTTCTGGTAAAACATTATTTAAAATAAATTCACAAGTCACGATCCTTGAGCAAAAACTAGCAATACATTTTCTTGGAGCCATTTGACTTCTCAGATTTGTGGAGAGAAGAAATGAGGACTATTAATAGAGAATTTCTAGGTTTTTGTTACAGTGTTTATGAAGGACCCTGATCCTGTATGCCCCATAGGTCCCTTTTCCACAGACACGTGAATCAGTGGGAACTGAGAATTCACATTTAACACCAGGTTCTCTGGCCACGCATAAAACACAAATCCTTTCCCCAGAATGCTGCACGTTTTAACACAGGATCTCTTCTTGCTGAACATGCTGAAACTGTCCATTCCCTTGCTCTGTTACCTGCTCTTCATATTCTGCTGAGAACAAATGTGTCAAATGAACAGATTGCTCTGACAGTCAGCTTTTGTCAAACTAGGAAAATTATACCCAGGCCTTGTCAGGAAAACAAGCTTTGGAGTCTTCTGGATGCACCTGTGAAGCTGGCCCTGCTCACAGCTGCACACCCTCCTGGCATTCCAACATTGGCCACGTTGATTCAAAGCACAACCGATGAGAAATCTCTCAGGCAACCTCTCCTTCAGCTGACACAGCCAACTGGCTATGAGCAAGTGTTTGTCAAGGCCCAGTCGGAATTGCTGACCATAAAACATAAGATAATGAGCAAAAATTAGCTCTGGAAGAGAAGTTTCAGTTGTCTGCACTTGTCCTTTCCAGGTTTTATGGCCCCTGGAAACCCAGGAATTCATTACTTCATCCTCCTTCGTGTTTTAGTATTTCAGGGGAGTTTGTGATATTCTCTAAATTGGTTTACCTTTCATTTAGGATTAGGAAAATAGTTGAATTATCATTAATAGTGTGAGTCTGCTAATTTGCTTGTGATGGTTAAGAATTCCCTGTTGAAGAAGATAGCCAAAGATTCTTCGCGGGGGCTGTATCACCTGGAGCTTTTCCCTCTGGTGTGTTTCTGATCCATCTTTGACCCAGGGTATCTGAGGCCCGTCTGGTGCGCTGAAGGCTTTTTGGTGAGCTCTAGATGGATTTTAAGATTTTTACATAAATCTCAGGATGGCTGGGAAGTTATCACAACACAAAGTAAGACGGAAATAGAGATGACCTTTCTTGCTCCATTACTGTCATTGGATGCTGGCTAATTTGAAAGTAGCAAAATGATGTGTCTACCTCTAGTTATAACTCAGTTTCCAAACAAATTATATATTGCTATAAAGGTAAAACCTACACTCATACTCTTGTATGTGAGGTAAATTTTTTTCTAAGAAGAAATGACTAATTTTTAAAGTAATTTTATAACCAATTCTACCTGTGTTTACCATTTGCTTCCAACCAAAAGTTTAATTTGGACTTGATCTTTCAGAAGATTGGAACATTTTGTTCATAAATACTGTTTTTTTCTTTCTGGTTTTAATGGGCTGACCTAACCCCTACCCCCATTGAGGTTCTGTGGTATATTTATTTAGCAATCAACTATTGGGATGAAAAAATAATGGTCCCTAGCACACGAAACCATGAATGTATTGCTTATTACACTTTGCTAGAATTTAGTATAAACACATAGATACAAGCATCATATTAAACAGCTATGAAATTATTGTACAATTGACAAATGAAATTTGAAAGATACTTCTTTAAGTATCTCTCAGAGTTCATTCTGCCAAGAATAATTTTCTTTAATTAATTGGTTAGGCATTTATTTAAGCCATTTCTTTAAATTCTAGGGCAGAGGCAACAATCTATGTCTAATTTGTTTTCCCAATTACAAGTGGATTTGTACTGAAAATTGAAAGGTGAACTGGAGCTGACAAACTTATTTTAGGATATCTTGCAGTTAGCATAAGTTAACCAAACGCCACAGAACTTTTAGATTCAGCTGGCAGTGAGAAGTGTGTATTCAGATGAGTTTATGAATTTTCATCTTGTTTCTAATCTTTAAATAATTTGCTCTCTTTTATATGTTCTTTCTCAGCCTGTTGCAGTAACTAAAAAAAAAAAATCCTGTTCTGAAATCATATCGACTCTGAAACTAAATCTATCCAGTGATTAAACAGTGCTCTTCTCTCTTCTCTGTACACTTTGCCTTATAATTCTCTCAAGGCATCTATGTAATTATTCATTTGTCCTTGAAGTTTTGCCAACTTTTATTTGTTATGAGCCCATGAATTCAGTATCTGGAAGATGCCATTACTCCCACATTACATTTGACCATATTACAGGATCAGATGTAGTAAATATAACACACAAAACTCATGGGTTTTCTGCGGAGGGGCCGTACAATACCCAACGAAGTGTGAGAGGTGAAAGAACCTTGAAGTGTCGTAGATGCAAAAAAATATGTGAATGTAAGTTCTGATCTATGGGAGCTGAAGGAAGTAGCAAGGACACCTCCTGATTTGATAGTTGGAGCATTTAAGGACGGAAGATAAAGCAGAAATGTGATTTGTAGCCACCACCAAACATACCTTCCTTGCTAATACCAGGCCTTTTAACAGCCTTCTTTTGAAAACGCTTTCTGCACTATGGATGTGTTGTATTTCTATGCTTTTGACAATTGAGTAGACTGTTTATTAACCTCCTAGGAAAAGGATCCAACCTAATTTTTATTGTTAGTGAGATAACTGTTCATCACATAGTGGTTTCCTTAACAGAGTGAATGACTGACATACTCACCTTAGGAAGTCTGTAAAACAATACAATTCCAATTACTCCAGGCAATTTGTGTTGTTCTGTCTGGTTTTTAAACAATTCTTTTAGCAGCTGGGCCATTTTAAAAAGGGCATCACTCACAAGAGACGAGTGTATAGAATTGATTACAGTAAGGACAGCACATGGGGTACCTCATTCTCCCCGAGGGCTTGACATGGACCCCATGTGGGTTTGTGCACACACATTGCATGGATCCCCCATAGATGCATATACACATACACACACTGCATGGAACCCCTGTACGCATACACACACACACACACACACTGCACGGAACTCCTGTATGCATACGCACACGCACTCACACTGCACGGAACCCCTGTACGCATATACACACAGGCACACACGCACTCACACTGCACGGAACTCCCGTATGCATATACACACAGGCACACACGCACTCACACTGCATGGAACCCCTGTACGCATATATACACACAGGCACACACACACACACACACACTGCACGGAACCCCTGTACGCATACGCGCACACACACACACTGCACGGAACTCCTGTATGCATATACACACAGGCACACACGCACTCACACTGCACGGAACTCCTGTACGCATATACACACACACACGCACTCACACACACTGCACAGAACCCCTGTATGCATATACACACACACACACGCACTCACACTGCACGGAACCCCTGTATGCATACACACACACACACGCGCACTCACTCTGCATGGACCCCGTACCTGCATGTACACACACACACACTGCACAGAACCCCTGTATGCATGTACACACACATACTGCACAGATGCACACACCTCCCCCGCATGGAAACCTTCTCAAGGTCACTCAGTTAGCAAATGACACAGCTAAACCTTGAAATCACTCAGACTGGCTCTGGAGTGAGGCCATAGAATAGTGTCTTCAAGGAACAAACTAAAACTGGTGATAACAAAACGGCTAGCAGCACTTTAGGGAAAAAGAACACATTTAATAAGTGGCTGGAAGAGATCATGTAGTAGGTTCATTTTCAAACCGTGTCCCTTAGATCTCCAGTTTCTTAACCTCTTTGACCCCGTGTGTTCTAATCTGTAAGGGGATATAATAACCGTAACTACCTCAGAGGATTGTTTTGTGTATTAAATGATTTAATCCACATGCAGCCTTTAAAATACTGCCTGGCATATACTAAGCACTTAATAAGCTTCAGCTACTATTATTCAATTCGTAAACCGAGTGCCTACAATGAACAATGCACTGAGGGTTTTAGGGGATAAAGAGAGTCAGTAATACCTAATCCTAGACCACAAGAAGTTTGCAACATACTTAGATAGGAACTAGATAAGTGCTTTAAAAAATTTCTAAGTTTTTTGAGGATGCCGATACCCAAAACATTCTCCAGTCCACTGGGACCTTGCTGAAAGGGAAGGGAATGGATGCAAACTGCAATGTGTGGTTGCCAGTGTCCAAGTCATTAGCAATGGGTGGCAAATGCCCAGTTGCTCCAGGCAGCAGACTCTCTGATACACTACAATGAATCAAGGAGGACCACCACCCTTCCTCCACAGCCTAACTACAGGATTGGCATGAAGCCAGGCAGAGGAGCTGCCCACCCAGCTGCTTGAACCAGACCCTAGCATGTGTAACGCCTGGAGAGGTCCCAAGTGCAGCATACCAGAGTGAAAAAGCAAAAAAAGAACAAATATATCCTGCCTGAAAACTGAGTTTCGGCACCTCACCCTGCTCACTGGAGCACCATAGCTAATGAATGCCAGGTTCTCACCAAACTCACCAGATTAATCGATCCGTCTCCTGGAAGGAGGAGCAAGTAAGGGGACTCAGTTGTCCTCAAGAGAGTCAGATGACACCACTGTGGGAAAGAAGAGGTTAAAATTGAAAGAGGTTCACACGGTGACAGGGATACCAAATTGTCCTGAAATGAGCAGCACAGTCTTGTAAAATGAAGAACTGTCCTGCTCAATGCGTCACGGATGCCCCCGATAAGAAATGGTAGAAAGAACAACAGGAACACCCTCTCCAAATTTTTCCCGCAGAATTAGGGTAATGGCGGGAAGTCCCTTCTCTATGACCCTAGGTGCAAAAGTAGGGGGAAAAAGAAAAGCATTCTCCACTCCAACCCACACACACACACACACACACACACACACATACACAAAAGATCACTTCTAACTGCAATCATGAAGTCTCCCAAGGAAAAAAATCAAGGTCCTAGCAGCAAGAATTTTTTTATAGATGTCGAGATATGCAAGAAGCAGAGAGGGGGTAGTATGGAAAAGGAATAGGGACAGAAAAACAGAGGGTACAGGCAAGAAAGGGCAAATGGGCGTAATGTACAAGTAGGTGCCAGAGCTGGAGAAGCACGGGAGCTGCCTTCAAGGTCCCTGGGTCAGAATCCATGGGTGGTGACCATTCTGCAATGCTGGATCTCAGCCTGTACACAGTGGAGAAGGTGGTGACCATTCTGCAACGCTGGATCTCAGCCTGTACACAGTGGAGAAGCACTGCCTATGTGGACTGGAGAAAGTAGACAGTCAGAGAAGCAGCAGATTAAAAGGATTCGACTAACAACAGACACAATTTAGAAGGCTGCTTTGGTTGTCCCAGCAAGAATATCACAGATATTCTTCCTTCTTCAAACTTAGATCAACACAATTTTTATGCATACACGTTGAATGTTTGTATGCAACACATCTTAGCGTATAAGTACATCATGTTCTTTACAATTATTTTATCCAAATTGCACTGAGATCATTCTGAACTCTGAATTAGAACTGGAGCAAGCCTTAGTAGTCATTTGATCCAACCCTCTCGATTTTTCACTGTAGGAATCTGAAGATAAGGAAAGTTGAAGGTATCCTTACCAAGGTCACAGAGACAGCTAATGACTTTATAAGTTTTGGAAAACAAGTACTATGTCTTACATTTCTAATAGAATGTTATTTAATTTTGAAAACATCTTTTAATCCAGCACTTTGAAAGTGATCAGCTTTTAATGGAATGCCTTTTGCCCATGAAAATTGAACTTTTGAAAATAACGTCTGGTTAAACAAAACAAAACAGAAAATCCTCTCACAACAGATGTAGTGTAACCAGATTACAACTTAATCTCACAACTGACCTTCAAAGAAAATACTAAATTTCTGTGTTCAGATACTTCCTGAATGGGGTAACTAGGTTATCATTTTAAACATCCTCATTATGTAATAACAAAAATGTCACCCTGAATTCATCCAATCACAAGATTTTTGACATAAAAATATTTCCCATAAATATAAAAATGATTGTCTATAAATAATAAAGCCATGAACAATAGCCATAGAGCTAAGATATTAAATCTTAAGAACAATAGCCATAAAAAAGGATGACTTCATTTCCTTTGTAGAAACATGGATGAAGCTGGAAACCATCATTCTGAGCAAACTATTGCCAAGGACAGAAAACCAAACACCACATGTTCTCACTCATAGGTGGCAATTGAACAATGAGAACACATGGACACAGGGTGGGGAACATCACACACCAGGGTTTGTTGTGGGGTGGGGGGAGGGGGGAGGGAGAGCATTAGGAAAAATACCTAATGTAAATGATGAGTTAATGGGTGCAGCACACCAACATGGCACATGTATACATTTGTAACAAGCCTGCACGTTGTGCACATGTACCCTAGAACTTAAAGTATAATAATAATAAAAAAAAAGAAAAAGAAAGAAAGAAGAAAGAAAGAAGACAGAAAGAAAGAAAGGAAGAAAGAAAGAAGGAAAGAAAGAGAAAGAAAGAAAGAACAGTAGCCATGAAGCTAGGATATTAAATATGTGTCACATTTTATTAGTGAGGAAGGTTCTGTTCTCAGTATGAGTTCAGCCATTCTTTCTTTCTGGGGATTTTATATTATTGGTGCTTGATTTAAAGAGGTGAATTCTTAGAATAAAAATATGGCAAAGAACTCATTGGCCAACTTTTCAGATGTTTTGCGGGCTTTGCGTATCTAAAAGATAGCTAAGAATGTAGCCCTCCTCTGATCATTAGATTGTGCCTTCTGTTGAATAACAACATCTCTTCAAGAACAATCTCTGTAAACCACCTCACACACTTTTCATTGAAGCTTAAATAGAAATGTTCATTAATTAAATATACAGTATGTTTTAAATACTTCCTTGGTTTTATTCCATCTCCAAAGTGACCTCTAAGCAGGTTTAAGTAAATGCTTTAAAAAATATCAATTATTGGAGGTCTGAGTGCTTTTAGCTATAGCTGCCCAAGTGAGTTGGCAAAAAGGAGATGAGGTTTTCAGATGCTTCAGGGCAAGGATGTGCTTTCCCCTAGCCTATGGGGTAATAACCCTCTGATTCCTTCACTGGTTCCAAAGTCTATATTTAGGCTTACAAGTGTTTTAGAATAAAAATATCATGATATTTTTCTTTTTTAAAAAATTCCAATTTAGCTACTTCACAGACAATGTTTTGTATATTCTACCATTTTCCTTAATTCCGATGATAGAAAAAGACAATGATTTCCCATCCCTCAAAGTTTCCAAAGAAAGGTGGAAACTTCCATTCTACTCCCAGTTGGGAAAAGTATAAAAGCAACGTCGTTAGTCCCCCTTTAAACCCTTCCACTGGCCCCAGGGAGACAGGAGTGACTATTAATTAGGGCCTTAGAAAAGAAACCCTCTGGGTTTACTTTTTTTTTTTTTTAAGATCATCTTGTTGAAAACACAGCTGAGAACTTCTGCACCACTGCTAATTGATCAGTATGTAGAGATTTTTTTTTTTGTTCATCTGTGTGATTTATCTTTCTTCCTTCTCCTTTTATCTCAAATTTCAAATGGTTTAGAATTGGGAGATACACAGATTAGAAGACAGCAAATTCAATCACAAATTTACAAGGAAAACTAAAGTACCACATTGTAAGATACATTCCAAGTTTAAAATGGCCGATGTAGGGAAAGGAGAGTATGGAAAACACAGTATTTGGAAAATATTTAACAGATATGTTTATTTTTTCCACCACAATTAAGTATCTAATTGGTAATCAACATTTGTCTAAGGGAAGATGATACCTGAACTTCAGTACAGCGTTATGAGTGGAGTAGCACCTCCCTTACTGAATGAAGCCACAAGGTTCCCACCGTTGTCTTTCTCCTGGCAGCATCATCCAGGACTAAAATGTCAAGTCTTCCTCCTGGGTGTCAGTCTGTATCCCAGCCCCACTACAGCTGTACGGACTCCTCAGCTAACATAACGCTGTGCTGCAAGGTTATGTGATGATTCTCCACTTTCCTCAGAGTCTTCACCGGTGCCATCTCAGGCTGTTAGCCCAATCAGGTCCAGGGACTCGGCCAAGCGGACACAGGGTTCTCACTGCAGAGGTGGAGTCTGAGTGCACCAGGCAAGGAATGAGGCACAAGCACAGACGGGCCTCGGACTAGAGAGAAAACGTGGAGTCAGGTCCCACCAGACTCTGAAATTAGAAAAATCCAGGTGATGTGGCCATGGGGAATGTCATATCCAGCTCAGGATTTTTCAAATTCGAGCCCCACACGATGGTGATTGCAAAGCCTTCCTGTGAGTGCCACATGGGAAGAAAAAAAGTCTCTACAGAGGGAAGCTTACAAATTCATCTTGCGAAGACAGTTTAACAGTCTAGGAGGCTCTAGCTTCCACCTAAGCATACATAGATTTTCTTAAAGGAGCTATTTATTTAAAATATAAATTGTGTCCCTCAGAACAAAAGATGTAAGATAGCTAACAATTATAACTAGTTTCAGGGAAAAACAAGTAAACAGCATAATATTTGTTACCAGTTAATGACCCCATAATAAATAATCTGCAATTGATTAAATAATCCTTTAGGCTGAGCCCTGAAATACCAACATTGGCAAAATTAACGAATCTTCTGTAGGACCTAGTTACCAATAGACTTTAGATCAGCCAGATGGGTGCTCCAGAAAATGCACTGTAAGCTCTTTAGCCCAATCACAGATATTACGCCAACTACGGGGCCATTCTTCTAACAAAGATAACGCATTTCTTTTGATTAATGACTTGGAGTTTTTCAAATTTTTTTGTATTAATGGGTAATCCAAAATAGTTATTTTAGGCCGACAATAAAGCAAAATGCAACCAGGAGTTCACAGCTGTATAATCTGCTCATTGAGCATTTTGGTTCCAAAATCAGATTGATGAGATTGGAGTCCATGCTCTGGCACATGCTCAGCTCTGAGTCTTTGGGCAAATCACTTAATCACTCTGCCTCCATTTTCTCATCTTTAACGTTAAAGATGAGAAATAATAGTTTCTATTATTATTTCTATTAATAGTTGTCTATTAATAGAAATAATAGTCAAAATAATAGTTTTTACTTCACAGGTTACAGTGAAGATCAGCTGATGCAGATACTGATCTGAGAACAGTACCTGGTGCATATTATGTCCTCAATAAATGAAACATTCGTAATATTTTTGGTTTGAAACCGCCTTTGCAAACACTATAACAGAGAGAAAATTATGAGGGTGAAAGAGATCTGATGAAACCAACTCCATCTTTGCCTCCAGCCTCCAAACTGCCCTTGTTCATTTCTGTCCAAGCGAACTACAGGAGGAATTTAGCTTATAGTTTAACTTCGAAACAAAGATTATAACATTTCTTTCCTGAAACAAGTCCCCTCCTTGACTGGGGACAAGAACATCCTTGTAAAACTAACAAGTTAGCGGCAAGATTAGAAATGATGGCTCAGGAGCCACGCAGCCAGAGGCTAGAAGATCACTTCACTTCCCCAGTTGCTCCAATGGGTAACATTTCTATTGTAAAACCTAAGATCGGTGTTCCAGGCATTTTTCAAACCCTGCATTCTTATGGATGAGCTGGGGCCACCCAGACTGGTACACTGGCTCATCCTGTCTTGCGGCCCTCACCCAGGAACCGAGTCAGCACAAGAGGACACTGTGACTCCCTGCAATTCCATCCCTGGCCTGAACCATCAGCGTCTCCATTCCCTAGCCCCTGCCCACCAAAGTATCTCCGAAGAACCCTACCCTCTGAAATTTCAGGGTGGCTAATTTGAGTAATAAGAAAGCCTTGGCTTGACCTTTCGCCAGCTCCACACATACTGAACCCTTTCTCTACTGCAATCCTGCTGTCTTGGTAAATCAGCAGCGGGCAAGAAGAACCTGCAGGTGGTTACAGTGTTAACAGTAAATTCACTGTACCTCTTGCTTAACTACAGAAGCAACAGAAGAGAAAAATACAGTTTTGTCTACATTCAACTTTGCTTAAGATGCAATGGAACCCATCATTTAGAATTGCAGCTCATTATAAATATTAAATAAACAAATTTATTAACTCTTAAGGGTTTAAGACCCTGCAGTCAAACAGGTCAAGCAGGATCTTGAAAGTATTTAAATGTTCTTGTTTTTAGCCATTATTTTCTCTAATAATGCAGTCAACTAGGCATCATTTTTAAACTACAAAAAGTTTGAATCAAAAGAGCCTGTTTATGTTTTGTTTTGTTTTTTTTTTTTTGAGACAGGGTCTCGCTCTCTGGCTCAGGATGGAGTAAAGTGGAGTGATCTTGGCTCATTGCAAATTCCACCTTCCGAGTTCAAGGGATTCTCCTACATCACCCTCCTGAGAAGCTGGGATTACAGGCCTGCACCACCATGACAGACTAATTTTGGTATTTTAGTACAGATGGGCTTTCCCCATGTTGGCCCAGGCTAGTCTCGAACTCCTGACCTTAAGTGATCTGCCCACTTTCGCCTCCCAAAGTGCTTGGATTACCGGTGTGAGCCATTGCCTAAAACAGCCTGTTTTTCGAAGTACATTTATTCTCCTTGTGCCTGTCCCAGAGCACAGGTTTCGCTGCTTGGCCTTAATGTAATTTCTCTTTTGAGCATTTCCGTGTACACTTTGACTGTGGCCTTCATCCCTCGTCAGGTTTGCAACTGCAATTTTCACTAATCCCCGTGAGCACTTTCCCTCACAAGGAACAGAGAGCCCAGGCTGTTAACCTAGTCGAGGAGACTGGACCACATGTTAGATATCACAGGCCTTTGATTCCAAGCAATACTTTTCAGTTGACAGTTCACTGAGAATTTAATACATATTTAACAAAGATCATAGAGAGATGTTTATCCTGGTTGCCCCCCAGAAAGAGTCCCTACATCAGAAATTCCGGCTGATTTCAGAGACGTCTGTAACCTGCATTAAAATTCAGAAACGTATTTTCAATAAAGACGTTGGTTCAAATGTGTTTATTTTCCTTGAGTAGGCCATACATGCAAGAAAAAATAAACAGAACATACAACCTCTTGACTTTGAACTTGAAGACAAACTCACCTCAAGAAAAACAGCCTGCACTTAAGCTGTGGAGAGGGTTGGATTAGGGGCTTGGAAGACCATCCCAGCATCCAGTTGTCTGATGTTAACAAGGAATCAGAGGTCGCCAGATCATCTCATCTGTTTCCACTCATCTGTTTACCCGTTCATTCAAAAAACTGAATATTGGGTCCCAATATTTAAGTTTTCAAAAAATTCTAACAAGGTTACGGCTTATTAAAGGAAGAAAAAAGAAACAAGTTAGCTTGGAAACAAGAAGGTATAATTTTTTCTCTCATGAACTTTTCTTTAAAAAACACTAAGAAAAAAGACAATGCAAAAAGAGAGAGAGAGAGAAATAAATAGTAGATTTTCAAGAACAAAAGCACATTCAGAATAAAAAAAAAAGTAGCCTCAGTCAAAACACTATCCATAAAGATAATTCATTTCAGGAACAGACTGAACACCAGGAAATTTAGTATTTGAAACAAGTTTGGTATTCAGAATAATAATTGTAATGAGTTGAGAGCTACTTTCAATCCAAGTTTTTAGCATAATAAGCAATAATCTATTCATACAGGCAGAAGTCAGCATGAAGTGAATTGTTATTTACACATTACATGCATTAAACTTGCTGAAATCTGGGGAGTGTTTTAATTGTTATTCTTGAAGAGAAAAATGTCAAAGAGAAAACCTTAAGGTTACTTAGAGTCTGTGTGGGGCTGTAATGCATGATTGGAGCCGGGGCTTGTCCATGAAGATGGTCTAGCATGCTGTATCCATGGAAAGCTACACCAAGCCTGCTGCTCAGAGATACTGCTTTCAACCCTGGGTTAGCAAATTTAAGAACTGCAAGCTGAGAAAACAGATGTGGACAGTAAGACCCCTAATTCAAAGCACACAACAGTTACGACGCCCTCCCGTGAGTGAACAGATGGTGACAGTCAACAGGTTTCCCCATAATCACTAAAATGAGGGCACGGAGGCAGATTGCATTAACGAAAGAAAAACAGTCTTACTGAAGGGTGGCAACTTTTCATTGTTGCACCGTCTACCCTTTCGCAGAAGCAAAATTCAAAGGGCTAAGAGACTTCAGAAAGCCAAACACAACTCGCTGCGTGCTGACACAGCCTCCCTCGTAGAGAAACTCCTATATAACTTTGCTAATCTTGGATAGCACAGAGACACAACTCGCTGCGTGCTGACACAGGCTCCCCCATAGAGAAACTCCTGTATACCTTTGCCTAAGCTTGGATAGCAGAGAGACACAACAACTTGCTGTGTGCTGACACAGCCTCCCTCAGAGAGAAACTCCTGTATACCTTTGCCTCTGCTTGTATAGCACAGAGACACTTTAAATTTACAAGCACAAACAGGAACCCTTGTTTATATTATCTCTCAAAAAATTCTTTCCGCAGTGACCTCCTGCTCAGCAAATAGCACCACAAACTCCTGAGCTGTTCGAGCAACTTTCATCCTTCACATGATCTTTCTTCTAGATGCCCCACCTATCATCTAGTCCTGTTGATTTTTTGTCCAAAAAGCCTCTTGGGTCAATGTGTTTTTCTTCACTTGTACTGCTGTTCCCTTCCTGGGGTTTATCTAGCAGAGGAAAGAGCAATCGTCTCTGGAGGAAGGTGGCACCCTGGTGAGCCGTTCCAGTTACTCATGCACAATGAGCCGCATTCAGTTAGAAAATGTTGGGAAGACACGGCCCATGCTGTACTCCTGGGTGTCACTGCTGGTTCTTCAGGACCCAAGGACTCTTTAGTCAGCAGGTGTTGGATCCTGCCAGGACTGGCCCTTCCCTTCAAAGTAGTGGGTTCCCTTTTGGCCCAGGGTGTGCCTAGGAATTTCATCCAGGAGGAAGGGCCTGCAATGGGGGCCTCATGCCTCTGCCCACTGCACTCTTACCGTGGTTGAGCTGGTAGCCAAGATGCGAAATGAAGTCCTCTTTATTCTTTGCTCTCCTTTTCTTAAGCAGATAGGAGGAATCGCTTTTGTGGCTATGGACTGCACTGCCTGGGGTTTGGGGAGGGATGGCACAAACACTCCCTGAGCCACACCAGTTGCTGTCTTTCTAGGACACATTCCCCCCCGCCCCAGTCCCCTGTCTGTAAGCCCAGTCTAGCTAACCTAGGACCTCAGAGAACTTCGGCCTACGGTGGTGAGACTTGTCGAGAAACTCAAGTTCCTACTCCTGGAATGAATGATTCCCGCCTGGCTCAGGCTGGTCCAAATGCTCTCTGCATATGTAGGTGCTGAACCCAGCATAGCTTTATTCTCCACTGCGACAGGACAGCACGGAGTTCAATAAAAAGTCCCTCCCACCCCAGTTACTGTGCTCTCCCTCCCCAACATGCACAGACTCTCCATGCCACACAGCTGCTGCCAGGAGATGGGGAGAAGGGGAACCAGCGAGTCAAGACTGTCTCCCCTAATGTCCTCCATACCTTTTTCAGCAATGTCAAGTTAAAAGCAGGTGCTGTGGTGGCTCACCTGGCTTTTGGCTTTGTGACAGTGCTTTTCTGAGTGCAGAGGGTGGTTAAATTTGGAAATCCAGTCGGGGACACACCGTGTAGGCTTCGATTCCACCATCTTGTTTGCTCACCTACTTACAGTTTTTGATGCTTTTGATTCAATCCTTTCCTTTTTCTTTATTTGGTTGCTGTTGAGGTGTATGTTAGTCCATTTTGGGCAGCTGTAAAGGAATACCTGAAGCTGAGTATTTTTGTACACATTTCTGCAGGATACACAAGAAGCATGGTGCTAGCATCTGCTGCTGGCGAGGGCTTCAGGGAGCTTCCAATCATGGTGAAAGAGGAAGGGGAATTGGCATTTTATGTGGTGAGGGAGAGAGCAAGAGAGAGCTGCCAGGCTCTTTCCAACAACCAGCTCTCATACGAACTAACAGAGCACTCATTACTATGGGGAGGGTCCAAAGCCATCCATGAGGGATTCACCCTTTATGACCAAAACAGTTCCCGCTAGACTCCACCTCCAACACTGGGATTGAATTTCAACACGAGTTTGGAGGGGATACATATCCAAACTGTATTCGGGGAAATTTCACTTTGTCTGAAGAACTCCCTTTAGCATTTTTTTAAATGTAGATCTATTAGTGACAAAGTTTCTCTATTTTTTCCTTCTCTGGAAATGTATATATTTGACTGTCATTTTGAAGACGATTTTGCCAGGTATAGAGCTCTAGACAGCTGTTCTTTTTCATCTCTTTAAAATAACATCTATTTCATTTCTATTGAGAGATCAACTGTCAGTGTTATTGCTGTTCTTTTGATTATATTACTTTTTTTCTCTGGCTGTTTGTTAAAACTTTCTTGCCTTTGCTTTTCAGTAGTTCATTCGTGTTTTAAGTAGTAGTGTTCTTAATAATTATCTTTGCGATTCATAGAATTGCTTGAATCCGTGACTAATTTTTTCTTTCATAAATTCTGAAAATTCTCGGGCATTACCTCTTCAGGTATTGCTTTCTACCACATGCTCTCTCACCTTGCCTTCTGGGACTCCAATTACATTTATCTTAAACTTTTTCACCATGTCCCATATATTCTTTATAATCATCTTTGCTTTCCATCCTTTTTGCTCTCCATTCTTCAATCTGGACATATTTTTACTAACCTATTTCCACCTCACTATTTTCCTTCTGTTGTGTCCAATCTGCTATTAAATCCATTTCTGTTATTCTTAGTTTCAGTAATTGTACTTTTCAGTTGCAGAATTTCTATTTGATCATTTTTTATAGATTTAAGTTCTCATGCAAAATTCTCAATCTTATTTTACTGAACACACTAGTTGCAGTTATTTTTAGATTCATGTGTGATAATGCCAGTATCTGAATCATCTTTAGATCTGCTTCTCATGTCTGTTTTTTATCTTGTCCTAGTCATTGAAATGTGCTAATTTTTTTATTGAATGTAGGAATTTTGCATGAGAAAAGAATAGAGTGTTTGGATGTTTTCCACCAGAGGAGAGTGACCCTATTGTCCTCAAAAAGCTGACATGGAATACATAAAACATCTCACATCAGTCCCATCACAGATAACCATGCTGTTCCGAGATGGTTATAAAGATCTGAGCTCTTTATAAAGGACGCCACCAGAGGGCCCCACTAAGAGTCTGGGTGTTTCCTGCGGCTTTTCTTCCTTGGTCATTCCTAAATTCCAATTTTAGTTTCCTAAATACCTTGAGATTGCAAAAACTCTGCTGCTTTTTTATCAGCTTTTCATTTTCTGACCCTACACATGTGAAGAATTCAGAAATGACTCAATGGATGAACAACAAATGTCAACTTTCCCTCTCTATGCTCCCTTCTCTCCGGGTCCTTGGCATCTCTCTGGCTGCTGTGGCAGTCTCAAGCATCAGTTTTTATTTACTGATTTCAAATCACTTCCATAAGATAACCCAAGGCTGTCCTGCCTCCTCCGCCTCCTAGCAGCCCTCCTCTTCATGGCTTCTCAGTCTCCCACCCTGTTCCCCATCTCTGGCCCCTACTCCTGCCTCAGCAAATGACCCAAGAAAAAAGAAGCACACAGAATGTGGAGCCCATGCTCAGAGATCTCTCCCTCTATCTGGATCTTCATTCCTCAAAATCTAGCTGTCTCAGAGGCACTCTGGTGCTGTCAAAGAGACACATTTTTATAATTTATTGGGCTTTTCAAGTTGTTCTCACAAGGACCATTGGCAGAACTAAAAGGAAAGTCTCTGTCATATTTAAATTTTGCTTTCTTAATGAAAATGGTCTTTCCTTGGTAGATAACATGAGCAAATGAACAATTTTCTTCCACCATCCACTAAGTTTGAAAAGAGAAAGTAAAAAGATACCATATTATCATTGCATAAGGAAAAATTGTATGCACACTATCTTGTTTGAGAAAATGTCTATTTATGTTTGCTTTTTTAAAATGTGGATCTCGGTGGGGTCAGAAACAGGAGCAAAGTTTCTGCTACTCTGTCCATCCCAGAAAAGCCCCAGTTATGTGCCATCATCCTCTATGATATACACTCAATTTCACCAAAGCAAATTGTGATTTACCTGATCGCAAAACCTCTTCTGATTAAAATTAAATATTGTAATTTCAGATGATATTTTTTGTTATCAGAGTAACTTTGCTGTATTCTTTGTTACTAGCAAAACTAGGGATATTTGGTAGTTAATGGTCCTCACATCAAGAAAAATGTGCAGAACTCTTTCATGATTCATTTAGAAATAGGCAATCTGCCTAGTTCATGCTCACACCAAACAGAGGGCTTGAAGTCCTAACAAATTTCTTCCAGAACTAGAGTGAAATAATCACTAGACATAAGAATTTCTAATATTGAACACAGAAATAAGAACAGCACATCTGTATTTATATTATTATCTCTTGAGAATGTCAAATTATATTTTCTATACAATTAGTCTATTCTTACCTATGTTTACATACATACATTATGTTTGCCAAATAGGTGTTACTGAATAGTTTTGTAAAAATCAAAACACATTTCAAACTCTACAAATGAGCATTGTATTTAAATGGATCACATGTTAAATAATTTTCTAAACGGAAGAACCTCTCCAATTACTTTTCAGACATGTAGACGGCCAATAGTTTGATTAGATATTAGTGACGGTAATGAGTTCTGACTCCCCTTCACTATTCCTCTCTCCATCTAATAGGGTTCAATCATAGAGCTTGTAAGGATTAATTCCTTATTAATATGTTCAACCAAGGCTGATTGATAACCCTCTATGGCTTTTTTGGAAGTCTTTCTCACTAAATTACACCTGCTAGAGGATTCTAGCAGATAAGTCATGAAGGCAACCTTAAAATGAATAGCCACACTTAACCTCTCTGTATATTTATTAACCAATCTGTCATCACCCCAAGTTGTGTGCAGAGCACCAAATTAAAGAATGGCATGTCTTCCCTGCTGGTTAAGCAAGCAAAGTACAGTCATGCATTGCTTAACGACTGGGATACCTTCTGAGAAATGTGTCATTAGGCGATTTTATCATTGTGTGAACACAGATGGTACTTACACAAACCAAGGTGGTACAGCCTGCTGCACACCTGGGCTATATAGTATAGCACACCCGGGTTGTATAGTATAGCTTACTGTTGTGAGGCTACAAACTTGCATAGAATGAGACTGTTCTGAATACTGTAGGCAATTATAACACATTGCTAAGTATTTGTTTATCTAAACATAGAACAGATACAATCAAATACAGTACAAAAGATTATAAATGGTACACTTACCATGAATGGAACTTGCAGGACTGGAAGTTTCTCTGGGTGTCAGTGAGTGACTGGTGAGGGTATGTGAAGGCTTAGGACGTTACTGTCCACTACTGTAGATGTTATAAATGCTGCACACTTAACCTCAGCTTACTGTAACATTTTTACTTTATTAACTTTTTGACTGTTTTGTAACAACATCTAGCTAAAAATGCAAATACATTGTACAGTTGTACAAGAATAGAAAGAAAAATATTTTTAATAGAAAGAAAAACATTTTCTCTTTCTGTTCTTATTTTTTCAGACTTTTTTAACTTTTTTTTTACTTTCTACACTGTTTTATTAAAACTTAAGACACAAATACACACATTAGCCTAGGCCTGCACAGGGCCAGGATCATCAACGTCACTGTCTTCCACCTCCACATCTTGTCCCACTGGAGGGTCTTCAGGAGCCACAACACGCATGGAGCTGCCATCTCCTGTGATAGCAACGCTTCTTTTGCATACCTCCTGAAGGATGTGACATTTTACAGTTAACTGTTTACACTTAACTTTTTTCTAAGAGTAAAAGGAAAACACTCTAAAATAATTATAAAAGTATAGTATAGCAAATACACACAGCAGTAACACAGCTGTTTATCATGATCAATTTTTATGTATTGTGTGTCATTATAGCTGCTACACTGTTATGTGAATGGCAACGCAGTAGGTTTGTTCACACCAGCATCACCACAAACGCGTGAGTAATGTGTTGTGCTAAGACCTTCAGGTGATTACAGTGTCATAGGCCACAAACATTTTCAGCTCCATTATAATCACATGGAACCACAGTCATATACGCAGGCTGTTGTTGACTGAAGTGTCCTTATGCAGTGCATGACTGTACTAAGCTTAATAACCACCCATAGTCATTCAGGGAGGGATGTCTTTCTTTTGGTCGCCCTGCCAACATGGTCAGCATTAGTTTGAGAATGCATTGAGGCTGGGCTCATGCCAGTAATCCCAACACTTTGGGAGGCCAAGGTGGGCAGATCACTTGAGGTCAGGAGTTCAAGACCAACCTGGCCAACATGGTGAAACCCCATCTCTACTAAAAATACAAAAATTATCTGGGTGTGATGGCAGACTCCTGTAATCACAGCTACTCAGGAGGCTGAGGCCAGAGAATCACTTGAACCCAGGAGGTGGAGGTGGCAGTGAGCCAAGATTGTGCCACTGTATTCCAGCCTGGGCAACAGAGTGAGACTCCAACTCAAAAAGCAAACAAACAAACAAACAAACAAAAAAAGAATGCATCGAATAACAGGATTAGTGCAGGCTGGAGGGGCTGACCAGCCTCATGCAAGTCTTGGCTCTGTCCCAGCTTTGTGGTCCTGGGGATCTTTCTCCTAAATCTCTTAAATCAGTCCCAAAATAAGAGTTAATGCCATATATGACATAAAGTTTTTAAGTACTATATAAAATATTAAATAATAATTATTTTAAATATTAAATAATAATTATTTTAAATTAACTTAAAATTCTACATGAATCTATTTATAAGTTCTGAAATAATGTAAAAAGGTAAAGAATGGTCTTTATGTTATTATCATTATTGCCCCAAGTTAATATAAAAGTGGTGCTAGTGATTTAGAAGACCTAGATAGCCTAACTATGTAGGTGCTACTACTAGTTATGTATTTATTTTAAGTAATATGCTATATGGCATATAGTTCATTACAACAAATAATTTAATTCCTATAACTTTTACAGAAGATATATTTCTATTTATGAACCTAATTTAAATCCTGTTGTACTATAATTGTGGTTAGCTGCATTCCAGGAACATAAGCACTTGGAAAAGAGATAGTTGTTCATTAAGAAAATAAAATTGCCTTAATCTCATCGTGACTTTTACACTGATTTCTTGTCAGTGTTTAAGCTGTGTTCAGAGGGGATGAACAGAGCGGAAATGTGCTAGAGGGATGATTGAATAAATTAGGTTCTGTGACCCAATCCATGCCTGGGAATGTGGTTTCACATATTCTATATATCCACAGTATAAACTCAGGAATAAAAAGAAGCTAAATCACCTGCGTTATTATAATCAACAGTTTAAGGCTCAATGCCTTCTCCTTTCAAACCAAAAAATTCTATCATCCATCTTCCTTTCTTCCTCCTTCCCTCTTCCCTGCTTTCCTCTGTCCTTCCCTCCCCCCTTTTCTTATTTTGTTCTCCTTCCTTTTGCCTTCCTTCCTGCATTTCTTTCTTTTTCTAACAGTTGCATTTCTTGGTGCTACTTCACTCAACTCTTCATTAACTTACCATTAAGTATGAAGTCATGTTCGACTCCCGCCAGCCCAAATGCTGTCCATTACCGGAATCTGGGTTTCCACAGGGGATTTCCTCTGTGTCAGTGACACATAACAGAGTCCAAGATACTGACCATTGGTTACAATGTCTGTAAAGAGTGACTTTACTCACGTGACACATCAAACCCTTCCAGTGTGTGAGAAAATGAGAAAAAAGAAAAGTGTCTAAGAATAAATATAGGACTGCTATATCTTGCAAATATCAAAAAAGAATAGTATCAAAGCTGGGTCTATTTGACCTTGGCTATGGCTGCTGATGCCATTCACATCAGACTATAGATTGTTCATCAAAGTTAAGCAAACATACTGTGTAAAATAGTTGCTTAATTTATTTGAGCCTTGGTCGATCGCTCACTGAAAAAACTTCTGAAATCTCTGCTATGTGTACAGCATTCCACACGCCTTATGTTAGCTGGTAACCCTCTGTCTCTTTAGGGCTTGTGGTGAGAGTCAAATGTGTATGTTGCTATATATTCTTAACTGTCAACTGCTGAAGAATGTCAGGATGAAGTCCTAAGACTGGAGATGGGGAGAGCTTAGCAGCTATTGATGAAATATTGATGAAAAAACTACACATTTCTAGTTTGGTCTAACCAACATATAAAGATCTAGTATAGTGCCTACTACACAGTATGTACTGAATATATATCTGTGGAATCAATGAATGTATTGATTCATGAGAGTATCTGTTTACTCAGAATCTTTCAGTAGTAATTAAGAATGGCACCTCATTATTTCTATACATACCTCATTATTACTTTTTTATAAAACTGATGAATTCAAATGGTGGCAAGTGTTCCTCAACAAGGAGTACCTTCAGAACCCCAAGGCATGTGTAAAAAATGCTTTGCACTGCGCAAGCTTCAGATAGCTAAATAGACTGCAAAATATCTTACCAGTAAGGAAAGCAATAATTGAACACAAAACTTTTCTAAACAAATTTAGTCTTCAGTGACTTATTCAATTGACTTTAGATAGAGGCCGACAGAAGCAAAAGTGACTGGAGCCCCCATTTGGAGGTGATGGTGGTAACCTGATTAATTTCCAAAATGAAATGTGAAGATACACTAGTAACTTGATTAACACTCCCCCTAAAATAAAACCAATAGAATTTGAGAAACAAAAACTACCATTCAGGCTGTTTATATGAAGTCTCATTAATATTCACAACAATCAAGAACCCAATTTCGTAAGTAACTGTTATGCCAGGCACTCCATACCACTCAGGATTGGAAGAACCAGGCTGGAAACTGAGGTTTGTGTATCGACGAGAGCTATAGTTATTCAGTCAAATCAGTCAAGTCTCCAATCCCTCATCCAGTGGTGGAGAGATTTGAGTTTGTTTTGCCTGATATTGTTTTAGTTTTAGAATTTGTATAAAAACTAAAAATACATTAAACTTATTCTGTTGTTATTTTCCACATTTTGAATAATGCATATTTTTTGGTTATAAAAATGTTGGAGAAATACAAAAGAATAGAGCAATTCAAAAAGCAGAAATATCACTAGTTATGCCTCTAGGCAGACACAGTCATTGTTCACATTTGGTGCCTATTCTTCTTCTATTTTTATGTATGTGTATGTATATGTATGTTTATGTTTATGTGTGTGTGTGTGTATATATATATATATATATATATACACTCATTTAAAATGTCATCACTTCAATTGTCATTATAACTTTTTGAAAACAGGATTTTTTTATGGCTGCCTTTTTCCATTTTTTGGTTATACCACCACTTCCTTAGACACTGTTTCTGTTGAACCTTTACTTATTTCCAATTTTGTTTACATGAATTCTGTTGCTACTTTTTTCTAAATGTACGTCTTTGGAAGCCAACAACTGAGCTATTTAATCCATGAAAATATTTTTGAAAGCAATTCTTTTGCAAAAAAGACTTGTGGAAAAGCTGGTCCTCTATAAAAATTGATTGTCATTTTATCACATCTCAGGGGTTGTGAGTTTGATGAAGTGCTTATATATTTTCAAGCTCAGATACAATCAGACAATATTTCCTTCTCAAAATGTGTGATCACCATTTCTTCTCTAATTCCTTCCGTTGTTTATTACTGAATCTTGCTGATTTCCTTTATACACTTTCCAGTGAGCCACCTAACACAATAATCACACACTGAGATGATAGATAGAAAAGGCCGCTCTCAAAAACTACTTGCAAAAAACAATACCTTTGGTGAGTCTGATACTCAAAGCGCACTCAGGCTAAACACTAGGGCTTTAAATTAAAGGGATTTATGATGCTATGCTGTCCAAACATTTATAATTGGCAAAAACTCACTTCTAAGTTTAAAACATAATGCAAAAAGAGTACATGCAAATCATTTCACCAGCCATCCATCAGTGCTTTAAACCAAATTAGACTCTTGAGAAGCAAAAAAAAAGAAAAAAAATTATTTATGATAGTTGAGAGGATTTTATTTTTTGTTACATGAGAGGGAATCAACAGGACTCAAATTCAAATCAGTGAATTCATTTGAAAAGATATATAAATACAAAATTGGCAGATGATAGCACTGTGCTAGCAAACAAAGGAGAAAAATCAGGTTTAATGAATAGAAGCTTTACGGAAGGTTTAGCCAGAAACTGCCACGCTAGTTTCTTTTGGTCAACACGTCTTCCAAGTCTCCATCTCTGACACTGGCGCACACTCCAGGCATGGAGAGAGGCCAGAACTAACAGAAGAAAACAGAGTTGCAGGAAAGAGCGTCCTCAGGCTCCAAAACAGAAGGTACAATAACCAGAGACTTAGGCATCTGCAGAAGCTCCAGCACCAACGCCATTTTACTGAATGCTGGAAGTTAAAGAAGAAGAAAAGTCATGAAAATATCAAATACTCTTAAAAACATATGTTTCTTTAAAAAGAAAATGTCTTGAACATTAAAGGTCTTATGCTTAAATAAGCAACAAGGAGCATTATCAACTGCATGCTCACGGCAACATCTTGTTGGTATTTTGCTTTGTGTACTCAGAGGGCCAAACGTGTTTGCAAGATAAACAGCCTGAAAGTCTACCCTGCCCCAGAAAACCACATGGGGGACAAAAAAAAAAATTTAAGGCTGAATTTGGAGAATTTAGTATTTCAGAAACAATTGCTATATGTGTGATTTTGTTTACACTTTCTATGATTTCTTTTACTACTGGATCTTTAAAATATATATATCAAAAGCCTGGTTCGCTTTATTTCCTTTTCAACTCAGACATCATTTTCTTCCTTCTCCCTTCTTTTCATTTCTTTTCTTTTTCTCTTCTTTCTTGTCTTCTGCCTCTTCCTTTCTCCTTCTCTTTCTCCTTCTTCATCCTGTTTGCCTTGCCTTCTTCCTCCTCCTCTTCCTCTTTCTCCTCTGCTTCTCTCTCTCTTTTTCCCCTCTCTTCCTCTCCCTCTACCTAAATCCAAAATTGTAGCAGAAGTGTTTATGTTGGTGTCAAAAGGTCATGTTAGTGGTGAGATTTTGACTGACAGTTGTCAATTCTGGTGAGAGCCTATAGAGTGGACTTGAAATTGGGTTTGTGACTATAGCATGCTGACTCACAAAAGAAGAAATAGATATATATATATTTATATTTATATTTTTATATTTTTATATATAATTCTTTTTCCTGGGCCAGCCTAGAGGTGAAAGCAGTTGATCACAAGGCCAGATCATGCCATCTGGATTCTTCTAAAAAGGTACAGAATTAATAAACAGGAAGATTTACAAATCCTAGTACTGGACATTTTCCAATTCTAAAAATTGCTTATTTTTTCTTTGCTAGTGACATTTTTTTCAATGTAAAATTACCATGAACATTAGGAAATATTGTATGCAAATAGCACTCGAGGAGAAACACTTATCATCCAACTTCTGAATTTATTATTCAGGGGAAATAAAAATGTAAATTGATTGCAAATAAAGCTGCCAATTAAACTTATAAATTTTTCAAATATTCCTGTGATGACAGAGGCAAAAGCTTTTTTCCATTTTAATTTACTTATACTCTGAACAAAACAGAAGCCATGCTACAGAGGAGCATCAGGCAAGAAAAACAAGAGGTAGAGTGATGAAAGTTAAAATCAACGTGTTTCTTTCATGCCAGACGCGGTGGCTCATGCCTGTAATCCCAGCACTTTGGGAGGCCGAGGCAGGTGGATCACTTGAGGTCAGGAGTACGAGACCAGCCTGACCAACATGGTGAAATCCCATCTCTACTAAAAATACAAAAATTAGCTGGGTGCGGTGGCAGGTGCCTGTAATCCCAGCTACTCGGGAGACTGAGGCAGGAAGAATCACTTGAACCTGGGAGGCAGAGGTTGCAGTGAGCCAAGATCGCACCACTGCACTCCAGCCTAGGTGACAGAGCAAGACTCCATCTCAAAAAAAAAAAAAATCTATTTCTTTCAGAGATTAATGATTTTCTTAGTGTACATCATGAAAAGAACAGTGTATTTACAATGAGCTACAAGTATTACCTATATTTTGTAGAGAATTACAATATTGCATGTTTTTAATTCAAAACTAAAAAGAAAACTATGATGTCCACAATGAAAATCAAATCACATAGTCAAAATTTAGCAGGATTTTTGTTACTAGCCTTTAGTGAAATACCTCTTCTCTTGAAACAGGTGTCATTTATTTTCAAGTAGGTTTCTAGGTTGAAACCTTTTTTGGCTTTTTAATCTTAGGTCAACAGTGGAAATGTTAGCACAAGGAAAGTTAATACCGATTTTCTCACCTTAGACTAACAAGGTTTCTGGATTGCATTGGCAAACTATTCAATAGAAATTTATAAAGGATACTTTAAGAGCAGGAAATCCCTTGTCAGGCAGAAAGCACTATAGGCAGACAATTCTCATGTCCAATGACTCCTACATTAAAAACAAATGTTTCATATGATTGAAATCATTTCATTACCCAGCTCATTCCTCTTATCTGGAGGTAATTTTTAACAGACTCCAGCCTCTTTTCCAGACACAAATTTCCAGCCACTCTCCTTCATGCCCCAAGAGGCCATTTCATAAGCAAGCTAACATCAATTCAAACAAGATTCATTTTTTCCATCACTTTACACCCTAGAAAACTGATACAGACTTCCCCAGTTGAAGTTTAATACAGAACATAGGTTTATGAAGTGTGGAACCTCATTTCAAATGTACACATAATATATCGATATAGACTTTGGGAACATTTTCAAAGAATACAAATGTGCTAGGCCCAAGGCTTAAATGGTCCTTTTCACCGAAATACAGCTCATAAAAGATTTCAGAAGGTCAGAAAACTTTAAAATTTAGTGCCCTTGTTTGAGCTTTCCCAGAATGTTTTAATTTAGAAACTAAATTGTATATCCAGCATGCAAATGTGTAGTGTAAGCAATTCATTAGATTAAACATATTTGACCACTGAGGACCTGATTATGAATTTCAAAGCCTGAGTTCTTAGAGAAAAGGTGCATGAGTTAAAAACCATGATGACAATCAATAATATATGATAATACATGAATAACAAAATGTCCCCAGACTCAATAATGTGGTTACTCTTAGTAGATACGCACTGAAGACCATGGTGATTCAAATTCTATATCCTGCCTGAGAAATGTCAACAAGGGATCTGATGTAATGCGCACAATTGTCTTTTACATGACATCTTTCTTAAAAGCTTGGAAATGTACACCAGTCATATCCACCCTTCCTTACGGGTATGATATGTATTATGAAACCCTTCATATGTAAATTTATATTTTATCCTGAGAAATATGCTCTGTAATTAAATTGGACTATGCAAAAATAGCTTTTTTTTTTTTTTTTTTTTTTTACTTAGTACAAACTGTCGTTTCTGGTTAATGGTTTTCTCTCTTCAAGGTAAGCATCCCACTTCATTCATTCAACAAATGTGTATTGGTGCCTATTTCATGTTAGGTGTTGACATATAAAGCTGAAAAAATATTTTGCCTTTCAGAAGCTAAAAATTAAGAAACCTGGAATTAGGTTTAGGGATTTTTTTGCTTTTTATTTTTAAGAAGATTTGTTCAACTTCCATCCATATGCCTTTCATGATATTTTTATTTGATTTACTTCCATCATTTTTATTTTATGCTGACTTATAAACATGATTTCTTCTCAAAAAGATGAATTTAAGATGTGATGGTTAATTTTATGTTTCAAGTTGACTGGGTTAAGGGATGCCTAGATAGCTGGTAAAATATTATCTCTGGGCATTTCTGTGAGCATGTTTCCAGAAAGGGCAGCATTTGAATCAGCAGACTAAGTAAAGAAAGCTTGCCCTCACCAATGTGGGTGGATGTCATCCAATCCATTGAGAGCCCTGATAGAATAAAAACAAATAAACAACCAACAAAGAACAGAGCAGCAAGGGCAAATGTGCACCTGCTTGAGCTTGTGCATCCTTCTTTTCCTGCCCTTGGGCATAGGTACTGCTGCTTCTCCATTCTTTCGACTTGAATTCTACCAACAGCTTTCCTTGTTCTCCAGCTTGCAGATGGCAGATTGGGGGAACTTTTCAGCCTCCTCCCTAATTGCATCAGCCAATTCTCTCTCTCTCTCTCTCCCTCTCTCTACACACACACACACACACACACACACACACACACACAAAAATTGGTTTCATATCTCTGGAGAACCCTAACAAAGAAAAAGCAACCTGTGATTCTACTACTCAGAAAGAATCTCTGCAATTGATTTGTGTGCTGTCTTTCAATGTTCCCTTCCACACGATCATGCTTGCAAGTCTATCCGTCACAGGGAGGAGCCCTCTAGTCAGAAGCAGATTGACCGCCCCTTCACTGGCCTCCAGGCCTCTATTTGTAGAAGTCAGGTGGGACATTCCCAGCTCTGAATACACCTGACCAGGTCTCCTAACCACTGCCTGCCTCACTCCATCGTGACTAATCTCACTGCACTGTTTATCCCTATTAATGTCAGGCACAAAAGAAGCTGAGTCTTCCCACTTTTCTCTAGTGTCCTGGCCTCTCATCTGCTTCTGAATCACCTTCTCAGAACTTATACTTTAATATTATTCTTAACTTATAGTTTCCCATCACCTCAAACCCTTACTCTGTGCCCCCAGAAGCTCTCATGTAATCAGACTTTCATTCAATCCTCTGTATCCTTAATACATTTTCTTAACTGTTTTTGGTGGCTTTCTGCTCTGAGAATACTGTGTCCCCTGAAGCCTTTCTTGAAAGTGAGAGATATGTCTTTTTGGCACCTTGCTGCTGCATCTGGACCATTCTCCTACAACATGCTTTGAATCTCATGTTGTTGGAGGCTAGTCACCTTCAAAGGTGGAGTTGAGACAGCCAGATGGGAGGGAGTCCCTGGATAAACTCCAACCAGCCTGCCCACTGAGGTGGAGCCTCGGGAAGTTCACGACCTTTGCAGCAGGGAGGAGCCTGGCCTCTCTTTCCCTGGGTGGAATCTGGGATTCAAGCTGCTGGTGGGAAGTGCTCTAGCAGGGACTCTGGCCTAGCAAGAGTCTCTGTCTCTCCATTTTCTTCCTTTTCACGTAATAAAACCATGTCTCACTCACCATTGAAATTGTCTGAGAGCCTGAATTTTCATGGTCATGGGACAAAGGACCCTGTCTTTACCTGAACTAAGGAAAAGCCCCGAACAGAGTCACCCTCATTCCTGGCAGAGTTCCCCTATCCGTCTGACCACTGGCTTGCACATGCCCCTGGTTTTACTTCTAACTCACCAACCACTTCTCAGCCACCTTTGCTGCTCTGCTTTGTCTCTGACTTCTAAATGTTGGAGGACTTTGGCCCTTAGTCCTTTGATCCAGGTCTAATTGGGTCTCAGAGTCCTAATTACCTCCCAGAGAGCCGTCCTGATTTCTTCTGTCTAAATTTAAATTGGTCCCATTCTTTCGGTTGCTCAGACAAAAGTTAACATCATCCTTATAGAGGCATCCTTCACTTTACTCTTTCTCTTTCACGGTCATCTAATACATCAACACATTTACATCCTAAATTCCAGGTTCTACAATCTCTAACGCGTGTCCTTTTTCACATTTTAAGATCTCTAAAATTGGTTATGGAAAAATGAATTAAATCATATCTGAATTGGAAGTTCTAATTGAGAGCCTCAATTGTGTATTTTCTTTGTGAGTTAAAATTCTTTGCTTAAAACCTTCCAGTGGGTTCTATTTTACACTGGTTAAACTCAAAGTCATTAAAATCACTGAAAAATGCCCACACTTTCTGCTCGCCTTACCTCTGTGTGAATTTTCCCTTTGGTCAGTTCTTCCAGCCATGTTGGCCTTGGGGCACACAGGTGTCTCAGGCACTTTCCACTGTTCCCGCGGCTTTGGATGCTGGTCTTTTACATAGTCACATGTGTCACCTCCTCGCCCTCCTCAGGTCTTTCCACAGAATCCCCACCTCAGTCAAGCCTTCCCCGCCCGTCATATTTAAACCCACAGCACCAGTCCCTCCAGTGTTCCCTGCTGCACTTCTTTATTACACTTTACACCTTAGCACTCACTACTTCATAACATGCCGTGTATTTACGTGCTTATGTTGCTTCTCTTGCTATCTCTTGTCTCCTGCTAGAAAGTATCATAAAGGACAAAAGTTCCCTATTCTTCAGTTTTGCGCTTTAATTCATTTCCCTAGCCTTTGTGATGAAACTACACCGGGCCAAAAATTGGTGGTTAATACTTCTTTATGAAATAAATGAATATTTAATGTAGATGTAATTCCTCTTTTATAAAATTAGGGCCAAGTTGGGTATATGTCTACTCCTCGTATCAGTAGCAATTTGGAGAATACACAGTTGATTTTTATCTGGGATAAATTAAATTTGAATATCTTAAATATGTATTTTAATTTTTAAAAATGTAATTAGATTATTATAATTATAATTCATATTATAAATATTATAACGATATCTGATAATTGCAGATCACATTTAGTAAGCATTTCATATATCAATTTTTATGCTAAATATATTTATTTAATATTTGATTCAATTTTCATTATATGCCTTTGAGTTAGGTGATATAACCCTGTTTTAGAAATTAGAAAAGTAATTCTCAGAGAAATTAAATGAGTAGCTCAAGTATCCCAGTAGCACAAGAGCTAGAGGGCTGGCATTCCAATTCAAATCCAACCCATTCAAAATCCTGTTCTAAATAATTCATTATTCAGCCTCTGAAAGTCAAATGCAGAAACTATGGGGAGAATCACACTGGTTGTATCTGCAACACTTGTTCAGATGGACCTAGTTCTGCTGTTTATCACCAGGTCTTCTATCCAGAGGCACCCCTGTCCATGGGTTCTTTATTTGCATTCTCTTGCAATCAGCTGCTGTGATTCATAGATGTATATGTGACCTTTGCAGAAGTTGGGGCTCCAACATCATCTGTGATACTCTGTAAATAGTCTGGTTTTGCTTACTGATTTTTTGTTTCTTTCCTGTTTTGTTTTGTTACACTATGGTTGCCTGCCCGAAGTAGAAATACATGCTTCCTTGTTCAACTTTGGTGAAGAGAGAAAGCATCTTCCACAGCATGAAAGCCTTTTACTTCTGTCTGGTTGAACCAAATAGGACATGTGCCTTCTTATGGACCCACAACTGTCACCTAGGGAATGCTGGCCTGGATGGACAAAGCCTAGTTTCCCCAACCAATCGGCTGTTAGAGGCATGGGGTCACTGTGGCTAGCTTAATCTAAGGAGAATTCGTGCTTGGAGGTGAGGATGGAGTGGCCTTCCAGGGAGACACTTGAGGTGTGTGATTGGATAAGAAAAGATGCTCCGTGACTTGCCAGGATTAGCTTAGGTCAGACAAGCTGAGATTTCATTAGGTGGAGATCAGCCTGGATACCTGTTTATTTCTTTCAGATGCAGCTTCCATGAACAAAGGGGAGTTTACATTTGCTCTACATTTTCCCTATAGCTTGAGTATCTGGTAGTCTGCAGAGGGTGGTGAAGAAAGCAGAAAAGGAAGAAATCATGGTGAGAATTTTGGTTTTTTATACTGTGTCTCCCGTCATGGTTTGGTGCAGCAGTGAGACGTTAAGTTCCATGAGGGCCCCATTTTTCTGGTACTGTTATTCCTGGTGTCTACTGAGGCTATGCCCTGCCCAGTGGTGGCACCTGATCTGTTGGTGAGAGCAAGAACATGTCCCCTCCCTCTGACCCACTCTCATCAAGATCCTCACCTCTCAGATGCAGGAGGTTGATAGGGTTTGGATCTGTGTCCCCACCTAAATCTCAGGTTGAATTGTAATTCCCAGTGTTGAAGGTAGTAGGGCCTGGGGGGAAGTGATTGGATTATGGAGACAGTTTCTCATGAATGGTTTAGCACCATTCCTGGTGATGCTGTTCTTGAGATAATGAGCAATTTCTCATGAGATCTAGTTGTTTAAAAGTGTGTGGCAACTCCCTCCAGTCTCTACTACCTTCTACTCTGGCCATGTGAGACAGCTTGTGCCCCCTTTGCCTCCACCAGGATTGGAAGATTCCCGAGACCTCTGCAGAAGCAGAAGCTGCAATTCGTCCTGTACAGCCTCTAGAACTGTAAGCCAAATAAACCTCTTTTCTTGCAAAGTACCCAGTCTCCAGTATTTCTTTATAGCAGTGTGAGAAAGGACTAATACAGAAAATTGGTACCGAGGAATGAGGCATTGCTGTAAAGATACCTGAAAATGTGGAAGTGGCTTTAGAACAGGTGATGGACAGAGTTTGCAAAAGTGTGAAGGGCTCAAAAGAAGACAGGAAGATGAGGGAGAATTTGGAATTTTCTAGAAACTTGTTGAATGGAGTGATTTGAACAATGAAGAGGACTCTGATGGATGTAGGAACTTATTGGGAACTGGAACAAAGGTCACTTTTGTTAAGCTTTAGCAAAGATCCTGGCTGCACTGTGCACCTACTTTAGAGATCTGTGGAATTTTGAATTGAGAGTGATAATTTAGGGTATCCAGCAGAAGAAATTTCTAAGCAACAAAGAGTTCAAGATCTGACCTGGCTGCTTGTAACAGCCTATGCTCATATGTGTGAGCAAAGAAATGATCTGAAACAGGAATTTATATTTAAAAGGGAAGCAGAGCATGAAAGTTTGGAAAATTTGCAGTCTGGCCATGTGGTAGGAAAGGAAAGCCTATTTTTAGGAAAGAAATTCAAGCACGCTGCAGAAATTTGCATAACCAAAAGCAAAGCAAGTGCTGATAGTCAAGACAAAGGAGAAAAGGCCTCTAAGAAATATCACAGACTTTCATGGCAGACATTCTCATCACAGTCTTAGAGGCCTAGGAGGAAAAAATGGTTTCCTGGGGAAGGCCCAGGCCCCTGCTGCCCTGTGCAGCCTCAGGACACTACTTGCTGAATACCAGGCACTCCAGCTGCAGCTGTGGCTCAAAAAGACAGGTACAGCTTGGTCACTACTTTACAGGGTGCAAGTTGTAAGTCTTGGCAGCTTCCATGTGGTGTTAAGCATGCAGGCACACAGACTGCAGGAGTTGACCCTTGGGAGCATCCACCTAGATTTCAGAGAATGTCTGGAAAAGCCTGTATTTTCAGGCAGAAGCCTGCTGCAGGGGCAGAGCCCTCATGAAGAACCTCTACTAGAGGACTGTGGAGGGGAAATATAGAGTTGGCTCCCCCTCACAGAGTCCCCCCTGGAGCACTGCCTAGTGGAGCTGTGAGAAGAGGGCCACCATTCTCCAGACCCCAGAATGGTAGATCCACTGTCAGCTTGCACCCTGTGCCTGGAAAAGCCATAGGCACTCAATGCCAACCCATGAGAGCAGCCATGGGGGCTGAACCTTGCAAAGTCACAGAGGCAGAGCTGCCCAAGGCCTTGGGAGCCCTCCACTTGCATTAGTGAACCCTGGTTGTAAGACATGGAGTCAAAGGAGATTATTTTGGAACATTATGGTTTAATGGCTGCTGTGCTGGGTTCTGGACTTGCGTGGGGCCTGTAGACCCTTTCTTTTGGCTGATTTCTCCATTTTGGAACAGGAGTATTTACCCAATGCCTGTATCCCCATTATATCTTGGAAGTAACTAACTTATTTTGATTTTACAGGCTCATAGGTGGAAGGAAGTAGCCTTATCTTAGATGAGAGTTTGAACTTTGGAGTTAATGCTGAAATGGGTTAAGATTTTCAGGGATTTCTGGGAAGGCATGATTATATTTTGCAATGGAAGACGGATATAAGATTTGGGAAGGGCTAGGGGAGAAATGATGTGCTTTGGATCTGTGTTCCCATACCAAATCCCATGTCAAATTGTAATCTCCAATGTTGAAGGTGGAGCCTGGTGGGAGGTGATTAGATCATGGGGGTGGTTTCTTATGAATTGTTTAACACCATCCCTGGTGGTTCTGTTCTTATGATAGGGAGTGAGTTCTTGTGAGATCTGTTTGCTTAAAAGTGTATGGCACCTCCCTGCTCTCTCCCTTCCTTCTCCTCCAGCCATGTGAAGTGCTTCACCTCCCATTTGCCTTCTGCTGTGATTGGAAGTTTCCTGAGGTGTCCCCAGAAACAGAAGCAGCTATGTTTCCTGTATACCCTAGAGAACCATGAGCCAAAAAAACTTCTTTTCTTATGAATTACCCAGTCTTTAGTACTTCTTTAAAGCAGTGGGAGAATAGATTAATACAGAGGTATTCCAGAATCTTGCCCAGGTTTTCTCCACTCATTTTTCATATTTTGAATTGCCCCAAAGTCTTTTTGCTCTCTGTATAAACATGCCAAATACTTAGCAGATATTCTTAAGTTTCTACCATTTGTATGACAGCCTTTTCTAGGATTCAGTAATGTGGACGTTTTTCATTGCTTTTCCTCTTCTCTAACTCACTTGTCATGCCAATAGAACACTGAAGAAGGAGAAGGGAATTGGAGATCTCACCACAGGAGAATAAGGTTCTCTCTGGTTAAGAGGCTAGGCTCTGGAACTGGGTGAAAAGATCATATGCCAGCTCTGTTGCTTACCAGATTAGACAGTTATTTAACCACGGGGCCTTTCTGTCTGCCTCTGTAAAATGGGAATTATACTAGTGCCAGCTCCACATGATGGCCAAGAGGATTAAACAGTTTTTCACATGTTAACTTAGAAGTATGTTAAACCAACCAGTGAATGTCTAGTATTATCAATATTATGTCATACCTAAACCTAATTTCAAAGATTTCTTCTTAAAGTTTGTATTTATACAGTATACTCTGTCTCTTTTACTCATTTTGTTGGCCTTCCCTAGCCCACCATAGTTTCCATAGACCTTTGTTGAAATATGGTAACTAAAATATATACTATATCCCAGGTATTCAACAGGAGAATGCAATATCTGTGTTGTTTCTAGTTTTGTTTCTAATTATTTATTACACTGAAATACTAGGTATGGCTAGCCTGAAATTATTTACAGTAATTAGGGATAGCAAATGTATCAATAAACTGAATATCTGAAAAATATAATTAAAAAATTAGTGTACCTTTTGTAGTGATATTAAAACACAATTCCAAATTCTCTGACTTGCCTTCCATCAGGAAATGGATCTAGGTCCCCTCTCTTAAATCTGAACAATTTGGTTGCTTGGTTAATAGAATACAGTAGAATGGGTGATGACCTAGGTCTTAACAAATTGGTAGTGTCCAGTTTCCGCCTCTGAAAAATCTCACTTTTTAAACATAGCCACTGTGCAGTCAGAGAAATCCCCGGTGGCCTGTGGAAAAGCCCATGTGAAGAGGAATAGAAGTCCTAGTCCCTAGGCCAGCTGGGCCTCCAGGTGACATCCAGCACCCACTTCCCAACTTATGAGTGTCCAGGCACCAGCCATCGCCCAGTTCCCGACTTATGAGTGTCCAGACACCAGCCAGCGCCCACTTCCCATCTCATGAGTGTCTAGGCACCAGCCATCGCCCACTTCCCGACTTATGATTGGCCAGACACCAGCCAGTGCCCACTTCCTGACTTATGAGGGTCCAGACACCAACCAGCACCCACTTCCCAACTTATGATTGTCCAGACACCAGCCAGCACCCACTTCCCAACTTATGAGTTTCCAGACACCAGCCAGCACCCACTTCCCAACTTATGAGTGTCCAGGCAACAGCCATTGCCCATTTCCCAACTTATGATTGTCCAGACGCCAGCCATCACCCATTTCCCAACTTATGATTGTCCAGTCGCCAGCCAGCGCCCACTTCCCAACTTATGATTGTCCAGGCGCCAGCCATCGTCCGCTTCCCAACTTATGAGTGTCCAGGCACCAGCCAACACCCATTTCCCAACTCAAGAGTGTCCAGACACCAGCCATCGGCCACTTCCCGGCTCATGAGTGAGCCATCTCGGAAGTAGATCCTCCAGTCCCCAGTCAATCTGTCTCAGCATATGCCACTTGGAACAAAAAACAAACTGTCCCTACCAAGCCCTGCCCATCTAGCAAATTCATGAGTAATATATATGATTGCTGTGGCTTTTGACCACTAAGTTTTGGGGTGGTTTTCAGTAAGTAATGGAGACAGACTATAATGTCTTATCCTACCTAATTGAAACTTTGATATATAATCTTGAAATAGTGTGAATTATGGCAGCAGTAACTTATTTTAGCTTCAGGTGTTTCTCTATTCCTCAATACTTTCCAATAAAGGATCTACAAAGCAAAAGGGCCAAAATTTAAGGAGACCAAGGCTGATGCAATGCTTGAGTAATCCACAAACTAGATAATCAATGTTGTGTCATTGAGATAGAAAGTACAATTATCCTAAAAGTCAATGTGTGAAGAATTAAAATGAGACATTACGGCATTGCCCATATCTCAGGAGAGCATAAATCTTCTGGGAGAAACTACTTCTTAGAAGCAGGATAGTGAATATGGGGCATTGCAACTCGAGCTATTGGGCTGACATCTTAACTTTTACTAGGTCTCAGATCTAAAGTTTTGATTTATATGAAATATACTAAATCAATATCAGTGCCAGATATTGGAGCACATGTGTTCACATGATCTTTGTCATGTCATTTTCTTAGAAGATTGTATCAATTCACACAATATTTTCTTTCAGGAAGAAATGCTCTCCTCCTTGCCTTGAAACTTCTCTGCATAAAATGAACAATCTGGGAATAGTGTAAATATTTTCCAACACAGGATCACTGTATTTTTCAATTTTTAATTACAGTTTTGTTTTCACCGTTACGTGAAATCATTCTGCCATTTAGGTACATTTGAGCACCATTTAAAAAACAGTAATTATTATAAATGACTAAATAACTTCAAAGGAGAGATTTCTTTCTTTTAGAAAGTGTCATCCTAACAAACTTTCCAATTGCAAAAATGATACTCAAGGTGATCCATTATGTACTTCAAGACACTGGACTTCATTTAAAGGGAAGAAGGAGAAATGGCCGCAGTAAAAGTTGTAAAATAAAAATAAAATGTCTTACAGACATGAAAAGAAATAGTTTACAAGTCAACATATTGATCTTAAAATAATTCAAATAAATATTGACTATCTTCAAATAAAGGGAATGATTACATAATTTAAGGCTATCCATTGAAAGAGATTGGGGCCAGGCATAGTGGCTCATGCCTGTAATCCCACACTTTGGGAGGCCGAGGTGGGTGGATCACCTGAGGTCAGGAGGTTGAGACCAGCTTGGCTAACATGGCAAAGCCCCGTCTCTACTAAAAATACAAAAATTAGCTGGGCGTGGTGTCACATGCCTGTAATCCCAGCTACTTGGGAGGCTGAGGCAGGAGAATCATTTGAACCCGGGAGGCGGAGGTTGCAGCGAGCTGAGATCATGCCACTGCACTCCAGAATGGGAGACAGAGCGAGATTCTATCTCAAAAGAGACAGAGAGAGAGAGAGAGAGAGAGAGAGAGAGAGAGAGAGAGAGATTGGACTTACGAATTTACATATGTCAATTGCATTTATTCCTAAGAACATTATTCCAAGGCTGAGAATTTACCCACTTCTGACTACAGGAGTACAATAACCAGCAAGTGCTGATAAGAAAGCAACATTTTAGATACAGACTTTCCAGGAGTTAATAAATAATATAGTGAAAGTTACTATGGTCCCATTGTTTTTAGTTTAATCTTGATATTATGCATATGTTTCAAAATGGGGTCCTATTCATATCTCATTTTCCTCAAGTGCTCGAGAATCATGCCTTCTATTCATTATGTGTTACAGCCGTCCTCAGTTGTTTTTAAATGACTGCATGTTTCATTCAGCAGCTTTCTTAATGGGGCAGCTGGAAAAATAAAAGATGACTGATGAAGCAGTGACGCTCATTTAAGCCACTGGCAAATATCATGTTATCCCCTGAGATTGGTGGCATTACCACCTTTCTCCATGCCCATTGAAGCCACTAGTAAGTATCATGTTATCCCCTGAGATCAGTGGCATTACCACCTTTCTCCTTGTCCATTTAAGCCACTGGTAAATAACGTGTTATCCCGAGATCAGTGGCATTACTACTTTCTCCTGTGTACTCACAGACGTATGTGCACATGTGAGCAACCAAGAACAGATGTAAAAAGAGTGTCCTGGGGATGTTATTAGGTTAAAAAAGTTCGTTACATCACAAAGAAGAAAATAGTTCCGTTATTTATAAGTAAGCTTTCAAACTGGAAAAATGTGATTTTGGTTAATATCATTTAGAGTGAAAATCAGAGAAGCCATTTATCAAAGATGAATTTTGAATGAGTATAAATAATGTATGTATACTTATATAATATTTATGAAACACAGAATAATATATATGTGCTTATTTTCAAAATTGCTTAATAAATAAACATGGTGGTGCCAATTATAATTTTTAATTATTTAGTTTCTTGTTGATTCATTGATAAATTAGTTTTTCAGTTGACTTTATTTTCACTGATATCTTTCACTGGAGTTAAATTTTACTGCTTTATACATTTCCTTCTTGAGGAAATGTTAGTTTAGTTTTGCTGGTTTTTAGATTAACAAACTATCAATATTTTGTGAGTTTTTAATATTCCCAATGCATTATTCTTTGTAAAAAAATCCATGATCACTATTACTGAAAAAGACTGTGAGGAGAAGCTCAAAAGGCAATGTTATGTGGAGAAAATAGTGTAAGTCTTAGAAACAGATAGCACAGAATTGAATTCCATTTCTTCATCTATTAGCTTTGTGACATTGGGAATGTTATTTACTGTCCCTAATCTCTTCCTTCTCGTATATTAAAAAAAAAAAAAAGACTCCAGATATCTACTTTGGGGAGTTTTTAAAATAATTAAGGCAGATAAAGTTTGCTAAAAACCTAACTCAGAGCCTGGACCATTGTAGTTGATCAATACACTTAACTGTTATCATTTGAATAAATGAGATATTAATACTACCTCAGTTTTAGTATTTATAATAAGACAGTACAGTGTCAGATTCTGAAGCTGGACTGCAGTGTTCAAACCCAGGATCCTCTCCTCACCCACTGTGTGACCTTGGGAAACCTACTCACCCTTTCTGTTCCCTCATCAGTAAAATGAGAATAACAATAATAATAATACCTATCTTCTAAGTTTGCTTTGAGAATTAAATGAATTTATATAAGGCACGTGCTTTAGGTAGTGTCAATTACAGGCCGATTTCCATATAAATGTTTTCTGTTATTATTCAGTAGCTATGGCTACTTTCTTTATGATCCTGCAGATTGTCAATAGGCGAGCTGGGCTTAAGTCCCAGCTCCTTCACTTACTGAGTGACCTTTTTTAATTACTTGATAAATCTCATGAACCTGTTATGATCTGGGGAATCAACCTATTATGATTGGGGAATATTTTCTACCATCTCTGTGGCTCAGTTTCCTGATGTGTAAAATGAACATAATAAACTACCAGGGGATTTGGGATTATATTTTTATATATGTGTATATACATATATGCTCCATCTATGCTGTTAAGATATGTGTATCTACATATACTTGTATGTACATGTGTGTGAAGAGAAATAGATATAGATAAAGATATAGGTATCCTAAGACAAATCCTAGAAATAGAAAGTATTCAATAAATGCTAGCTATTTTTATGGAAATATAAAGAAACAAAAATTGTATTAATATAAATATGATTAAAATTGCTATATATATAAATTAAACCCCTCCCACAAATTAAAAGAAAAAAATGCTTTATTCATGATAATTATAACGATAAAGCAGATAATTTGCTTGGGGCAGGGCTCAGCTTCCATATTTTCCTCAATGGGACATTGTACTAGAAGTTAAAATACAGATTTATGTCTAAATAATTCCTTATGTTGAGGGGCAAATCTTGCCTCAGCCTCTTGACAGGTATCAATTAGGCGCACAGGACAAAGGATTTCTGTAGGCATAACCCAAGTTAAGTTTCAAATGATTGGAGTGCTGTCAGCTTAACCCACCTCTGCAGGTTGTGTGGAATCCAGCTCAGTGTGGGGATTAGAAAGCCGGATTACCTGATAGCCCAGGCTCACCACAAACCCTTTTCCTCAAAGACTTCTTCCCTGGGGGTGAGAAATGCCACACACCTAAAGGAAAGAGCCATCAGCATGAGAAATGCTGGTCAGATTTCATCAGTCCTGTGAGAATCCAGAGGACCTTTCCTAATGTCAGTGGAAACCCGGCTCCAGTGTGTAAGACATAGCTCTGGCAGCAAGGCTAGAGAGTGGAGAATAAGGAGGTGAAAATCGAACACCAAGAAGTCAGGTGCATGCTCCTTCCAGCGAGTCAGGATGCTGGAGGCCACCGCTGAGCCCAGACGCCGGCTTGAATTCAACCCGAGGATTTTAAACATTCACATGTAAGCACGGACAGGTTCTCCACCTGCTCTCTGTGAATCAAATGTCCATGAGCTTTTCCTTGTTTGGCGTGTTAACTTCTTGTCTGAACTGTGATTTTGGGAAATCTCAGCAGTTTCAGAATGTCTGGTAATGAGAATCTAAGAATAGAGCCACCCAGCAACCTGGAGCATCGTTACTACCTGGAGTGGAAATTATACCTGTGCCCATTTTAAAATGTACATTCTTATCGATGCAAGTGAGTCAGGGCCAATCATGTAATTTCTTTACTTGAGCAACTGTAAAATACGTAATATTTAATGCCCATGCCTATTGAGCCTTTTTATGTTTCACCTTGACAATATAAATTATTATAATGACATAAATATTAAAGCCGATCTAACATGTAATCATCATTGACAAGAACACATTTCAATGACTACACATCTCAATGCATTTTATTCCTTTCAAATCTAATTGACCAGCCTGATTTTTTATCACTTGATAAATCTCATGAACCTATTATGATCTGAAAAGCTCTCTTCAAGCATATTAAACTAAGTAGGCATTTGGGGGCTTTGATTTTTATGTAGAATTCTGTAACAATTTAAAGAAAACCATGACCAATGATGAAAAATCCATAATAAAAAAAGATTTCAGCCTAAGAAGCTAAGAAACCATAATGATGTCCTATAGGCTGCCCTAAAAAGAAGGCCAAATGTCATTATTTTGTCTCACATCACCAGCAGGAACTCTGAACTATCAATTAGATATTAAAAGCATAACTCCCCCAAATTCAGATATGACACTAGTGATAGATAGTTTAGATATTGATAGATAGATAGATGAGGCATAGATGGATACATAGATAGATAGATAAGATAGATGAAATAGAGATAGATACATAGAAGAAAGAAAGAAGTAAAGGAGGAAAAATAAAGGAAAAAGAAATGAATGAAAGAAGTAGGGAGGAAGGAGAAGGAAAGAAGAAAATAGAAGGAAAGAAGGAGGGAAAGAAGAAAAAAGGAAGGAAGGAAGGAAAGAAGAAAAAAAGGAAGGAAGGAATGGGAAGAAGGGAAGGAAGACAGGAAGGAAGCAAGGAAGGAAGAGAGGAAGGAAGGAGAAGAAGGGAAGGAAGACAGGAAGGAAGCAAGGAAGGAAGAGAGGAAGGAAGGAGAAGAAGGGAAGGAAGACAGGAAGGAAGCAAGGAAGGAAGAGAGGAAGGAAGGAGAAGAAGGGAAGGAAGACAGGAAGGAAGCAAGGAAGAAAGAGAGGAAGGAAGGAGAAGAAGGGAAGGAAGACAGGAAGGAAGCAAGGAAGGAAGAGAGGAAGGAAGGAGAAGAAGGGAAGGAAGACAGGAAGGAAGCAAGGAAGAAAGAGAGGAAGGAAGGAGAAGAAGGGAAGGAAGACAGGAAGGAAGCAAGGAAGGAAGAGAGGAAGGAAGGAGAAGAAGGGAAGGAAGACAGGAAGGAAGCAAGGAAGGAAGAGAGGAAGGAAGGAGAAGAAGGGAAGGAAGACAGGAAGGAAGCAAGGAAGGAAGAGAGGAAGGAAGGAGAAGAAGGGAAGGAAGACAGGAAGGAAGCAAGGAAGGAAGAGAGGAAGGAAGGAGAAGAAGGGAAGGAAGACAGGAAGGAAGCAAGGAAGAAAGAGAGGAAGGAAGGAGAAGAAGGGAAGGAAGACAGGAAGGAAGCAAGGAAGGATAGAAAGGTGGAAGAAACAAGGCAAGAAAGAAGAAAGAGATAATAAGATTTATTGTCAAGAAGCTGAATACCAGGGAGCATCTCCAGCAGCTTCGGTTCTGAAGATCTGACCGCAGGAACAACCTTCTCCAAGGTATTGGAGCTTTCCAGTTCACCCGTGTACGTGCGTAGATGGATGAACACACAGAAGGCTTGCCCATGGGTGCCTGGGTTGTAGGAGGATTACAAACACTGAGATGGTAAAAATGGGCCCTGGATTCTCCAGATTCCTGTTAATTTATACTTCTCTGTGGTGATTGTGGGGAACAATGAGTGGTAAGGGTGAAGGGAGACTCTCTTGACAGCCCGGTTTTCTCACAAGAAGTTCTTTGAATGAAGTTGGAAAAGTCGCTTGTGTTCAGCATCTAGGTTAACAGATGAATTCAGGGAAGGGGATAGCTGAGTGCTGGAGTCGGAATCCAGCTACCTGGAGCGGAAAGGGCACAGTCCAGTAAGTGATCAGAAAAATAGAAGGCAGCCATGAGCAAACAGACAAGGAACAGTATTCTGTAGATGAGGTGGAAAATGCTAGATCTGGGCATTTCTGTCCATTCAGAATGCAAGGTCTTTGCCTGGTGACCCTGCAAGGCCAAAAAGAAATATGCGGGTCCTTGGAGTGAAGCCAGCGGTTCAGGGGCCAGAGGGCTGGCAGGGCACAGGCCTGGGTTCGCTGCCAGTTTTCACATCAACACGTGCTGCCTTAGAATGATTCTGAAGGTCAGCAAACGAGAGAGGAGCATTTGCCACACAAAGTGTGAGACAGGAAGAAAAAGTTTAGGTGCAGAGGAGTCTCCTCGAATAGATGTACAAGTTAGTAAAATATTTTTCAGGATCCAGCAAGGCTTTGGGCAGTGAGCTGTATTTTGTGCAAGCCTAAATATGTTCTTAATCTTGTTTTCTGGAGAAAAGATGTGTTTTCATCTACCTTGCTCAAAGCACAACAAGTTGTGTGGCACAGTGCCCCGGAGTCTAGAAGAGGTACCCTCAAATCCATGAAAGTCTTCCTCCTGAATGAGGGCACGCCTGAGGCGCTAGAAGCAGCTCCTCCACAGAAGCCGTGGTTTAGGAGGGCTGGCTGCTTGTGTCCATTCCACCTGCCCTTGGAGCCTCCACGGAGGAATGTGGAGAGGACTCTGGGGTTGGCTGCCGAGCCCTTGCAACTCAAGATTAACACTCTTAACAAAGAGGGATGCAAATAGCTGCACTAACCTGTGGATGGTAGAAACAAATTCCAAATTCCAAAATTCTTTGGAGTTGACTTTTTGTTTTTGTTTTCTATAGTCCTAAAAATATAACATATTTAATAAATAGAAAGAAAGTTAAAGTTATCAAATGATCATACATTGGCTCCAATTCTCCTGCACACATGAATTACTGTATTTAACTGCTGTAGGCAACGCTGATCTTTCAGCCTGTAGACGGCTGTGTCTGTACCACATGGAATCATTTCCTAGGGGGTAATGTGCATGCCCGCCACTGTCTTTTTTCTTTTGTTTTTTTTTTTGAGATGGAGTCTCGCTCTGTCACCCAGGCTGAAGTGCAGTGGTGCTATCTCAGCTCACCACAACCTCCACCTCTCGGGATCCTGCCATTCTCCTGCCTCAGCCTCCTGAGTAGCTGGGATTACAGGCATGCACCACCACGCCCGGCTAATTTTGTATTTTTAGTAGAGATGGGGTTTCTCCTTGTTGGTCTGGCTGGTTTCGAACTCTCTACCTCAGGTGATCTGCCCCCTTCAGCCTCCCAAAGTGCTGGGATTACAGGCGTCAGCCACCACGCCTGGCTCTGCTGGCCACTTTCAGGAAACATTTGGTGCTGCTTCCTCCTGCCCATTGTCCTAAAGTTACCTCGAGACTCCCATCAAGATCTGGCAGGTGAACTTGTCCTTGTTTAAAAGTAAGGAAAGCTGAAGACTCCAGTATGTGTGCATTCATCAAGAGAAATAAAACCCAGCTCTTTTCACCCCATCACACCCCAGCCTTTCACTCGGCATAGGGTGTCCTGACCTTCACCTCCTCACTCGACTTTACCCACGCTCACAAACACAATGCCACCCTCCACAGGTCAGGGAAAACTCTACCCAAGCTTATGAGACAAAACAAAGGCTGTGTGAAACCAGTGGCTGGTGTGTCTTTACAAGCCTGTAGGAAAGGACAGGGCTACTGACTCCACCAAAGCCACGCAGCTTGGTGAAGCATGTGCTCATTTAAAACACGACTCATCAGGTGCTTCCTCCACTCTCTTTAACTGAATTATCTTGGGGCTTCATACTGGGTTTTATATAGAAGCAGTAATTCCACGGGAGTAGGAAGAACTCTGTTTTTTAAGATTTGAAATCCAGGTTTTCTGTGTAAGGTTGAGCCAGCCTTTCAACCTCACATGTGGAGAAAGTGAGTGTCGTTTCCTGGTGGATATCATTCCATTGCCTGCCCGGCATCCCTTCCTTTCCTTCTGAGGATCAAGCATCTCACTTTTAGTCCCTGTGGTCTGGGCTCCAGTCCTGGCCAACGGGAGTTCCACATGTCCCCTGGCCACAGGAGTGGCGACGGACACGTGACCCAGGCCCGACCCATGAGGGCCTCACCGTGCAGGTGCGCTGCAGCTCTCAGAAAATGGTGCTTCTGACTGTCCCTAACAGAGGTGTGTGCAGAGGCGGGGGTTGCCGGCCTGGAGTACTGGAGATCACACTTGTTGCCACACAGGGAGAGCATAATCGAGAGTAAAGCAGTGAAGAGAAAACCAAGGAAAGAAATACACAGACAGAGAGACTATGTAGCTATTATTTAGCCTCTGAATTCACTTCTGCCTGAAATTAGAAACTCCCAGATTCTTGGGTAATTACATAAATTTCTATTTATTTGAGCTGGACTTTCTTTCATTTGTAATTTAATTATCTTAGGGCTATTGCTAAAATTGATCTCCACCGAACAACATAATTATGAATGTAAAAGGTCTTTATAAACTCTCCAGTGCTATGTGTGAGTGAGGGATTATTTCTCCGAGAGGCAACACTCCTCCTGCATAAAATCGTAAGCCCTACCCCAGAGGCCTGTGCCCTGCTGGTACCACAGAGTGACACAGTGGAGCCCAGCACATAAACAAGTATTTTGTTTCCTTGTTTTTTTTAAAAAAAATTATTGTGATGCAAACCGTGTTACAAACACTGACTGACAGATTTCCATAGCTGCAAGGTTGTAACTACAGCTTCCAGGAGTGTCTTCCCACAGGTTTTTTGCGTGACTGACTCTTGCCAGTCTCAGCTTTCGTGTTGCTTCCTCTGAAAGTTCTCCATAGGGTCCACTGCTGAAGAATCTCTCCCTCATGCCTGCGCTGTCATCTTCCTTAGCACGTATTACTGCCTGAATTTCTGTTTATCTACTGATTTGTTTATCATCTCCACCATACAAAAGCTCCACAAAAGGAGTAGTCTGGTCTCCCATCTTCACCCTGGGGTCCGTAGTGACCAGAATCATGCCTGGCACATAGTAGATGCTTAATAACTATTTGTGAACTAAATGACTGACTTGTAGAAATGTGATTTTCTCTGTGCACAGGTATTGCAGGGCTGAATCTGACTCTAATGATCAAGACTTGCTCCAACAGATGCCTTTGGATATGAAAAATTGCATTATTATTGCTGAGACAAATATTCAGAACTAAAACTTTAGCACCTTTCTGATTTGTGAAAATACTCCTCTTTGGGCTCTAGTAACAGCCTTAGAAATTCAGTATCCTGAAATGTGTATCGACACCTAAATAGCCTCCATGATAACACTTGAGGTAGTAAACTGACAGTATAGAATTTTAATTCTATAATACAATATAACAAAATATGAAATGCAACACTGCATATATTTATGTGTATTACTGGTCATTTTAGAATACTATTATGTTGATGACACAGACACCTCCATACATAAAACCCTAAGGGACCAAGAATCTAAGCATCCCTGGGGTGGAGCTAAGCATCCTGGGGGTGGAGCTAAGCAGCCTGGGGGTGGAGCTAAGCAGCCTGGAGGTGGAGCTAAGCATCCTGGAGGTGGAGCTAAGCATCCTGGAGGTGGAGCTAAGCATCCTGGGGGTGAAGCTAAGCATCCTGGGGGTGGAGCTAAGCAGCCTGGAGGTGGAGCTAAGCAGCCTGGAGGTGGAGCTAAGCATCCTGGGGGTGGAGCTAAGCATCCTGGAGGTGGAGCTAAGCAGCCTGGGGGTGAAGCTAGGCATCCTGGGGGTGGAGCTAAGCATCCTGGGGGTGGAGCTAAGCATCCTGGGGGTGAAGCTAAGCATCCTGGAGGTGGAGCTAAGCAGCCTGGAGGTGGAGCTAAGCAGCCTGGAGGTGGAGCTAAGCAGCCTGGGGGTGAAGCTAAGCATCCTGGGGGTGAAGCTAAGCATCCTGGGGGTGGAGCTAAGCAGCCTGGAGGTGGAGCTAAGCAGCCTGGGGGTGGAGCTAAGCAGCCTGGGGGTGGAGCTAAGCAGCCTGGAGGTGGAGCTAAGCATCCTGGGGGTGAAGCTAAGCATCCTGGGGGTGAAGCTAAGCATCCTGGAGGTGGAGCTAAGCAGCCTGGAGGTGGAGCTAAGCATCCTGGGGGTGGAGCTAAGCATCCTGGAGGTGGAGCTAAGCAGCCTGGAGGTGGAGCTAAGCAGCCTGGGGGTGAAGCTGAGCATCCTGGAGGTGAAGCTAAGCATCCTGGAGGTGGAGCTAAGCAGCCTGGAGGTGGAGCTAAGCAGCCTGGGGGTGGAGCTAAGCATCCTGGACGTGGAGCTAAGCAGCCTGGGGGTGGAGCTAAGCAGCCTGGGGGTGGACCTAAGCAGCCTGGAGGTGGAGCTAAGCATCCTGGGGGTGGAGCTAAGCATCCTGGAGGTGAAGCTAAGCAGCCTGGGGGTGGAGCTAAGCATCCTGGAGGTGGAGCTAAGCATCCTGGGGGTGAAGCTAAGCAACCTGGAGATGGAGCTAAGTATCCTGGGGGTGGAGCTAAGCAGCCTGGAGGTGGAGCTAAGCATCCTGGGGGTGGAGCTAAGCATCCTGGGGGTGAAGCTAAGCATCCTGGAGGTGGAGCTAAGCAGCCTGGAGGTGGAGCTAAGCATCCTTGAGGTGGAGCTAAGCATCCTGGGGGTGAAGCTAAGCAGCCTGGGGGTGGAGCTAAGCAGCCTGGAGGTGGAGGTAAGCAGCCTGGGGGTGGAGCTAAGCAGCCTGGGGGTGGAGCTAAGCAGCCTGGAGGTGGAGCTAAGCAGCCTGGAGGTGGAGCTAAGCATCCTGGGGGTGAAGCTAAGCATCCTGGGGGTGGAGCTAAGCATCCTGGGGGTGGAGCTAAGCATCCTGGGGGTGAAGGTAAGCATCCTGGAGGTGGAGCTAAGCAGCCTGGGGGTGGAGCTAAGCATCCTGGAGGTGGAGCTAAGCATCCTGGGGGTGGAGCTAAGCATCCTGGGGGTGGAGCTAAGCAGCCTGGAGGTGGAGGTAAGCAGCCTGGGGGTGGAGGTAAGCAGCCTGGGGGTGGAGGTAAGCAGCCTGGGGGTGGAGCTAAGCATCCTGGAGGTGGAGCTAAGCATCCTGGGGGTGGAGCTAAGCATCCTGGAGGTGGAGCTAAGCATCCTGGGGGTGGAGCTAAGCAGCCTGGAGGTGGAGCTAAGCATCCTGGAGGTGGAGCTAAGCATCCTGGGGGTGAAGCTAAGCATCCTGGAGGTGGAGCTAAGCATCCTGGGGGTGGAGCTAAGCATCCTGGAGGTGGAGCTAAGCATCCTGGGGGTGAAGCTAAGCATCCTGGAGGTGGAGCTAAGCAGCCTGGGGGTGGAGCTAAGCATCCTGGAGGTGGAGCTAAGCATCCTGGGGGTGGAGCTAAGCATCCTGGAGGTGAAGCTAAGCAGCCTGGGGGTGGAGCTTAGCAGCCTGGGGGTGGAGCTATGCAGCCTGGGGTTGGAGCTAAGCAGCCGGGAGGTCCCATCTTTGGTTCAAATACGATGACTGTGGGTTCTCTGCTTGTTCCCTCCATGCTGTGGGGTTGCCATCGCCTCCCTGGGATGGTTTTTAAGTTGCACAGGTCATCTTACTCCATATTGCAATGTCGCTGTTTGCACGGATCCCCTCCCATTGCTGTACACTCTAGTCCTTCCACACTCATTATACTTGGAGGCTAAAGGATACTTCAGCTCCTGTCAGAGCTAAAGAGAAAGCAGGTGCAGAGGGAAAATGGATACCCCAAAGAGTTCTCTTGGAATTTTAAGGTGGGTATTTTCCTGGAGACATGAGGACCTGTGTTTATGCCCTGTGTACCTCACTGAATGTATGAAACAAGATTTAAGCTTTTTTGAACCCATTTTCTCATTGGCAAAATGGAACAATTATTTCTGTTAAAATTTGGAAGAGACAGGCCAGCTAGTAAAAGACATGCTTGATATAACTCAAATGTGGAATGGATTCATGTATACCCTAACCCATGTAATTTGAGGAAGCTCATTTTCTTGGCAAATATAACATGGTTCATGATTTGGTCCTCAGTTTTGCAAGTCCAGAAATCAGACAATGGCAGCAGACAAATATGATTTTTAAAAATCAGAGTAAAAAAATTGGACTTCTCAAAACTAAATTCACAGGATAGATAAGCTAAGCTGATGATTGATTTATTTTCAAAATTTTAGCTTGTTCTCACATAGACATCTACTTCACTGTCTCATGTTTCCTGAGAAGCTTGAACTTCAACCAAAAAGGCTTTTTGGTGTGTGTGGAATGAGAGCGAAGAGAAGTGGGTATTCCTGGGTGACGGTTTACCAGATCCCCCAGCCAGATTCTCACTCTGAGCAGAATGCCCCATCCTCCAGCCCCTCACTGCCCACAGCGGAGCACACATCATGGGGTGTGGCCTTCTCAGAGCTGTGTGCTCTGGTTGTCGGCATTCTCCTTACAAGCTGCCACAGACACTCTCGGCTGGCTGAGACAATGCCCAATGCCAATCTCATTCTTCCTTGTCTCCTCCCAGTAGAAAGCTAATGCCTGCTTTCTAGTGCCTCTTCTCTAGTGCCTCTTGAAGCTGGGATGGCTTTTTGGTAGTTCTGGTCAATAGTAGACCAACTGAAGACTGCTGGGCCGTTAAAGGGAAACTTCTGCATTCCTGACAGAAGGGACAGCTGGGGCCACTCCTTCTCCCTTCTTCGTGCCTTTACTGGAGACATGAGACTGGGCTTGGAGCAGTGCCATCATTTTAGGGTGCAAAAAATCAAGCCAACACACTTAAGATGACGCAGTAGAAATCGAGAAGGAGCCTGGGTTTTGGTGGCATTGCTGAGCCTTAGCCCTGGACGGTCTGAACAGCTTGCCCTGAGAGACCATTAAATGGCTTTATCGCGGCCGGGCGCGGGGGCTCACGCCTGTAATCCCAGCACTTTGGGAGGCCGAGACGGGCGGATCACGAGGTCAGGAGATCGAGACCATCCTGGCTAACACGGTGAAACCCCGTCTCTACTAAAAATGCAAAAATTAGCCGGGCGTGGTGGCGCGCGCCTGTAGTCCCAGCTACTCGGGAGGCTGAGGCAGGAGAATGGCGTGAACCCGGGAGGCGGAGCTTGCAGTGAGTCGAGATCACACCACTGCACTCCAGCCTGGGCGACGGAGCGAAACTCCGTCTCAAAAAAAAAAAAAAAAAAAATGGCTTTATCGTTTAGGCCACTGTCAGTTGAAATTCTGGGTTTTGTTTCTTTGTTTCCTAACACATATATCATTATCAATGGTTAATCTGTAGTTAGGAAGCTGATACTTTGGGCCTAGGAGACATTGTGTCTTTTTATAACTCAGCGATTTGGTTTTACTCTCTCACAGCAATTGCACTTCCTGTTATGTCCGAGTTCGTAGATAAGTCTGCACCGTAATTACCATGTACTGTCTGCAACACCTACCTTAAAGGCTTATTGTGAAGAAGAAATCACAATTTCTGAAAGTGCCTTAAAAACTATAAAGAGCTTTAGAAGAGCAAGACAGTCTTATTATTACTACCATCTGTAACATCTTCTAATGCAAGAGGAATAAAAGATAAAGGCATCTTCTTAATTTAGGGCATTTGTGGTGCTGTAAATTAAAGCAATGTTTTGTAGCATTCAGAACATTTGTTGCTATTTATCTTCCAATATTTTTTGAAAGAAGTTGCATATACCAATCAATAGCCACGTTTCTTTTACCTTGTTTATATTTTGTCTTGTTTTTAACAAATTGTATTGTATATATTTGAGGTTTGAGACATGATATTATATGATACATATAGATAGTAAAATGGTTACTATGGTGAAGCAAATGAACGTATCTACCATCTCACAGTTACTTTTTTGTGTGTAACAAAAGCAGCTAAAATCTACAAATATCATGCAATTGTATTAACTGTAATCCTTACGTTGTCCACTAAAACTCTACCCTCATTCATCCGACACATCTGTTCATCCTCTGTGTTTCCACTTTCTGTCCTTAGACCTACATCTCCCCATTTCCTTTCTCTTCAACTTCTCACGCTGGTAACCACGGTTTTATTCTCTCTCCCTGCATATTTGAGCTTTCCGATTTATCGTTTCATAGATTCCACATATAACTGAGACCACACAGTATTTTCCTTCTGTGTCTGGCTTATTTCACTTAGCAGGATGTCCTCCAGTTCCATCCATGTTGTGGGAAATGGCACGATCTCCTTTTTTTCAGGCCAAATGTTATTCCATTTTACATACGTGCCACATTTTCTTTACCCATTGGTCCATTAACACACACTTAGGTTGTTTCCGTATCTTGACAGTTGCAAATGATGCTGCAATGAAGATGGAAGTGCAGGTGTCTTTACAGGAGGGTGAGTTCATCTCCTTTGCCTAGAGACTCAGAAGAGGGATTGCTGGGTCATATGGTAACCTCCATACTGTTTTCCATAACAGCTGCACCAATCTACTTTCCCGCCAAAAGTGTGCCAGGCTTCCCTTTTCTCTGCACTCTTGCCAGCACACGTTAGCTCTTGCTTTTTGATAACAACCATGCTTACGGGTATGAGGTAGTATCTCATTGTGGTTTTAATATGCATTTTACTGATAATTAATGATATTGAGCATGTTTACATATGCCTGTTGACTAATTTTATGTCTTTGGAGAACTGTCTCATTTTTTGCCCAATTTTTATTTATTAATTTATTTATTTTTAATTTTCTTTTTTTTTATTATTATACTTTAAGTTTTAGGGTACATGTGCACAATGTGCAGGTTAGTTACATATGTATACATGTGACATGCTGGTGTGCTGCACCCACTAACTCATCATCTAGCATTAGGTATATCTCCCAATGCTATCCCTCCCCCCTCCCCCCACCCCACAACAGTCCCCAGAGTGTGATGTTCCCCCTCCTGTGTCTATGTATTCCCATTGTTCAATTCCCATCTATGAGTGAGAATATGTGGTGTTTGGTTTTTTGTTCTTGCGATAGTTTACCAAGAATGATGATTTCCAATTTCATCCATGTCCCTACAAAGGACATGAACTCATCATTTTTTATGGCTGCATAGTATTCCATGGTGTATATGTGCCACATTTTCTTAATCCAGTCTATCATTGTTGGACATTTGGGTTGGTTCCAAGTCTTTGCTATTGTGAATAGTGCCGCAATAAACATACATGTGCATGTGTCTTTATAGCAGCATGATTTATAGTCCTTTGGGTATATACCCAGTAATGGGATGGCTGGGTCAAATGGTATTTCTAGTTCTGGATCCCTGAGGAATTGCCACACTGACTTCCACAATGGTTGAACTAGTTTACAGTCCCACCAACAGTGTAAAAGTGTTCCTCTTTCTCCACATCCTCTCCAGCACCTGTTTTTCCTGACTTTTTAATGATTGCCATTCTAACTGGTGTGAGATGATATCTCATGGTGGTTTTGATTTGCATTTCTCTGATGGCCAGTGATGGTGAGCATTTTTTCATGTGTTTTTTGGCTGCATAAATGTCTTCTTTTGAGAAGTGTCTGTTCATGTCCTTCACCCACTTTTTGATGGGGTTGTTTTTTTCTTGTAAATTTGTTTGAGTTCATTGTAGATTATGGATATTAGCCCTTTGTCAGATGAATAGGTTGCAAAAATTTTCTCCCATTTTGTAGGTTGCCTGTTCACTCTGATGGTAGTTTCTTTTGCTGTGCAGAAGCTCTTTAGTTTAATTAGATCCCATTTGTCAATTTTGGCTTTTGTTGGCATTGCTTTTCGTGTTTTAGAGATGAAGTCCTTGCCCATGCCTATGTCCTGAATGGTAATGCCTAGGTTTTCTTATAATGTTATTTGTTTTTCTGCTATTGGGTTGTAAGAGTTATTTTTTAAATTTAGGATATTAACACATTATCAAATATGCAGTTTGCAAATATCTTCTACACTTCTGTCATTTGCCTCTTGGTTTGTTGATTGCTTCCTTTGCTGTGCAGAAAATTTTTAGTTTGATGTAACCCCATTTGCTTATTTTTGATTTGCAGCCTGGGCTTTAAGTGTGATGTCCAAAAAATTATTGCCACTTTCCCCTATGTTTTCTTCTAGGAGTTTTATAATTTCTGGTCTTCCATTTAGGTCTTTTTTTCATTTTGAGTTGATTTTTGTGAATGGAGTAAGATAAGCATCCAGTTTTATTCATTTGCATGTGGAAATACAGTTTTTCCAACACCATATTTTTTTTTTGAGACAGAGTTTCGCTGTGTTACCCAGGCTGGCTTGCGGTGGCACAATCTTAGCTCACCATAACTTCTGACTCCTGGGTTCAAGCAGTTCTCCTGCCTCAGCCCCCCAAGTAGCTGGGACTACCGGTGCCCACCACCATGCCCGGCTAATTTTTGTGTTTTTTTAGTAGAGACGGGGTTTCATTATGTTGGCCAGGCTGGTCTGGAACTCCTGACCTCGTGATCCGCCCACCTTGGCCTCCCAAAGTGCTGGGATTACAGGCTTCAGCCACCCACCGTGCCCGGCCTTCCAGCACCATATTTTGAAATGACTCTTCTTCTCTAATTGTGTCCTCTTGGCGCTCTTGTCAAAAATTAGTTGAATATGTATGTTTGGATTTATTTCTGGGCTCTGTATTCTGTCTCATTGGCCTATGTGTCTGTGTTTATGCTAATAGCATATTGCTTTGGTTAATATTACTTTGTAATATGATTTTAAATAGGGTTGTGTGATAACTGCCTTTCTTTCTCGGTATTGCTTTGGCTGTTCAGGGATTTTTGTGGTTCTGTACAAATTTTAAGGGTTTTTTTGCTATTTCTGTGAAGAATACCATTGAGATTTTGATAAGGATTGCATTAATCCACATTGCTTTGGGCAGTATAAACATTTTAACAATATCAATTATTCTGAGAAACAAACATTAGATAGCTTTCCATTTATTTGTGTCTTCCTCAATCTATGTTATTAATATTTTGTATTTTTTAGCCTACAGATCTTTACCTCCTTGGTTAAATTTATTCCAACTATTTTGTTTTTAATGTTATCGTAAATGGGATTGTTTTCTTGATTTCTTTTTCAGCTAAGTTGTTATTTGTGTATAGAAGTGCTGTGGATATTTAGAGTTGCTTCAGCGTCCTGGTGCCGCTGCACTGCGGAGACCGTGTGGTCCCTTAGCCAAGATGCCCGAGGAGACTCAGACCCAAGACCAACCAACGGAGGAGTAGGAGGTTGAGACGTTCACCTTTCAGGCAGAAATTGCCCAGTTGATGTCATTGTTCATCAATACTTTCTACTTGAACAAAGAGATCTTTCTGAGAGAGCTCATTTCAAATTTATCAGATGCATTGGACAAAATCCTGTAGGAAAGCTTGACGGATCCCAGTAAATTAGACTCTGGGAAAGAGCCGCATATTAGCCTTATACCAAACAAACAAGATCGAACACTCACTATTGTGGATACTGGAATTGGAATGACCAAGGCTGACTTGATCAACAACCTTGGAACTATCACCAAGTCTGAGACCAAAGTGTTCATGGAAGTTTTGCAGGCTGGTGCAGATATCTCTATGATTGGCCAGTTCAGTGTTGGTTTTTATTCTGCTTATTCAGTTGCTGAGAAAGTAACAGTGATCACCAAACATAACAATGATGAACAGTATGCCTGGGAGTCCTCATTAAGGGGATCATTCACAGTGAGGACAGACACAGGTGAACCTATAGGTCATGGAACAAAGGTTATCCTACCGCTAAAAGAAGACCAAACTGAGTACTTGGAGGAACGAAAAATAAATGAGATTGTGAAGAAACATTCTGTTTATTGGATATCCCGTCACTCTTTTTGTGGAGAAGAAACATGATAAAGAAGTCAGCAATGATGAGGCCGAAGAAAAGGAAGATAAAGAAGAAGAAAAGGAAAAAGAAGAGAAAGAGTCCGAAGACAAACCTGAAATTGAAGATGTTGGTTCTGACGAAGAAGAAGAATAAAAGAAGGATGGTGACAAGAAGAAGAAGAAGAAGAAGAAGAAGAAGATTAAGGAAAAGTACATCGATCAAGGAGAACTCAACAAACAAAGCCTATCTGTACCAGATACCCTGATGACTTTACTAATTAGGAATACAGAGAATTCTACAAAAGCTTGACCATTAACTGGGAAGATTACTTGGCAGTGAAGCATTTTTCAGTTGAAGGACAGTTGGAATTCAGAGCCTTTCTATTTGTCCCACGACTTGCTCCTTTTGAGCTGTTGGAAACCAGAAAGAAAAAGAACAAAATCAAATTGTCTGCACGCAGAGATCTCATCATGGATAACTGTGAGGAGCTAATCCCTGAATATCTGAACTTCATCAGAGGGGTGGTAGACTCGGAGGATCTCCCTCTAAATATTTTCCGTGAGATGTTGCAATGAAGCAAAATTTTGAAAGTTATCAGGAATAATTTGGTCAAAAAATGCTTAGAACTCTTTACTGAACTGGTAGAAGGTAAAGAGAGGTACTAGAAGTTCTATGAGCCGTTCTCTAAAAACATAAAGCTTGGAATACACGGAGACTCTCAAAATCAGAAGAAACTTTCAGAGCTGCTAAGATACTACACATATGCCTCTGGTGATGAGATGGTTTATCTCCAGGACTACTGCACCAGAATGAAGGAAAACCAGAAACATATCTATTATATCACAGGTGAGACCAAGGACCAGGTAGCTAACTCAACCATTGTGCAACGTCTTTGGAAACATGGCTTGGAAGTGATCTATACGATCGAGCCCATTGATGAGTACTGTGTCCAGCAGCTGAAGGAATTTGAGGGGAAGACTTTAGTGTCAGTCACCAAAGAGGACTTGGAACTTCCAGAGGATGAAGAAGAGAAAAAGAAACAGGAAGAGGGAAAACAAAAAACGAAACAAAAAAAAAACCAAAGTTTGAGAACCTCTGCAAAATCGTGAAAGACATTTTGGAGAAGAGTTGAAAAGGTGGTTGTGTCAAACCAATTGGTGACGTCTCCATGTTGTATTGTCTCAAGCACATATGGCTGGACAGCAAACATGGAGAGAATCATGAAAGCTCAAGCCCTAAGAGACAACTCAACAACAGGTTACATGGCAGCAAAGAAACACCTGGAGATAAACCCCGACCATTCCTTTATTGACACCTTAAGGCAAAAGGCAGAGACTGATAAGAATGACAAGTCTGTGAAGGATCTGGTCATCTTGCTTTATGAAACTGCGCTCCTGTCTTCTGACTTCGGGCTGGAAGGTCCCCAGACACATGCTAACAGGATCTACAGGATGAACAAACTTGGTCTGGGTACTGATGAAGATGACCCTACTGCTGATGATACCAGTGCAGCTGTAACTGAAGAAATGCCACCCCTCGAAGGAGATGACGACACATCACGCATGGAAAAGTAGACCAACCTCCAGCTGAGGGATGTCTTACCTGTTCGGTACTCTACAGTTCCTCTGAGAATATATTTTCAAGGATGTTTTTCTTCATTTTCGGTAACATTAAATAGTCTGTATGGCATGACAACAACTACTTTAAGGGGAAGTTAAGATTTCTGTCTATTTCTAAGTGATGCTATGATACCTTAGGCACTAAAGCAGAGTTAGCAATGCTTTCTTAGTTTCACATTGGCTTATTTTGACAGATGTAAGATGTATGTAACATGATGCTAACTTTGTGGTCTAAAGTGTTTAGCTATCAAGCCCGATTCCTTAGTAGACCAAGTCTTGTTATCAAAGTGTTCCTGAGCTATACCTTGATGTTTAGAAGAAAAGTATTTGTTACATCTTGTAGGATCTACTTTTTGAACTTTTCATCCCCTGTAGTTGCCAATTCCACATGTACTAGTCCCCTAGAAACAGGTTAAACTGAAGCAACTGGATGGAAGGAAATCTCCATAGGGCTTGTTTTCCAAAGAAAAGTATTGTTTGGAGGCGCAAAGTTATAAGTCTACCTAAGCATAACATAAAGCTGTTCAAAAATAACTCAGAGCCAGTCTTGTGGATGGAAATGTAGTGCCCGAGTCACATTCTGCTTAAAGTTGTTTCAAATACAGATGAATTAGAAGAAAAAAAAAAAAGAAATACTACTGATATTTATGTGTTAATTTTGTATTCTACAACTTTACTGAATTCATGTATTTCTTCTAATAGTTTTTTCTGGAATCTTTGGGGTTTTCTACTCATAGAATCATGCCATCTGCAGTCAGAGATGAATTAACATCTTCCTTTTTAGTTTAGATGTCTTTTATTTCTTTTTCCCTTTTAAATTGCCTTTGCTAGTGCTTCCAGTACTATGTAGAAGGCATGTGGTGAGAGTGGGCAGCCCTCTCTTATACCAGATCTTCGTGCAAAAGAGTTCAGTTCTTCCCTGTTGATTATGATACTAGCTGTAGGTTTCCCATAAATGGCCTTTATTATGTTGAGAAACTTTCCTTCTGTATGTAAACAATTAGGGGTTTTTATTGAGAAAGAGTGCAAAATGTTATCAACCTTGTTTATACTTTAAAATTTTTCAACATGAGTAATTATTTAAGTAAGGGAAAGAAGGCCTGTCAGGGTGACCAGCGGTCCATGTTTGCCTGGTCCTGTCCTGGTGTTTTCACTGAATTTCTTGTATCCTGGGGAAATTCCTAAATCCCAGGCAACACGAGTGGCTAAACCATCACTCCACCAATTGTATTGTCCTTACATCTTTTAGGTTACATTGCCTTTAGCTGTCTCTAATGTTAAAGGTCTAGTATTTCATCTGCTCATCCACATAACAAACATCAGCTGAGTCAACCCACCAATGTGTCCAGCTCCATGAGTACAGATAAGAAGAAGGCTCATCCGAGAGCTCACAGTCCTCATGGGCAGAGCTGACCTTGGCACATAATTACATCATTATCACACCATGTCAGACTGACGGAAGCCAATGTGGTCAGCATCTGTGGGGTCCTTTATAAACATCTGCTGTTTTCAGCAACTAGAAGCTGGTTGGAACTTTTAAAATTAGGTAAAAAGTTATAATAAAGGCAAGTTGCGGACTAAGGCAAGTTGCAGACTAAGTCTACCACAAACTCAAACACTTAGAAGCATAAATGCCTCAACACAGTCACACAACCTGTGTATTTTTTAACTTGATGTCCTGTGCTCTACTATAAACACCCTGACAAGCATTTCACACCAAAGATTATTGTAGGAAAAGCACAATTACATTCTAATGGTGGGATCCACTAACCTCTGAGTTAGATTAGACAGAGCAATCCTGCCTAAGAGTAGGGCAAAGAGACCCAATGGCTACAAAGAACTTGGATGCAACATTACAGGTGTGATCCTGCTAGGTTTCCAGATTCCACTCACACAGGAATGCCAGAGTCCATGGAATTTTTCCAGACAATTATATATAGAGAGCATTATTTATTTTATCAAGAAAAAAGGAGAACTATTTCTAGCATTCTTTATGCTGATTAACAAACCAGCTGCTGTGTATTTAGATGAGAACCGACCTACTTGCCATAGATAGATCTAGAGTGTGAAGTCTTTGTTAACATACTTCAATTGCAAACAAGTAATTTCTGGAATATGAATTAAACTTAATTTACACATGTGGAAGGCTAAGGCATTTTTAAATAAATTATCTTGCAACAAATATAAGAAATAATTAGTGGTTGTTCTTTGAAAATGTAGAAAAAATCTCTCTGACAAAACAAAATACTTAGGCACTTCAAGGACTTGACAAGGTGACCTGTGAACCAGGTCTGAGGGATGAATATGAATTTGCAAAATTAAGGGAGGAAAAGTGATATTTGGTGGAAGACAGAATCCTGCACAAAGGTGTCTCCATAAAAGTTCTTACTACTTCAGGAAACTTCAAGAAGTGACTGAAAGCTCAGGGTCTTAGGAACAAGGGTTGAGAAATGAGCCTGAAACGGATATTTGAGAAGTCAAGATGGTGGCAGGATCCGGAAGCCACACTAAGTTGTTTGGACTTTCTGCTTAAGTATTGAGATGATAGGGGCACTTTTTTTTAGATAGTACAGTCACTTATTGCTTAGGTAGCAATGAGAAGAACGGATTGAAGAGAGAAAGGTATCAGGGAAACAAACCAGAAGCAAGACATGATGTAGACTTGGAGTCAGGCTTCAGAATGTATTCATTCATTCAACAACCAATATCATATGAACTGAGCACCTACCAGGCACTCTACAGTAAAGCAGACCCTGGAGATACAGCGCTGAGAATGCAGCCACGCTCTCAAACTAGGCGTGGTGCTTGCGCCTGTGGCAGGAGGATTGCCTGAGCCCAGGGGCTCCAGGCTGCACTGAGCTATGTTTTTGCCACTGCACTCCAGTCTGGGTAGCAGGGTGAGACCCCGTCTATGCATAAATAAATAATAATAAAAAATCTCAGTCCTCATGGACAGGGTGAGCACATCCCAGTTTGGCAGAGTCAGTTGTTTAATGTGACTTTCAAAGGTTCCAAGAATATCTCATAAATAATGTGCTCATCCTGCTCTTGCCTCACCCATTTCAGAAAAGGAGACAGACACTCAACAAACAAATGAAGCCTGTTAGTAAAGGGTGCATAATGGGGACACGGGATCTGAAAAGAAAATGAGGTAGGAATGGAGACTGGAGTGTGTGCATGTGTGTGAGTGTGTTTGTCTCTGTGTGAATTTTAACACAGTGAGCAGTGGAGGGAGAAAGCCATGGGGCCACCTCAGGGAAGAATTCCTGACCTAGGAGATGCAAGCACAGAGCCTCTGAGAGGAAGCCTGTGAGGAGCAGTGAGGGGGCCTGGGCAGCTGGAGCAGAGTGAGCGAACGGGATGGGACCAGAGATCCAGCAAGGGACCAGACCATGTCAGCCCTCAGGGGCCACTGAAGAAACTCAGGCTGCCTGGAAAAAAGAGGGGCTACCACTGGGTAATTTTGAGTAAGAGCAACATTGTCTTAACTAACTTTACAAAATATCTCAGTTTTATGTTGACAAAAGTCATAACTACTTTAAAATAAGCAATGACTTTCTCCAAGCTATTTTATTTAGATTCAAGCTGCTGTGAGCCAGTGGGTAGTAGTTAAGATTAATATGCAAATAACACATTTTAAACTGCAGGAGTGAATTACATTTCTAGGGCTGCTAAAACAATTGCAACTTTTTAGACTCCCATGAATGTGACATTTTCACTTGCATTATATTATTTTAATTTTACAATCTGCTTGCCAAAGAGAGGTCATTCCTTCCATTTTACAATGAGGAAACTGAGTCCTAGAAAGGTTAAGAACAGTTGGCCCATATGCAGAAAACTGAAACTAGACCCCTTCCTTACACTTTATACAAAAATTAACTCAAGATGGACTAAAGACTTAAACATAAAACTCCAATCCATAAAAACCCTAGAAGAAAACCTAGGGAATACCATTCAGGACATAAGCATGGGCAAAGACTTCATAACTAAAACACCAAAAACAATGGCAGCAAAAGCCAAATTGACAAATGGGATCTAATTAAACTAAAGAGCTTCTGCACAACAACAATAAAAAACTATCATCAGAGTGAACAGGCAACCTACAGAATGGGAGAAAATTTTTGCAATCTACCCATCTGACAAAGGTCTAATATCCAAAATCTACAAGGAACTTAAACAAATCTACAAGAAAAAAACAAACAACCCCATCAAAAAGTGGGCAAAGTATATGAACAGACACTTTTCAAAAGAAGACATTTATGTGGCCAACAAACGTATGAAAAAAACTCAACAACACTGATTTTCATGCACATCCGTGTGAAGAGACGACCAAACAGGCTTCGTGTGAGCAATAAAGCTTTTAATCACCTGGGTGCAGTGGGGCTGAGTCAGAAAAGAGTCAGCGAAGGGAGATAAGGGTGGGGCCGTTTTATAGGATTTGGGTAGGTAAAGGAAAATTACAGTCAAAGGGGGTTTGTTCTCTGGTGGGCAGGAGTTGGGGTAGCAAGGTGCTCAGTGGGGGTGTTTTTGAGCCAGGGTGAGCTAGGAAAAGGACTTTCACAAGGTAATGTCATCAGTTAAGGCAAGGACCAGCCATTTACACTTCTTTTGTGGTGGAATGTCATCAGTTAAGGTGGGGCAGGGCATATTCACTTCTTTTGTGATTCTTCAGTTACTTCAGGCCATCTGGGTGTATACGTGCAGGTCACAGGGGATGCGATGGCTTGGCTTGTCTTGGGCTCAGAGGCCTGACATTCCTGCTTTCTTATATTAATAAGAAAAATAAAATAGTGTTGAAGTGTTGGGGCTGCGAAAATCTTTGGGGGGTGGTATGAAGAGAGAATGGGCAATGTTTCTCAGGGCTGCTTCGAGCGGGATTAGGGGCGGTGTGGGAACCTAGAGTGGGAGAGATTAAGCTGAAGGGAGGTCTTGTGGTAAGGGGTGATATTGTGGGGTAGTTAGAAGAAACATTTGTCGTATAGAATGATTGGCGATGGCCTGGATATGGTTTTGTATGAATTGAAAAACTAAATGGAATAAGAGAAGGAGAAAAACAGGTATAAAAGGTAGATATCAGCTGTGATGGCTTGGAGAAACAGTGTAAACTGGCAGTGTAAACAAGAGCAGGGCATGTATGAGTAGTTGAGAACGGTGAATAGGAGTATGACTAGACAAAAGATAGTAGGGATGACAAGTTTTTTTGGGGCACAGTCTAAGTTGGTCTGGTGTCAAATGAGACTGGGGCCTAACAAAAAGGAGTATCTATACAGGAGCTCAAATGGGCTGTACCTTGTAGCATTCTGAGGACAGGCCTGAATTCTGAGAAGCAAAAGTGGTAAATGTATTGTCCAGTCCTTTTTAAGTTAGTGGCTGAGCTTGGTGAGGTGTGTTTTTAAAAGACCTTTAGTCCATTACTAAGAGCCTGAAAAACTGCTTGGCTGATTTGACTAATAAAGGCTCACTGTTATCAGACCGTATTGAGGTGGGAAGGCTAAACTGAAGAATTATGGCTGACAGAAGGGAAGAAATGACTGCGGTGGACTTCTCAGACCCTGTAGGAAAGGCCTTTACTTATTCAGTAAAAGTGTCTATTTAGACTAAGAGGTATTTTAGTTTCCTGACTCAGGCATGTTGAGTAAAGCTAATTTGCCAGTTCTGGGTGGGGGCAAATCCTCGAGCTTGATGTGTAGGGAAGGGATGGGGCCTGAATAATCCCTGAGGAGTAGTAGAATAGCAGATGGAACACTGAGAAGTTATTTCCTTGAGGATAGATTTCCACAATGGAAAGGAAATGAGAGGTTCTGAGAGGCGGGCTAGTGGCTTGTACTATAGCATAACCTGCCTTTGCTGGTGTGTGGCGATTAGGCCTGGTGGAACCGCCATCAATAAATCAAGCGTGATCAGGGTGAGGAACAGGAAAGAAGGAAATTTGGGGAAATGGGGTGAATGTCAGGTGGGTCAGAGAGATACAGTTATGGGGGTCAGGTGTGGTATCAGGAATAATGTGGGAGGCCAGATTGAAGTCTGGGCCAGGGAAAATGGTAATTGTGGGAGACTCAACAAAGAGTGAGTACAGCTGAAGGAGCCGGGGAGCAGAAAGTATATGCATCAGGTATGAGGAAGCAAATAGATTTTGGAAGTTGTGAACTTTAGAGAGTGAGTTGAGCATAGTTTGTGATTTTGAGGGCCTCTAAAAGTTTAGAGGCCCTCAAAATCACAAACTATGCTCAACTCACTCTCTAAAGTTCACAACAACTCCTTTCCTTCCTAGGCATATAGTTAGTGCGATCAGAATTCTTACACAGCGGCAGCCGCTGCATGCAGACATCAGGGCTAGGCTAAAACAGTAAGGTCAAGTTGTTTGCACAGAAAGGCTACAGGGTGCAGTCCTGGCTGTTGCATAAGAATTCTGATCGCACTAACTATATGCCTAGGAAGGAAAGGAGTTATTGTTTTGTAAGGGATTGAGGTTTGGGAGATTAATCGGACACGATCAGCAGGGAAAGCACGTATGTTTTTATGAGAATTATGCCGAGATAGGTAACAGATGAGGATGAAATTTGGGCTTGACTGAAGTAATGGGGGCTGTCTATGAAGCCTTGCGGCAGTACAGCCTTGGTAATTTGCTGAGCCTAATGGGTGTCAGGGTCAGTCTAAGTGAAGGCGAAGAGAGGCTGGGACGAGGGGTGCAGGGGAATAGTGAAAAAAGCATCTTTAAGATCAAGCACGGAACAGTGAGTTGTGGAGGAGGGTATTGAGGACAAGAGTGTAGGGGTTTGGCACCACAGGGTGGATAGGCGAAACAATTTGGTTGATAAGGCATAGATCCTGAACTAACTTGTAAGGCTTGTCTGGCTTTAGGACAGGTAAAATGGGGGAATTGTAAGGATAGTTTATAGGCTTTAAAAGGTCATGCTGTAGCAGGCGAGTGATAACAGGCTTTAATCTTTTTAAAGCATGCTGCGGGATGGGAATATTGGCGTTGAGTGGGGTAAGGGTGATTAGGTTTTAATGAGATGGTAAGGGGTGCATGATCGGTCACCAAGGAGGGAGTAGAGGTATACTTGTGGGTTAAGGTGGGGGGATACAAGAGGAGGACGCAAAGGAGGCTTTGGATTGGGAGGAGGGGCGGCAATGAGATGTAGCTGTAGTCCAGGAATAGTCAGGGAAGCAGATAATTTAGTTGAAGTGTCTTGGCCTAATAAGAGAACTGGGCAGGTGGGGATAACTAAAAAGGAGTGCTTAAAAGAGCATTGTCTAAGCTGGCGCCAGAGTTGGGGAGTTTTAAGAGGTTTAGAAGCCTGGCCGTCAATACCCACAACAGTTATGGAGGCAAGGGAAACAGGCCCTTGAAAAGAAGGTAATGTGGAGTGGGTAGCCTCCATATTGATTAAGAAGGGGACGGGCTTACCTTCCACTGTGAGAGTTACCTGAAGCTCGGCGTCCGTGATGGTCGAGGGGGCTTCCGAGGTGATCGGGCAGTGTCAGTCTTCAGCCGCTAAGCCAAGAAGATCTGGGAAGGAGTCAGTCAGAGAGCCTTGGGCCAGAGTTCCAGGGGCTCTGGGAGTGGCTGCCAGGTGAGTTGAACAGTCCGATTTTCAGTGGGGTCCCGCACAGATGGGACGCGGTTTAGGAGGAATCCTGGGCTGCGGACATTCCTTGGCCCAGTGGCCAGATTTCCGGCACGTGTAGCAAGCTCCTGGGGAAGGAGGTTCTGGAGGAACGCCTGGCTGCTGCGGTTCAGGCGTTTGGAAGTTCTTGTGTGCTGGAGATGTGGCTGGGGTTTGTCTCACAGTGGAGGCAAGGAATTGCAACTTTTTTATATTATTGTACGCCTTGAAGGCAATGTTAATTAAATCCTGTTGTGGGGTTTGAGGGCCGGAATTTAATTTTTGGAGTTTTATTTAATGTCGGGAGCAGATTGGGTAATAAAATGTATTTTGAGAATAAGACGGCCTTTTGACCTTTTAGGGTCTAGGGCTGTAAAGTGTCTCAGGGTTGCTGCCGAACGAGCCATGAATGGGGCTGGATTTTTATATTTGATGAAAAAGAGCCTAAATGCTTCTGATTTAGGATAAAGAAAAAGGAGCTTTAACCTTGACTACGCCTTTGGCTCCAGCCACCTTTTTAAGGGTAAATTGCTGGGCAGGTGCGGGAGGGCAAGTGGCAGAATGAAACTGAAAGCTGGACCAGGTGTGAGGAGGGGAGGTGATAAAAGGATTACAGGGTGGAGGAGCAGAGGCTGAGGAAGAATTGGGACCTGGCTCGGCCTGGCGAGGAGCAGCCTGGGGAGGAAGGGAGAGGTCAGATGGGTCTGTAGAAAAGGAAGATTAGAAAGACTCAGGGACGCTTGGGGTTGGTACTGAGGGGACAGGCGGGAGGGAAAGAAGGAAGATTTGGGACAAGTTGCACTGGGCACAGAGACTAGGAAGGGACTGATGTGTAAAAGAATGCCTGGACATCAGGCACCTCAGACCGTTTGCCTATTTTACGACAAGAAATATTTAGATCTTGCAGGATGGAAAAATTCAAAGTGCCATTTTCTGGCTATTTGGAACTACTGTCAAATTTGTATTGGGGTCAAGCGGCATTGCAGAAGAAAATAAGGCATTTAGGTTTCAGGTCAGGTGTGAGTTGAAGAGGTTTTAAGTTTTTGAGCACACAGGCCAAGGGAGTAGAAGGAGGAATGGAGGGTGGAAGGTTGCCCATAGTGAAGGAAGCAAGCCTAGAGAAAAGAGAGAGTAGAGAAATGGAGGGAAGGGGTTCGGAGGTTCTTACCTTCCAGAAAAGTGGGAAAAGGGGTTGGGGCGCAGAGATAAGAGGTCGGGGCAGGGAAATAAGGGATGGGGCACAGAAATAAGGGGTCAGGGCATGGAAATAAGGGATTGGGGCACAGAGATAAGAGGTCGGGGTGTGGAAATAAGGGATTGAGGTGCAGAGATATAAGAGGTTGTTGCACGGAAATAAGGGATTGGGGCACAGAGATAAGAGGTTGTTGCACGGAAATAAGAGATTGGGGCACAGAGATAAGAGGTTGGGGCACAGAAATAAGGGATTGGGGATTCTTGCCCAGTAGAAAAGCAGGACTTGCCACTAAGGGTGAAGGAGAAGGGGTTGAGGGGTACTTGCCCCTCTCCCAGAAAAGCAGAGAAGGGGTAGAGACAAGGAGAGAAGGGGTTGGGGTACTTGCCCTGTCCCCAGAAAAGCAGAGAAGGGGTAGAGACAAGGACAGAAGGGGTTGGGGTACTTGACCCTTCTCCAGAAAAGCGGGACTTGCCGCTAAGGGTGAAGGACCAAGGCAGGCGTCCCTGCGTGGTCTGACATCCTTGAAACATGGGTGTATAATCAGAGAGGTGTCCCTGCAATGATTAAACACCAAGGGAAGGCTGCCTTCCCAGTCCGTGACCGGCACCGGAGTTTTGGGTCCATGGATAAAATGTGTCTCCTTTGTCTCTCCCAGAAAATGAAAGGAATTGAAATTAAGAGAAGGGAGAGATTGAAGAGTGGAAAGGAGAAAGTGGTTGAGGGACAGTGAGAGAGGTTGGAGAAGAGAGTAAGAAGAGGCCGCTTACCTGATTTAAAATCGGTGAGATGTTCCTTAGGCTGGCTGGTCTGAGGACCTGAGGTCATAGGTGGATCTTTCTCACGGAGCAAAGAACAGGAGGACAGGGGATTGAGCTCCCAAGGGAGGTCCCCCGATCCGAGTCATGGCACCAAATTTCATGCGTGTCCATGTGAAGAGACCACCAAACAGGCTTTGTGTGAGCAATAAAGCTTTTAATCACCTGTGTGCAGGTGGGTTGAGTCAGAAAAGAGAGTCAGCGAAGGGAGATAAGGGTGGAGCCATTTTATAGGATTTGGGTAGGTAAAGGAAAATTACAGTCAAAGGGGATTTGTTCTCTGGCAGGCAGGAGTGGGGGTCGCAAGGTGCTCAGTGGGGGTGATTTTGGGCCAGGATGAGCCGGGAGAAGGACTTTCACAAGGTAATGTCATCAGTTAAGGCAAGGACCGGCCATTTACACTTCTTTTGTGGTGGAATGTAATCAGTTAAGGTGGGGCAGGGCATATTCACTTCTTTTGTGATTCTTCAGTTACTTCAGGCCATCTGGGTGTATACGTGCAGGTCACAGGGGATGCGATGGCTTGGCTTGGGCTCAGAGGCCTGACACTGATCATTAGAGAAATGTAAATCAAAACCACAATGAGAGCCATTTCATGCCAGTCAGAATGGTGATTATTAAAAAGTCAGGAAACAATAGATGCTGGTGAGACTGTGGAGAAATAGGAATGCTTTTACTCTGCAGATGAGAATGTAAATTACTTCAACCATTGTAGAAGACAGTGTGACGTATCCTCAAGAATCTAGAACCAGAAATACCATTTGACCCAGCAATCCCATTACTGGGTATATACCCAAAGGATTATAAATCATTCTATGGTAAAGACACATGCACATGTATGTTTATTGCAGCACTGTTCACAATAGCAAAGACATGGAACCAACGGAAATGCCCATCAGTGATAGACTGGATAAAGAAAATGTGGCACATATACACCATGGAATACTATGCAGCCATAAAAAAGGATGAGTTCATGTCCTTTGCAGGGACATGGATGAAGATGGAAGACTTCATCCTCAGCAAACTGACACAGGAAGAGAAAACCAAACACTGCATGTTCTCACTCACAAGTGGAAGTTGAACAATGAGAACACATGGACATAAAGAGGGGAACAACACACATCAGGGTCAGTCAGGGGGTGGGAGGTGAAGGGAGGGAGAGCATTAGGACAAACAGCTAAGGTATGTGGGGCTTAAAACCTAGACGGCGGGTTTATAGGTGCAGCAAACCACCTGGCACAGGTATACTTACATAACAAACCTGCATGTTCTGCTCCTATATCCTGGAACTTAAAGTCAAATTTAAAAAAAAAATGGAGTTCAGGTTCAGACAAGTAAACAGAGAAAAAGGCAGATTTCTGAGAGCTAAGGGCATATGGATTGAAAATGAAGGCTACAGGACAGAATGCTTATTTGAAAGGACTGGCAGTGCAAGAAGAAAGAAAGAGGACTTTATATTATGTGTTAAACTTAATGAACCTGGGGGAACTTTTTCAGTCCATTATTTTAATCTTAATAATAAAATTCTTTTTAAAAGCCCCACTATGCTATAATCTGAATTAAGCTATACTGTCAGTCAAATCCTGTCCGGTCCCCTGTGTGCATGGCACTATACAGCACACTGGTCTGAATACACCAAAGAGAAACCACATGAGTATTGGCCCCGTCCACCCCATTCCTATCTGTGTTATTACAGGATTGAATTGTAATTTGAAATTAAAAATTAATGTTGTTTTGGTACTTTAATACATTTATTACCTGAAATAAATTACATTTCTCTTTAAAAAAAAAACAGCCCTTGAATAAGATGGGTTTAAACTATGTGGGTCGACTTTTTTCAATGAAACATGGATCAGAAGATGCAGTATTCAGGGCATGTGAAACCCACATATAATGAGGGCAAACTGTTAATTTATGCGAGCTCTGTAGGGCTGACCCAGTGCTGGAACAAATTCCCTGGGTTTACCGAGGGACAGCTGTAAGTTGAAGACACACAGCTAATAAAAGGCAGAGTGTAGACTTAAAACCTGGTTTTCTAGCTAATACAGTCCATGCTTTTATACTACCTAAAGCTGGCTATTATGAAACAATAGTAATGCTAATTATTACAATAATAAGCCCACATAATAACAAAATGCAGTCATGATAAATTTGTTTTTTCCTTAATTAGGACAATTTTATTTTACAAAGGAAGATCACCAACACTTTCTTATTTCTAGCAGTGTTCAAGTACAAATATTTCCAAATAGTGCAGAATGATTACTACAATACTAGTAATCCTACAGTGTAAGATTTTTCGACTTTACAATGGTGCATAGGTGATGGGCACTCAGTAGACACCGCATTTTGAACTGAGCTCTTTGCCTGGGCTAGCAGCATGTGGTAGGAAGACTCTTGGGATGCAGATCGGGGCGGCCAGCCCCAGCTTCCAGGAAGCTGGGAAATCCAGGGGAATCAACCAACACCACACTCCACAGTGCGCTGTGTTCATGAATGACATGAGATATGCAATACTTTTTTATAAAAGGCTTCATATTAGATGATTCTGCCAATCATGGGCTAATGTAAGTGTTCTGGGTATATTTAAGGTAGGCGAGACCTGTGATGTTCTGTAGGTGAGATATATTAAATGCATTTTCCAATTACGATGGGTTTGTCAGGATGTAACCCTATTATGTCAAGTAGGAGCATCTGTACTAGTACTACTACTAATAAACTACTAGTAAAACGTGAGAGTTGTTTTTGCTGCTTTGGAAGTTGTTCCTTCTTAGCAAGCGGCAGCATTGTGGAAGCAAATGCAGATAATTTGGGGAAGATGCTGCCGTTCAGCCTCCCCTGGCTCAGCCATCTTCCTACCACTGGGGGAGGAGATCCGTGCTGGCAAAAGCTGGATCACACTTGTGGTTAGTTGCCACTAACTAAATCAGGCTTGGAAATAAGATCGTTTGTCACCAGAATACTTTAAATTATCTTCCTCATGCTGGACTCTGTCCTTGCAAAACTGAGTGAATTCTCCATGTTTCGTCTTCTCACCATGGGGCCAGATGGTCTTATCCACTCTAGTTCATGCTTTGGTGTCTAAAACACCAAAAGCAATGGCAACAAAAGCCAAAATTGACAAATGGGATCTAAGTAAACTAAAGAGCTTCTGCACTGGAAAAGAAACTATCATCAGAGTGAACAGGCAACTTACAGAATGGGAGAAAATTTTTGCAATCTACTCATCTGACAAAGGGCTAATATCCAGAATCTACAAAGAACTCAAACAAATTTACAAGAAAAAAACAAACAACCCTATCAAAATGTGGGTGAAGGATATGAACAGACAATTCTCAAAAGAAGACATTTATGCAGCCAAAAGACACATGAAAAAATGCTCACCATCACTGGCCATCAGAGAAATGCAAATCAAAACCACAATGAGATACCATCTCACACCAATTAGAATGGCAATCATTAAAAAGTCAGGAAACAACAGGTGCTGGAGAGGATGTGGAGAAAGAGGAACACTTTTACACTGTTGGTGGGACTGTAAACTAGTTCAGCCACTGTGGAAGTCAGTGTGGCGATTCCTCAGGGATCCAGAACTAGAAATACCATTTGACCCAGCCATCCCATTACTGGGTATATACCCAAAGGATTATAAATCATGCTGCTATAAAGACACACGCACACATATGTTTATTGTGGCACTATTCACAATAGCAAAGACTTGGAACCAACCCAAAAGTCCCACAATGATAGACTGGATTAAGAAAATGTGGCACATATACACCATGGAATACTATGCAGCCATAAAAATTGATGAGTTAATGTCCTTTGTAGGGATGTGGATGAAGCTGGAAACCATCATTCTCAGCAAACTATCGCAAGGACAAAAAAACAAACACCACATGTTCTCACTCATAGGTGGGAACTGAACAATGAGAACACTTGGACACAGGAAGGGGAACATCACACACCAGGGCCTGTTGTAGGGTAGGGGGAGGGGGGAGGGATAGCATTAGGAGATATACCTAATGTAAATGACGAGTTAATGGGTGCAGCACACCAACATGGCACATGTATACATATGTAAAAAACCAGCACATTGTGCACATGTACCCTAAAACAAAACAAAACAAAACAAAAAAAGAAGCCCTCACTTCTTTGAAACTACAGACCCATTTAGTTTGCAGAGTGTGCCGCCTTCTCGCTGCCAGGCAGGGCAGGGGTTTTCAGAATCTGAAGTCATTTCACTGCTTCTGGTTTGCCTCAGTAGTGAAGCATTCTGGGAAGATGTTCACAGGGGACTGGAGGCAGGTGGAGGGAACCAAACATACTCAAAACACGATCCATGCCTTCCTCCAAGGCTGTCGCTTGAGGTACACTTTTAGGAAAGTAGGAACAGAAACCAGAGTCGCTGAAGAATGGATTCCAAATGCTCTAAGATCTTTCACTTAAGCTGCAAATCAACTCACATCTTAGAATGTCATTTGAAAAACAGAAATCCCAGTGTTTGGAAGCCAAAGACATTGGTTGATAAATAATTTAACATGAGAAATACACTCATGTAGCTTTAGAACTGGAAAGACCATGAGAGGCTCTCAACTGATACCCACTGTGGTGTCAATGAGAAATCTAAGAACATTTAAATGAAGCTTGTTTACACTAAGGGGTTTTTGTTGTGGTTGTTTTCAACTGCATGTTTGCATGTCCTAATTTACTTATAAAGTATTATGTCTTTCGTTTCTATAATCAGTAAAATGGAATTTTTAAATTAAAATTCAAGGGAAATTGACTACTGGGATTCCCTTGAAGTCGTGCGTTTATGAAGTGATGTTGAGCTGATCCACTGTGAAAAAGCAGACTTTGGCTTGATGACAATGAGGCATTGTGTACGTGCTACACACAAGCCAGGAGAAGAGTGTGAATCTGTCATCCTGAGCAATGAGGAAAATGAACTCATCAGCAGTGATAGGAAAAAGCAGTCACTGGCCCAAAAAAGCAGGGAGAACTACGTAAAAAACAAATCAAGTGCCAGCCTCAAGTTCAGTATTGCTAAAACTCTCTCGCCACATTTCTGGTTAATGTTTTTGTGTCTCAAAAAATAGTTACCTTTGGTCTAGTTTTTTTTCTCATGGGAACAATGCTTTGCATTCACAAAAGTACCTCTTTCAAAAACTCTACGTTACAAATATATTATTAATCTTTTGTGTTGTACAGGTAGCTCCTGCCTCCTGGCTGGGTGCAAAATGCGTTTCTTTGTTTGTTTGTTTGTTTTTGTTTTTTTGAGATGGAGTCTTGCTGTCTCACCCAGGCTGGAGGGCAGTGGCGTGATCTCGGCTTACTGCAACGTCCACCTTCTGGTTTTAAACGATTCTCCTGCCTCAGCCTCCTGAGTAGCTGTGACTACAAGCACTCGCCACCAGGCCTGGCTAATTTTTATATTTTTGGTAGAGTCAGGATTTCCCCATGTTCGCCAGACTGGTCTCAATCTCCTGACCTTAGGTGACCCACCTTGCTCAGCCTCCCAACATGTTGGGATTACAGGCGTGAGCCACTGTGCCTGGGCAAAATGCACATTTGGACTGAATGAGGAAGCCCAAGCCCTTTCTACTGTGTTTTCAATTTTGTTTTTCTACTCTCCTCCCTCACCCTTCACTCTGCGGATCCCATCTATGCAGCGACTACTCCCATTCAACCTGCGTCTGCCCTGCTGACCCTCGGTGGTGTGGGTGGGCTGTGGCTGACCCTCGGTGGTGTGGGTGGGCTGTGGCTGACCCTCACTGGTGTAGCTGGGCTGTGGCTGACCCTCACTGGTGTAGGTGGGCTGTGGCTGACCCTCGGTGGTGTAGGTGGGCTGTGGCTGACCCTCACCGGTGTGGGTGGGCTGTGGCTGACCCTCACTGGTGTAGCTGGGCTGTGGCTGGCCCTCACTGGTGTAGGTGGGCTGTGGCTGACCCTCGGTGGTGTAGGTGGGCTGTGGCTGACCCTCACTGGTGTGGGTGGGCTGTGGCTGGCCCTCACTGGTGTGGGTGGGCTGTGGCTCGCCCTCACTGGTGTGGGTGGGCTGTGGCTGACCCTCGGTGGTGTGGGTGGGCTGTGGCTGACCCTCGGTGGTGTGGGTGAGCTGTGGCTGACCCTCACTGGTGTGGGTGGGCTGTGGCTGACCCTCGGTGGTGTAGCTGGGCTGTGGCTGACCCTCACTGGTGTGGGTGGGCTGTGGCTGACCCTCGGTGGTATAGGTGGGCTGTGGCTGACCCTCGATGGTGTGGGTGGGCTGTGGCTGACCCTCACTGGTGTAGCTGGGCTGTGGCTGACCCTCACTGGTGTGGGTGGGCTGTGGCTGACCCTCGGTGGTATAGGTGGGCTGTGGCTGACCCTCGATGGTGTGGGTGGGCTGTGGCTGACCCTCACTGGTGTGGGTGGGCTGTGGCTGACCCTCGGTGGTGTGGGTGGGCTGTGGCTGACCCTCACTGGTGTGGGTGGGCTGTGGCTGACCCTCGGTGGTATAGGTGGGCTGTGGCTGACCCTCACTGGTGTAGGTGGGCTGTGGCTAGCCCTCACTGGTGTAGGTGGGCTGTGGCTGACCCTCACTGGTGTGGGTGGGCTGTGGCTGACCCTCGGTGGTGTGGGTGGGCTGTGGCTGACCCTCACTGGTGTGGGTGGGCTGTGGCTGACCCTCGGTGGTGTGGGTGGGCTGTGGCTGACCCTCACTGGTGTGGGTGGGCTGTGGCTGACCCTCGGTGGTGTGGGTGGGCTGTGGCTGACCCTCACTGGTGTGGGTGGGCTGTGGCTGACCCTCGGTGGTGTGGGTGGGCTGTGGCTGACCCTCACTGGTGTAGGTGGGCTGTGGCTGACCCTCGGTGGTATAGGTGGGCTGTGGCTGACCCTCACTGGTGTAGGTGGGCTGTGGCTAGCCCTCACTGGTGTAGGTGGGCTGTGGCTGACCCTCACTGGTGTGGGTGGGCTGTGGCTGACCCTCGGTGGTGTGGGTGGGCTGTGGCTGACCCTCACTGGTGTGGGTGGGCTGTGGCTGACCCTCGGTGGTGTGGGTGGGCTGTGGCTCACCCTCACTGGTGTGGGTGGGCTGTGGCTGACCCTCACTGGTGTGGGTGGGCTGTGGCTGACCCTCGGTGGTGTGGGTGGGCTGTGGCTGACCCTCGGTGTTGTAGGTGGGCTGTGGCTGACCCTCACCCGGGTAGGTGGGCTGTGGTGATTAGAGCTAATGAGAGGATTGAGGAGACCGACATTCACTTCCAATTGCAGTTCCAAATTAACACCTTCTGCAGATACACATTCCAGAAATCTCATGCCCTGTACTTTCTTCTACACCGTTTTCTCTCCCCTTTGTTTCCATTCCAGCCATGCAGGAAGCAGCGTCTGTCCTGGCACATTGCGACATGTTGTCCATACCCGCTTGTTCTTCCCTGCCTGTGTTCTGGTAACACTGTGTTCACTGTTGAACTCTTCTAGGTATGCTTTCCCCCCACTCCAGTTGTTGGTGTTTTCTGTCTACATCCTCTTAGTCCTCTATAAATAGATACTTTTATGATACTCACGTGTTCCTTATTGAGTGTACAGTTGAGTACTGGTGAGTACATGCACATTGTTGTAAAACCAATCTCCAGAATTTTTCATCTTGGAAAACTGAAATGCTACACTCATTAAGCAACTCTCCCATATTCCCCTCCCCTAGGCCCTAAGAGCCACTGTTCTCAATGAAGACTTTCTGTCTCTATGAAGTTGACTACTCTAAGTACCTCATATCAGTGGAATCATAACATATTTATCTTTTTGTGACTGCCTTACTTCACTTAGCCTAATGTCCTCAAAGTTCACTCATGCTATGGTATGTATTAGAATTTTCTTCCTTCTTAAGGCTAAATAATATTCCAGTGCATGACTATACCACATTTTCTTTATCCAATCATTCACTGATGGCCACATGGATTCTTTCCAGCTCGTGGCTATTGTGAATAATTCTGCTCTGAACATGAGTGTACAAATATCTCTTCCACACCCTGCTTTGGTTTCTTTCGGGTATATATCCAAAAGTGAAATTTCTGCATCATATGGTAATTCTAGTTTTAATTTTTTAAGGAATCATCATAATGTTTCCATAGCTGTTGAGCCATTTTAAATTCCCACCAGAAGCATGCAAGGATTTCAGTTTTTCCATTTCTCTCCTGTACCCATTGTTTTCTGTTTTTTGTCTTTGTTTTTGATAGTAGTTATTCTAATGGATAAGATAAAAACGTTGTGTGTTATTTTAGTTGTCTGTTTGTTGTCTGGCACTAACTTCCTTCTGCAGAGAACCATGCCTTTGCAACTGAACTCCCTCATCTTTATGTCACTACTGTCTAATTACATGCCTGAAACATAGTATGTCCTCAAAAACAGCTGTTCAAAGAATAAATGTTGCTACTGGTAAAAATTGCTATAAAATTGCAAAAGAGCTTTAAGCTTCTTCAGCAAAGGAAAGGCAGGTGACCCACTAAATCATTTTCTCCAGTGGGCCGAGGAGTAGAGAAGTCACGGCTGGGAGCTTCAGATGGCAGCAGTGAAAAGAGGAGCAGACAGACCAGTCCCCATGGCCCTTTTGAGGAAAAATGGAGAGTGGGAATATAACCGGGGGCTGACCTAAGACCAAGAGAGAGCCTTGAGGTTTTTCTTAGAGGAAAATCCTATCTGCCATCACCCTCAGTCCCTAATTTCCAGGCCTCTCCATCTCCACTTACCTGGGCACACTTCAGGATCTCCCCGCTCCAGCCATGGGCGCCATTGGGTATGCAGCATGGGGCTGCTTCTGTGTTCCGGGCACCCAAAGTCAGAACACAACTGCACGATATCCTTTAATTCGGCTTTTGTTATCCAAACAATCTTGGAACATAGCCCACTGGCAAATTGGAGAATGCTGTCATCCCTATCACAGTTTTATTTATCACAACACCTATATTCATAAAATAGATAAATCATGTTGCAAGATGAAAGAGTATATCCCTAAGCTCTTGGCTCCACTCTATTCTGGAGCTTGGCCTTGTGAACTTTATCAGCAACTTAAAGAGGTATTTTGCATATTTCATTGTCAAGGTGTAAATATATTCCTTTTCTGCAGCTCGATTTTTCTAAGGAAGCCTAATTCCTTGGTTTATATTTCTTTTCTTATTATCTCCTGGAGTATGGTTAGGTCTGGAACTTCCTATTACTCAATGTTGCGCACTTTTAAACCACAGGTCTTCCCGTTCTTTAAGTAATTACAGGTCTCTTTTACAATAAACTCTTCCCAACTTGTTACCAATCTATATTTTTATCTTTGTTTGGTTCTGCTTTTAAATTGTTTCAGCAATGCTAATTATAAGAAAAAGATAAGGTCTGCTTGCTGTTCTTCCTCACAGCAGCTCGGAAAATGAACTGCAGCATTCTACTTTCCTATTTGTGCAGGTAATGATGTATTCATTGTGGCAAAGTCTTCACAGATAACAAAAACTACATGCTCTTTGCAGATGTGCTAATTATCTCATCTTGATCAAGAAAAAATTCAGAATTGGCTTCCAACTAAGCAGTTTAATTTACACCCATATTTGATGCTGGCATGAAGCCTGGGCTATTTTATGTTACTTTATTTTTTGGCTAGGAAATTAAGATAGTCTGGAAAATTGTTATTAAGAAATGCTTAAAACAGCCTATATATAAGATTCATTGTGGAAGGTCACCCCTGGTTAAGTTATAATGCAGATGTAAATGCAGAGAGATGGTGAGAAAACCAAAAGGCAAACAGGATGAATGGAACGGTTTGCTGTATTCAACTTGAGTAATGGAAACTAACTCAATCTATTTTGGACGTGCAGAGATAACTCTTATTAAATGACTATTTGGACCAAAAAGGAGCAAACTATATATTTTTAAGACATAAAAGCTACATCATTTCTTGGCAACTGAAAGAGGCCAACATTTTCATGGTGTTCCATTCATTTCTTTCTTTATACTTTTACAGCATTAAGACCAGTATTGTTAGCAATTGCAGACTACTTTTACTAGACTCTGTTACTTTTGATCACAGTTCTTTCTAATTTTCTGACAGAATATCTAGTTATGAAATGTGGCATAAAACTATATTCTTGGAGAAAAAAACCTTGGTTTTTAATCTTAACTTACGTATTTCAACCTGAAGACAATCACTGGATATGATTTATATGTATAAAATAAGACTTTCAATATCATAAAATATTGCAACTTATAAACCAAAATGGTTTGTTGTTAGAGAAAAGATGAAGGAGAGAAAGAGCTTGTCTTTCTGTGTTCTGTTAGTGGGAATCTGACTTTTCTTCAATTTCTACCTATTGATGTTTTCAACATAGAGAAAACTGGCTTGGTTTTGCTTCTAACACATAAAAATATTAAGTCAAGTAATCCACATTTTTCTCACCCTCTTTCTCTCCTAGTCATCTGTGCAAACACATAAACTTCCATAAGTTGGTGAGGTGTATAATGTGAAGACCAAAGCATCGATGAGTCCGTCATGCCAGGTTGCTCTGGATATTGGTACTTCTGGGTTAAAAAAATGATAAAAGTAGGATATGGAGCTTCAAGTAAAATTCAAGTCTTTCGGGTTCCAATCAAAACTTCTTTTCACTAAAACACTCTTGCCCTATTGCCTTGGGCAAGGCTTTCTACTTTTATAAGTCTCTGTCTCATTTTCAAAGTTAGTATAATATATTATCTAAACCCACTCATTGGGTAGCTTTTTGCCATAAAACTCACATTTACATGAAAGTATACTGTAAAACAGAAATATAAGATCTTTCCCCTTGGAAATAATAGAAATCTGAATATGCACATGCTCCTTACACTGCTGTGGGAATCAGGCCTTGCTGTTACTGGATGACGATAATAATAATAACTTGTGAAAGCCTCCAAGTGGAAAGAAGAGAGACTAATTCCTGTGCCAGCCTAGATGTGTCCCAGCCTAGACGCGTGGCCAGCCTAGATGCGTGGCCAGCCTAGACGTGTGCAAGCTTAGACATGTGCAAGCCTAGACGCATGGTCAGCCTAGACGTGTGCCAGCCTAGACGTGTGCCCAGCCTAGATGTGTGCAAGCCTAGATGCGTGGCCAGCCTAGATGTGTGCCAGCCTAGACGTGTGCAAGCCGAGATGTGTGCAAGCCTAGACATGTGCCAGCCTAGACGCGTGGCCAGCCTAGATGTGTGCCAGCCTAGACGTGCGGCCAGCCTAGACATGTGCAAGCCTAGATGCGTGGCCAGCCTAGATGTGTGCCAGCCTAGACGTGCAGCCAGCCTAGACATGTGCAAGCCTAGACACGTGGCCAGCCTAGATGTGTCCCAGCCTAGAAGCGTGGCCAGCCTAGACGTGTGCCAGCCTAGACGTGTGCCAGCCTAGACGTGTGCCCAGCCTAGATGTGTGCAAGCCTAGACGCGTGGCCAGCCTAGATGTGTGCCAGCCTAGATGTGTGCCAGCCTAGATGTGTGCAAGCCTAGACGCATGGCCAGCCTAGATGTGTGCCAGCCTAGACGTGCAGCCAGCCTAGACGTGTGCAAGCCTAGACGTGTGGCCAGCCTAGATGTGTGCCAGCCTAGACGTGCGGCCAGCCTAGACGTGTGCCAGCCTAGACTTGTGGCCAGCCTAGACGTGTGCAAGCCTAGACGTGTGGCCAGCCTAGATGTGTGCCAGCCTAGACGTGCGGCCAGCCTAGACGTGTGCAAGCCTACACGCGTGGCCAGCCTAGATGTATGCCAGCCTAGACTTGTGGCCAGCCTAGACGTGTGCCAGCCTAGATGTGTGGCCAGCCTAGACGCGTGGTCAGCCTAGACGCATGGCCGGCCTAGATGTGTGCCCAGCCTAGACTTGTGGCCGGCCTAGATGTGTGCACTTGGCTTGTGTTCCGGTCAGAAAGTCCCTGGCTGGAGCTTGTGCCGGTTCCTGGTCCTGGAACCAGGTGATTGCTGCTCTGCTGCTCTGCCACAAGAAGGAGGATGTCCGTCGTAAACTGCACCTGATGCCTGGGCCATGCACCTCTCTCAGTCCTCAGCAGGGTTTTTTGTCGATTCTAAAGTCCACAATGCCACAGGACATTCTTAATGTCCACATATGTAGTGCCCAGAAGTGGAAGGGGTGTGACACCTCATGGGTGAAATCTGACCAAGGGAAGACAGTTACTAGCAGATAAATTGTGGTGCTTTCCATTCTCTGGATGGGCTGTTTGGAGGAGCAGCACCTTCTGGTGGCTTCTCTAGTGACATTCAGAGGGACACTGCTGTGACCAGCTCAGTGACACTCCCTTTGACTTGCTGTCCCTCCTTCCCTGCCTCACTTTGTCCCTCACTTGTGTGTCTGAGCTGCACTCATCCTCAGGCGTAGCCCCTCCTATTTCCCTCGAGCAGGGTTTTCTAGGGACACAGGTAGAGACAGTGCCAAACTAGAATAAGCAAAAGATCAATGACGGACTAAAGGCCCAGTTTAAAATAGAAATTACGAGTGGATATTCAGTCAGCAAAACATGATTTTCCTCCAGCATTGTAGGAACAGCCGCAGAGGAAACGGAGTTAGACTCATCTACTCACTTAACAATCCGGGGTCCCCTGTGTGTCCCTCACCAGACTAGTCATCAGGGATTCCAAGATATAAAAAAATAACCCTTGGGTTCCAGTCAGTCCTTCTTTAGGGATTAACATTATACACTGGAATTTCATGTCTAAATATCTCCATGCAGTTGAAGTAGTGTTTCTGAAGAGTATAAAGGGCAAAAAATAATACATGAGAAGATGAGGAAAAAGCTGAAGGTACAGATAACATCAGAGAAGTCACTAAGGAGGGGAAACAGGCAGCGTGGTTCAGAGGAAGGATGTCAGAACACGTTTCCGAGATTAAGCTCTTCTGCTGACAGCGAAGTCCAGAGCATCAGCATAAGGGCAAGTGGCAGTGACAGGGCAGAGATGGAGATTATCTGAGCAGAGAAATTCTCAGAGCAATTCACTCGATGTGGCGGATGACTCCCCACTGCAAACTGAAACCTGCAGGGAGTAAAACAAAGGCTATGGGCCACCTGAGTGTTTGCTCTTCCCTCAATGCAGCTGAGCTGGGAACAGTCCAGAACTGAGAAGAGAGAGCGCTAAGTCCACCAACCGCTCAATTAAAACGGCCTGCGCCAGCCCAGTGATGGGTGGGACGAGATTTTTACAGACCTGGTGAGAAGCGACACCAACAGGAAAAATAGCATGTAGGGATGAGGGAAAGTTGGGAAGAAGTGATTAGGAAACAAGACGGAAGATTCAGTTCTGCGTAGCAAGTGCAGCTCTGCAATGGGGGGCGAATCAGAGCCGGGGGGCCACAGAGCAGCAGAGCAGGGCACTGCGTGCGCAGGTGAGGGAGGTGCAGGCAGGAATGGCTGCTGCTGTGAACACCAGGGTGGCCTTTCCCATGCTCTGGCTAAATGACATGCAGGACCATGCAAGACCATGCAAAACCATGCAGGGCTAGTGTTACTGCTTTATCTAATTGTGCCATTTGCTTCCGTAAACAATAACAAACCCCTCAAGCCCAGAGATACCTTATCTTACCAAGAGAACAGGAGCCGTCCTGGACAGCCGTGCTGGGCTCTGATGTTCTGGTCACAGAACCCTGCTCTGCCCCTTCTAAGCCTCCTGGCATCAGGGAGTTGGGAAGCCTGGAAGCTGCACCCACCAGCACCCCTGGCTGGCAGAGCCGCCCACGAGAAACCCTCGTGAAGGATTTGGAATGGAGAAGAGAGGCAAAGCCACATTCACACACCTCTGGGAGTGGCAGGCGAACAGGCAGGCAAATGGCACACGTGGGGTTTCTGTGGTGGCTTCCGAGTGCTCTGAAAACCACCTTCTTAAGTACTGAAGAAAAATCTTATCATCAGTGTCAGTTTTCTGGATCTGTGACCCTTTGATCTCGGAAAACTTGGCGTGCAGCTGAGAGTTCACACCCCTGCCCTGGCCTTCTCTCTCCCAGCACTTCACAAGGATCTCTGGGATGTTTGAAGGCATTTAATTCCCTGTATTAAATATCATCCTGCTTAAAAAACCAAGAGCGAATGCTGTTTGTGGACATAACTCTTGCTGATATACATTTTTTTTTCTTTCTACTACCCATTTTAACTTGGAAACTGGCTATCTTTTAGTTCACTAGTAAGTTTTCAAAACACTTTTTTCATTTACTGTATGTTTTTATCTTACTATTTTCAGTGAAAGTGCCAGAGATTAGACATAACAATAAGATGCCTCTGAAATATAAAAATTATATTATTGGAATTTGTTGATATATTGTTTTTGCTATTACCAAATCAAATGCATTAATAATATACTTGTTTCCATGGGGTAAATCCACTTTTAATAGTTTTGGACCAAATTTCTTCACTGTGTAACTTAATAAAAGCCATAAAATTCAGGAACTGGTGCTTTTGCAATAGGTGAGAGGAAAGAAGTTAATGGCTGTGGCTGCTCTGGCATAAAAGCAATACTTTCCACCTCTTTCCAGGGAATGCTGCTGGATTCAGGAAATAAGCACTGAGACACTTCATCAAGAATATCGTAAAAACTGTTCATTAACATTGTAATTATTCTTGTAATTTTAGTCATAATTTTAATTCATTTCCATTACTTAAGCTGAAAGTGCCAAATTACCCTTTAAGCATTTCTTTATTTTTCTCACCTTTCTATTAGAAAAATGTTAATGATCTTTATTACTGTTTCTGATATTTAAGAAGAAACAGCGGGGGGTTATAAGTTCATAAGCATCTTTAAAGCTACAAGCCAGAGAGTTTTACCCAATTCGAAGAAGTCCAGGTCATTCTGCACAGAGAAGGATGCAGCCGATGCACCCCAGTGGCTCTCCAGGGCCAGCCTTCAGCCTCAGCACCACGGTGGCCAGCCCGGGGCCTGACCTGGGGTCCCTGGCTTACAGGGTTCTGAGTTGCGTCTAGAATTCTGCCTCTTGCCTGCATAAGCATCAGACGACCTCATGTCATAATCATCGTTCAGCTTCTCTGAGCACATAGCAAGAAAAACCACATCGTTGGCACAGTGGGAATGGGGGACAAGCTGGGGAAAGTTTTCCACTTCTGGAAATGCATGCAGAGGAGTCCAGAGGGAGGGGATGAGAAGCACCGCCTGCCCTGGCTGCAGCAGCATTGAAGCCATCATCACCAGTTCTATGAAAACTTTCAAGGTCAACAATGAGCAAATGAACTGGTATTTTTGTGTTTTGGGCTACAACATTTCTATAACCCTAAAAATTACCTTGAGCTAAATACAGGAAGAAAGGAAAAGCGCTCATGGATACACTAGCAAAAAACTTCAAGAGTAATCTGTGTGGTCACCTTTTCTACCTCAAAGAGCACTCACCATGAAATAGAACCGATAAACCCACGTTCAGGGTGTCCACCATGAAATAGAACCGATAAACCCACGTTCAGGGTGTCCACCATGAAATAGAACTGATAAACCCACGTTCAGGGTGTCCACTATGAAATAGAACCGATAAACCCACGTTCAGAGTGTCCACTATTAAATAGAACTGATAAACCCATGTATGAAATAGAACCGATAAACCCAGGTTCAGGGTTTCCACTATGAAATAGAACTGATAAACCCCACTTTCAGGGTGTCCACTATGAAATAGAACCGATAAACCCACGTTCAGGGTGTCCACCATGAAATAGAACCGATAAACCCACGTTCAGGGTGTCCACTATGAAATAGAACTGATAAACCCACGTTCAGAGTGTACACTATGAAATAGAACCTAAAAACCCACGTTCAGAGTGTCCACTATGAAACAGAACTGATAAACCCACGTTCAGAGTGTACACTATGAAATAGAACCGATAAACCCACGTTCAGGGCGTCCACTATGAAATAGAAACGTTAAACCCACGTTCAGGGTGTCCACTATGAAATAGAACGGATAAACCGACGTTCAGAGTGTACACTATGAAATAGAACCGATAAACCCCACGTTCAGAGTGTACACTATGAAATAGAACCAATAAACCCCACGTTCAGAGTGTACACTATGAAATAGAACCGATAAATCCACGTTCAGAGTGTACACTATGAAATAGAACCGATAAACCCACGTTCAGAGTGTACACTATGAAATAGAACCGATAAACCCACGTTCAGAGTGTACACTATGACATAGAACTGATAAACCCACGTTCAGAGTGTACACTCTCCTGCTAGGTCAAGTGGCCAGAGTGAGATCCTTTTTTGTAATGGATGTCATTGACTTCGGGGGTCATTAAAATTTTTAACATGGCCAGGTACAATAGCTCATGACTGCAATGTCAGCACTTTGGGAGGCTGAGGTGGGAAGATTGCTTGAGTTCAGGAGTTCCTGACCAGCCTGGGCAGCATAGAGAGACTCCATCTTTATCCTCCACAAAAAGGAAAAACCAGAAGATTCTAGCAATGAAGAACTTAAGGGAAGCTTAAAACAAGACGCTTTCTGTTGTATTTACTCCATTATCAACCCAATTACATATTACTCACAAAGGCATTTTAAATAACAATAATATTAACAAAGTATTTGCTATCATGGCTAAATAATCTGTAAAAGAATAATGATATCCCATAAAAAAGAATAAAGGGGCCACCAAAAGAACCAACTTTCTCTTTATGGGATCCTTTTTTATATACAATCCATATGTAGACCATGTTTCAGGTTTTTAAATAATATAATTCTCTTCCACTGTTAACAAGGCCAGGCACCATGGCACTATTCTCCATTCCTTGGGAAGCTGGTGGGTGAAAATCTGGTCTGCAGAGTCTCTCTCTAGAACACAGGAAGTTCCTAGGACTTACCATGTAATTAATTTTGCCAAAAGTAGAGTAGAATAGAGAAAAGATGAGCTAGAGAGACGTACAGAGGTTCTCAGTGAGCTCAACTCCATGAGAGAGCTGCTCTCCCACATAATAAAAGGCATTAATTTAGTGGCTGCCATCATCAAGACAGAAGAGACATCAAGAGGCTTCCTGTCAAAGGCATGCAGGTTTTTCTCCCTTTAACTGTTTAAATATGAAATGTTCCTCCAGTAAGTCACAAACACATACTCAACCATAGTTTCATACATATCCATTTAACTATTTTTGCATGTGGATTTTATATTTAATTAAAATTTCTATAAATTTAGGACAATATCCATTTTATTAAAATTGAACTGTAGCCAGCCCAACACTCCATAAAGATGAGCATTCAGAAAGCATGTTTGACAGTGACTTTGAATTTTAAATTGTAGAATTTTTATGGTCGGACTTAACACAGTAGTCTTCCTTATCCTCAGCCTCCAGCTTAATAACCCAGCTCAGTCCTCCCACTTTTTTGGCACCTATCTACATAAATGCTAACTGAATAGATGAAAGGGTGAATGAACAGTGGAGCCTACGCTATCACATCTCATCCTATTCAAACGCTTTTCCTCAGAGACTCTGTCACTTACTTCTACGACTAATCTAACGTCCTGGAAGAATTTTAGCTCCAATAACCCATGATGTAAGACAGGCATTTCCTATTTATCAAAAAGTGCCTTAGACTTCTCTCACACTTATGATGCCTAAGTTCAAACCATATGAAGCCACCACAGCACATGTAACTGCACATTTTAAAGCTGATTTGCTGAGAGTAATTCACAAACCCACAGTGAATTTTTTATTCACAACTTCTAGATCTGAAATATAAAAACCTTATCTCCTAGTACATGAAACTGTGCTAATACAATTTATTAAATTAGTTCAACTAGCATTTCCTTCAAAATAATTGACAATAAATTAAACTGGGTGCCCCTCTTTTCCATTCTGTGTTCAGCTGCCAAATCTGCTCAGCTTTCTGTGTCTAAAACGCTTACCAGATATGACTCCATTGTGATTAGATGCCTCCATTCCAGTGGACTTTATTAAATTAGAATACAAGATAGCTGTCACTCTCTGAAGGATACAAGTAAGAGCAAGTCTTGAACGAGCCTCTTTAAACCATCACGATATAAATAGGCCATATTTCCAGGGTGACAGAGCAAGTAAAGGATTTCAAAGATGAGTAGGGAAAGCCCAAGTTAGCTAATAAATGACGTTCATTCATTAGGAAATGGTATCTGCAAACTATTCAAAAATCCCCTTCACTAAATAAGTCATGGACTGCGTTTCTGTTCGCAAGCCAGCCTAACACAAGGTGATGACGTCCTCACACAAAACTTGCCCCAAATCCCCGTGGTTTACCACATGTCTTTAGATGACTGAGAATGAGAAAGGCAGAGAGAGTTAATTCCTGATTTACATATTCTGCTAATAAAGTGGCAAGGTCTTATGGAACAAACACGGCAGATGTAATTATGTAATTACGTATCTGTATGCAAATGTGCCGACGGCTCATAAATGCTGGAACGCTATTTGCAATGCTAATTAAGTGGCTTTTATTGAGGCTGCATAATTCCTACGTGTGATTTGGTTCCAGATGTCATTATAGCTTGTGAAACCTTTATTGTCAGGTTAGCTGAGGTGGCACACATTAACACCACTCATAAAACCTCTATTTATAATTAAATTATTTGCAATGACTCAGTGATTTTCATCATCCCCTGGCCACCTCTGTACTCACATAGCATAGAGATGGAATCGCGACTGGAAGCCGGAACCCAGGAACATTTCTCCGCGTCTACGTTCCCACGCAGGTGGCTAATCTGCTTAATCTCACCCACGTAAACCACGTTGAAGTGTCTAATGAGCATGGGAAACAGATCACAACTGAGGCCAATGTGGAATTGTTGGCAGATGCCATAAGGTTTTATTTTAGATTTTATAGCTATCAAAGAAGAATAATTCGTTTTGCTGTAATCTCATATCAGTATTTGATAGCCTGAAGAATTACTCTTTCATTTATAATAATACAAAATGTTTTGAGATCATACAGTAAGGAGTTGGTACCATACTTTTTAATTTGTAAGTAAGAAAAAAGTGAAACTAAGAAAATATAGATATTGGACACTCATTATGTTCACAGCATTGCAGGGACTACAAGAAAACATAATACATGGGCTTCCAAATAGCTCATAAACAGTTTACTATGCAACACATAAAAAATGTTTACAATAACATATAAGAATATGAGACCTGGTTGTTCATCTGGAACTAAAACAGATAAATGAAATCAGAGAGAATCCTCATAACTATTTTAATCTAATGATTTACTTCAGCCTTTTCTCCTACCAAAACTTTCATCAGAACTCCTAATAGTGTAAGAAATATGACCTGGTATTTTCACTGCTTCTTTCTAGTTCTTGTAAGAAGAATCAGAGAAATTATTCAACCAGTCCCTGATGTTGTAAGGGCTGTTTCCTTTAGATGATGGCAGAATGCACATATCCCATAAACCACTGTAAGCAGAGAAACTACCTTATGTAACAAGCACAGAGAGGGGACTTTCCTGGTTCTTGGAGATGCTGTTATGATCCCAAAATAAAACTAAAGCACTGATTAGCTCCCTACTCTAAAGATGAGGGCCTCAAACCCCTGGAACTTCCTGGCAGGGCTTCGTAAGAGGCAGCAGAACTGGCAATCCTACCATTAACCACCACCCACCCCACCAGAACTTCCCCAGCCCACAAAGGCAACCAAAGAGGATGAGTTCCCCTTTAGAGCAATGAGGAGTCAATGTACTAATTCTCAGCAAGGCAGGAAGGCTTTGAATCTGATGGAGCACAGGAAAGGGAAGCCTGAACATCATTACTTGGCTTGATACTCGCACAGATGGAGGTGCAGCTACTGCTGCCCAGGGCAGAGCTGGATGGGAGAGCCCCAGGAGAGCTTGGCCTCTACAACCCGAGAGCGTGAGCACATGTGAACATAAAGATGACTGCTAATTTCTCAGCTAGAGAGCAAGCCAACGGGATCTGATGGGACATGTTACATCCTACAGGAAAGAAGGGGATGGGGTCATTCCCTGTCACAGCTTCCCACGGCACTGGGAGGGCCTAGACAAGGCCATTGGTGGCTCCCACAACCCATGTGAATGCACAGGGATGCTCGAGGAGAAGGCACTCTGGTGTCACCAGGTAAAGATGCTCCAACCCAGGGACAAGGACATGGGGCCAGAGCCCTGGGGACGCTAAAGGAAAACTAGGCTGGGGAGAGGGGCTTAGGCGAAGCTGAATGCTGGACTAAGATGGGTGTGTACCCCACATGCGCAGACATCGCCAAATGGACCAAAGCCACCAACATTAGAACAACCCAGAGCAAAGTGCAGCGAGAACAAGGTTGGCTCCTCTGCACTAACCCTCCGCACTGACCCTCTGCACTGACGTGCACCTGTGAGGAAGAAGATCCTTCAGTTCCCTCACTGGTCCTCTCCCTGCCCCTGCCCCAGCATCACAGGAGCTAGCCCTAAAAGGAAAGTCGTGCAGCTGGAGGGATCTCAAAGCCAGACCATACCCAGCCCACAACTACACACACACACTCACATACACATACACACTTACACACTCTCTCACACACAGACTTACTCTCTCACACACACTTACACACTCACACATTCTCACACACACACATACACTGCCACATGTATGCACACAATCATGCACATTCAGACACATACACACACGCTTACACACACACAGACACATATATAATCACACTCTCACACTGTCACACACACACAAACATACACACTCTCACACACTCACACACACACGCAGACATATACACACACTCTCACAGACACACATACACACACTCACATACTCTCACACACACACGCCCTCACACAATACACTGACACATATATACACATATACACAATCACTCATGCACTCACTGACACACATACACACACTCACACATTTACACACATACACACCCACACACACATACACATACACTCAAACACACACACACCCCTACAACATTCACAGAGCAAAGGTCACCAGCAAAGCTCCAATTGCCAGAGGGGTGAATTTTGACTGGTCTATCAATATGAGCTTCATATTCCAAATAAACCTGGATTACATTCTAGGAAGCAGAAGTCACTAGACACTGGAATGTGTTATTAACGGGTAGGGAGAATAGATTTAATATGAGACACTGGAAAATCCTTACAGAAAAAATCAATTTTACTTTATACCCCAATCATATGAGAATTGGGAATCCTGACATCCTAAGCTTACATCTCCTTCTCGTCCTTTCCTCAGCCCACTTCGTTACTGCTTTTCAAACGTTCTGCTCATGCAGACCAGCAATGCCCCGAGGTTGAAAATAACAGAAAGTTTTAAAAATCAAAAGGTCATTACACTTTTTAAAAACTGAGAAAAAATTCACATACCCTAATATTCACGTATTTAAAGCCCAGGTCTGGTCTGGTTCTCTGTGAGGCAGAAGGCTTTTGTCCACGTGGAGATGTTTGCACAGCAGGTGTCCACACTTTGCTCCGTCCGGTGTCCAGCTTCGCCTTGGCCCCTCTCTCACTGACAGGAGGGGAGCCTCGTTTTTTTGTCACCATCGGTGGTTCTTGTATCCATGTCTCTGTCCCTGGTTTCAAAGCCTCATCACCTGGTAGCACAAAAGAACCCTGCAATTCGATAATTTTTTATATATTCACAGAGTTGTGCCACCATCGCTACAACATGTTATAATATTTTTATCACCCCAAAAAGAACGCCCCCGCCCATTAGCAGCCACTCTCCATTTTCCCCAGTCCTCACCCTTAGGCAAACACTAATGTACACTCTGTCTCCATCATTTGCCCATCCTGGACATGTTATATGAAAGAAATCATACAACATGTGGCCTTTTGTGTCTGGTTTCTTTTTCTTAGTACAGGTTGAGTATCTCTTATCTGAAATGCTTGGGACCAGAAGTGCTTCAGATTGTGGCATTTTTCAGATTTTGGAATATTTGCAAATACCTTATGAAATATCCTTGGGATGTGACCCAAGTCTAAACACAAAACTCACTTATGTTTTATATATACCTTATATAGGTATTTAGAAGGTAAATTTATTTTTCCCTTGGGGATGCTGAAGAAACTGTGCATTGTGCATTTGGGTTTTCACTGCAACCTGTCTGGTGTGGAATTTTTCACTTGTGACATGTCGGTGCTCAAAAAGTTCAGATTTTGAAGCTTTTCATATTTCAAATTTTCATATTAGGGATCCTCAATCTGTATAATGTTTACAAAGTTCACACATGTTGTAACACATATCAATATTTTTAACAAATAATATTCCATTGCTTTGATCCATCGTTTTGTTGATTCATCAGTTAATGGACATTGGTGGTGGTTCCACTTTTTGACTATTATGAATATTGATGCTATGAATATCCACATGTGAGTATTTGTGTGACCACATGTGAGTATTTGTGTGACCACATGTGCGTATTTGTGTGACCACATGTGAATATTTGTGTGACCACATGTGAGTATTTGTGTGACCACATGTGAATATTTGTGTGGCCACATGTTTTCATTTCTCTTGGATATGTACCTAGGAAAAGCATCATAGGATCAAATAGCAACTCTGTGCTTAACATTGTGAGAAAATGTCACACTGTTTTTCAAAGTGGCAGCACCATTTCACACTCCTCAGCAATGCCTGGGAGCTTCAGTTTCTTCCTATCCTCCTCAAGATGTCTGACTGTACATCCTTCTAGATGTAACGTGGAATCCCATGGTGATTTTGATTGACATTTTCCTAATGACTAATGATGTTAAGCATTGTTCATGGGCTTGTTATTTGTGTTTATTCTTAAGAAATATACGTCCTAAATCTCTTACTAATTTTTAATTGGGTTGTTGGTCCAATTTACCTAATTACCAAATCACCAAATTAAAAAGTCCAATTTGCCTAAAAGTCAAAAAAATTACTTCTATGCTTTCTTCTAATGTTTTACACATTTAGCTCTAACATTTATGTCTCTGAAATATTTTGTTTTTTTCTTTTGAATAGCGTGAGTTAGGGATCCAGGTTTACTATTTTGCATGTGGCTATCTAGCGGTTCTGGCACTATTTGCTGAAAATATTTCTCTTTCTCAGTTGAATTATCTTGGAACCCTTGTTAAAAATCAATTGGCCATACTGTAGAGAATCATTTCTGGACTCTCAACTCTATTCTGTCCAACTATATTTTTATGCTGGTATTATACTGCCTTGAATTCTGTAGCTTGCAGAAAGTTTCAAAATCAGAAAAATGTGAATAATTTAATTTTGTTCTTCACTTTTAAGAATGCTTTAGTTATTTGCGTCTTTGCATTTCCATATGAATTTGATTATCAGCTTTTCCATTTTTGTAAAAAATCCAGAAAAATTGTATATTTTCATTGAATCTGTAAATCAATTTGAGTAATATGCTTATCTAAGTAATATTAAATCTTCCACTTAAGAAATACAGAATGCCCTTCTATTTACACAGGTCTTCTTACACTTTTTCAACAAGGTTCTGCAGTTTTCACTGTGCAAGTTCTACGCTCCTTTTGTTACATTTATTCCTAAACATTCTCTTTTTTAATGCTAATGTAAGTAGAAGTGTTGTTAACATTTTATTTCCAGATTGTTCATTGCTAGTGCATAGAAATGCAACTAATTTATCATATTGATCTCAGCTATACTTGTATGTTAGGCCTGTTCTTTACTGGATTCCTTAGGATTTTCTATATACAAGTTCATGTCATCTACAAACACAAGTAGTTTTACTTCTTCCTTTCCAATATGATTGTCTTTTATTTCTTTCCCTTGCCTAATTGACCTGGGTAGAACCTCCAGTACAATGTTGAGCTGAAGTGGCTGGAGTGGGTATCCTGTCTTGTTCTGATCTTCAGAGAAAGCATTCACTCCTTCCATCATTAAATATGGTGTAAGTTGAGTGTTTTTCAAAGATGCCCTTTATCACGTTGAGAACATTTCCTTCATTACTAGTTGGTTATTTTTTTTTTTATCATGAAAAGGTGTTGGTTCTTGTCAAGCATTTTTTCTACATCTATTGAGATAAGCATGTAGTCTTTGTCATTTATTCTGTATGTATAATATGATACACTATAATGATTGATTTTTGAATTCTAAACAAGTCTAGTATTCCTGGAATAAGTGCCCTTTGGTTATGGTGTAAAAACCATTTTATGTGGTGCTAGATTTGGTTGCTAGGATTTTGCTAAAGGTTTTGCATCTATTTTAAAAGGAATGTTGCTCTGGCATTTTTAAATAATATTTTGTCTAGTTTTAATATCAGGGTGGTCTTAACTCATAGAATTGAGTTCTCTCCTATTTTTTGAAAGAACTCATAAAGGGCTGGGTATTAATTTTTTATAAATTGTGTAAAACTAATAAAAGTCATCTGAGCCTGAGCTTTTCTCTGTGACAAGTTTTTTTAAATTACTAGCTGGATCACATTACTTACTATATGTCTATTCAGATTTTTTAATTTCTTTTTGAGTTAGTTTCAGTAGTTTCTATTTTTCTACAAATTCGTCAGTTTTCTGTAAGTTGCACAATATGTTGGTATAGAGTTCTTCACACTACTCCTTTATTGTCCTTTTTATTTCTGCAAGGTTGGTAGAGATGCCCCCTCTTTCATTACTCAATTTATTAAGTTGAATCTTATCTCCCTTTTTCTCATTATTTATTTGTGTGGATTAAAGTTACCATCTAGCATCCTTTTGTTTCAGCCGGAAGGACTGTCTTTATTATTATTATTATTCTTTGTCAGATAAATCTGCTATCAATGAATTATCTGTTTTTATCTGGAAATGTCTTAAATCTTCATTTTAAAAGTATTGTTTTTGCTGAATATAGATATTTTGGTTGGTCTTTGTTGTTATTTTGAATATGCCCACCTGTTGTCTTCTGTCCTTCATGGTTTGCGATGAGAAGTCAGCTCTCAACCTTGGTGAGAATCCCTTGTACAGGATGAATCAGCGTGTGTGTGTGTGCGTGTGTGCGTGTGTGTGTGTGTGTGTGTGTGTGTGTGCTGTTTTCAAGGTTCTTTCTACTTGGATATATACATGAATGTTTTTCATTAAATTTGATAAGTTTTCAACTATTTTAATAAATATTCTATCTGCTCCTTTTTCTCTCTCTTCTCCTTCTGAACATCCATTATGCTTATTTTAGTATGCTTAATAATGTTCCACAGGTCTTTCAGCTTCTGTACATTTTTCTTCCTTATTTTTTCTCTCTGTTCCTCAGACTGGATAATTTTCAACTGAGTTGTCTTCCAGTGCTCTGATTCTTTCTTCTACTACTTCATATCAGCTATTGAGTCCCATCAGTGAAATTTGCATTATTTCTATTATTGTATTTTTCAGTTCAAGAGTTTCTATATTTTTAAATAATTTCTACCTTCTTATTGATATACTATCTTGGTTTACAAATTGTCATTATGCTTCCCTTTAATACTTTAGACATTGTTTTCTTGAATTCTGTAAATATACTTCTAGTAGCTATATAAAGTCTTCTTTCCCTAAGTCCAACATCAGGGCTTCCTTAGAGATAGCTTATATTGATTACTTTTTTCACTGTGTAGGACCATACTTTCCTTTTTATGGCTCATAATTATTTTATTGAAAACTAGTGATTTTAGAAAATATAACTCGGCAACATTGTAAGTTAGATATCCTCTGCAAAGTTTGTTCTGGCTGCTGTTGTGTGTTTGTTGTTGCTGCTGCTGTTTGTTTAGTGACTTTCCAGGACTAATGCTGTATGGTCTAAATTCCCTGTGATGTGTGACAACTAAGATCCTTTCTGGGTTAGTGTAAGAATGAGATAGTAGTTTACAAGAAATTTTATTGAACCAATAAATATTCAATGACTTTGCAGAGAGTCTCTGCAAAGTTATTGAACATGCATTTGACACTTAGGCAATTTACACATACTGCTTGCACAGAGCCTCAAGGCCAACCAGAGGCAAAAGATTTCCCCTCGCCTTTGCTGCCCACATGCATAGCAAGTTCCTGACCTGTTAGCTGGGATTTTAAGATGGTTATGTAAGCCACATGGAAGTGGGTACTTCCTTCTTTTCCTCCTATACATTGTCTGACCTCCACTTTCCAAAGGTTTTACTACTACTTAGTTCTAAGCTGGTAAAGACAAAGAATCAGACACTTTAAAAAGAAGGAAAATAAGTAATAGGGATTTTGGTGGATTATGAAAATTGATCACTTAACATTTTAAAATACATAGAAGATTATCTGGAAACCTGCCATTTAATATGTGCCGTTAGATTCGCCTTACCTTCTCTGTTTTTTAGCATTTTACACAGTGGCAGATAATTTCTTAATATAAAGATGTAAGAAATCAATCCTGGGTGAAAACAAAATAATATCTGTATTACTGTCTGTGTCACTGATACAATATGATTTAAGAAGGAGTGTCACTATGGTTTTCAATGATGCTGAGCTCAAAAGATTAAATTGTCTCCTGAGCATATTAAATGAACCTTTAATAACTCCATATGGGACTCTCATACATGATTTTACTTAAAGTTTTCTAAAGTTTAAATATATGTATATATCCTCTCTCTCTATATATATACACACACATATATACACACATATATTTAAAGTAAAATATATATATAAACTAATATATATTATATATAAAGTAAAATCTAACTTGATTTCAACCTTAAAGTATTCATAACTCTCTTAGCCCTTAAATACCAATATGTCTTGAATATGGCCTAGGGATAAAGAAGGGGTCGCTTACTTAGGTCCCAAGCGAAATTGTCAAGGATTCTGTTTAGCCACAAAAGCCGTTAGGAAAAGGGCACTGAAGCTCTATGACAGTAGGCACAGAGAACTACCAGATTATCTGAGCTTCAGATTCCAATCTCATTTCCGCTCAGTTTGCAAGCTGTTTCTACAACCATGATTTCCCTCTCCCCAGTCTCCTGTGAGTGATGGCTGCCGGGACGGCCTGTCGGCTGCTGGCTCACGGCTCCCAGCCTGCGGTTTCCAGTGCCTGTGCGCTCCATTGCCAGTGGTTCTTGTCTAGGAGAGGTGCCATTCCCACTGCAAAATTCTGCATGTACGTTTGACATGCTCACTTCCTTACAGCAGCTTTAATCTGTCACATACTTGCTCAGGAGCCTTCAACAACCTTCCGTGTCCTACTTCACCCATCCAGACTCTTCATGGCTTTGAAGGACTCCACTGCACGACTGGACCTCATTTCCTAACCAGGTCGCTCGCCACTCCCACTCCTCACCCAAAGCAGATAAACTGATCTACCCTGTTCTTCTCCCCACTGACCTTCGTACTGTTCTTTCCATATGGCCTAGTTTAAATCGGTTTCCTCCTTGTGACTCTATAAATACTATTTTTGTTGTCATTGTCATTGCTGTTGATATTGGTTTACAGTTTAATGTCTCCATAATGAATATGGTGACCATACAATTTATTACAATTTATTGTCCAAACCAGGATACTTTTGAGAGTGAGGGCGTTTCTATTAATGAAATACCTGGGCAAGAGGCATAGGCCAGATGTTTTAGGCTGAGGCTGCTCAGAGCAAGCCAGGCCACATAGGCACCTTATTTTAGTACATTTTAAAATAACATTTTAAGAATATTTATTGAAATTTTACAAGTTAGATGATTATTGACCAAATTAAAATTCTACTTTGGACTCAGGTTTAATTGCCAAGGAAAGAAAAAGCAGCTACAATCTTAACAACTTAGAGAAACGCCAACTTGACATTAAAATAGTGACTTCCCTGCCAGAGATTTTCCTGTTTTGCTTATCATGCTAAGCTACCTTTTAAAGAGATAAAATAAATGTAATAGATCAGCAATTTCTGTGTTAATTTGAACATGGTTGGTGTTTATTATTATTATCCATAAACTAAGAAAGTCTCAGTGGAAAAGTCATGTTCTTTTTATCCTCATCTCATAAAATCTGGCTGTCCACAGTTCTTCAAAGTTCACTGTATAACCAGACATGGATTAACCAAACATTTATATAAATTTACCAAGTTTTAAAGATTAATTCAATTAATCCGAACTAATCCAATCTACTTGACCTAAGTTTATAAGACACTGATAGAAATCTCTCCATAAATAGTCTGAGGACATTAGGCCCTTGTTACTCAAGGCAGTAAAAAGCAAAGCAATTTGTTAAAAATCACACAGAAGATGCCTCTAGAGCTCAGCCCTCCCAGGCCAGCTTCCCCTCACACAGAGAATGCAGGAAGGAGGAGGAAAGATGAGGTGCCCGTGAGTGCGGAGGGGACACCAAGGGACAGCGGGCTGCCTAACCAAGGAGGGAGGCTCGCCTCCTTCCACGAGAACAGACCGGAGACTCTCGACTGAGAGAAGAGACTGTCTGGGTTGTGGTGCCAGTGGCCCTTCTACTAAAAACAGCAACATCAATAATAATGGTGTTTAACATTTAGTAAGCACTTAATATATAACAGCGACACTAAATCTTCAGGCTTCCTTCACCATCGCTGATTATCATCTGAAATACTGATATATCGTGGCAGTGCCTGGAGACCTCCTAGATCCACAGCAATGTTAATGGTCAGGTGGAAATGAGTGACTGGGAACAGAGTGGGACACCTGTTTACACAGCCAGTTCGACACGGCGTGGAATCACATGTCCTCAGGCTTGTTAGTCCCTACTCAGCAGGGATGCATTTTATAGAAATTACAGATCTGATAAAAGGCTAGTTTGAGATGTTTTATAAATAGCCTGGGAATTCCTTTCGCTGTTAATTAAGCCCTGCGTGGTGTCTTCATTTCTGTGATGTGTGCCATTCTCACTGGCTTTCATGTTGCAACAAAGAACAATTTTCCCTGTTGTGGGAGAAATGGCCAGGAGGGAAACATTATTAATTCTTCATGAAAGAATAGGAGTTTTTTTTAACGTTCAGCTTTTTAAAATCAGTGCTTTGTGATCCTCTGGCACATCACACATGTGTTCGGGTGTCCCCAGAGAAGCATTTTCTCAGACCCTCCTTATGCAGATTCGTTTTTACTGAATGCAGCAGAGCAGGACAGCATTCCTTCTTCTTCCCAATGCATTTTGGCTTCTTTACACAAGAGCCGGGCTGAGTCATGAGCCTCAGAGCCTATGCCCTCTCTTCTCACAGAGCAGCCTCTTTCTTTGTTCCAAGGTAGATGCACTATGATGATGCTATAGTCTATGAAATTCATCCAGCATCTCCGTGTCACTGCGCTGCCTTGGAGTCTATGAATCCCAACTCTGGCCTTGTCTCTATCTCAGGTGTGGAAGAAATTAGGAAACAGAAAAGAGGACTGCAACGGCAACTGCCACAGGAGCCTACCGTCAAGTCCTTTCCCAAATTCACAGCCATCTACCAACGAGTCAAAGCCAAAGCCATCTTTATTAGACTTTATGTTGAATAACTGCTTTGGAAACACCAGGTTCCCAAGGCGGGTCTTAGGGACTGATGTGCGTATCTACTCCTGAGCTTGCTGGGGGAGCTGCAGAAGGAATGGAGGAGAAAGCACCTCCAGGTTCTTCAGAGCCCCAGGCTTGCACGCTGTGAGCTGAAGGTCATAGGCTCTACCATGCAACACACAGGATGCAGAGCCGTAGGGGCGGGAGAGGAGCCCATGCTGAGGAGTACCTGGGTCCATCAAGCAGGGTGAAGGGAGCAGAGGAGGACGCAGCCTGGGATTCTGCACACTTACTTCCCGACGGCTCCACAGGGACTGTAAAATAGGCTTCTTCCAAGATTCACTCGCTGAAGACAGGATATTGTGGATGCTGAAACTTTGCTCTGGAGGGATGTCGATGGTGACTTGGGCACTCGCCTAGGCTCAATGAGATGCCAGGGACCAAGACCAGCACGTTCACACTTCAGCGTATTCCCATGTCTACCAACACCATCGCTTTCTCGCTTCTTCCCAGTGCAAAGGAGATAGTGTGTATGAACCATAGCCCACAGGCCACACATGACAACAGGACCTACACTGACAGACCTTGTTGTCACAGGTACTCAGAACCCACCACCAATAACCTCTTTCCAGAATTAGCACTTAGGGGCCCTGATGTATAAGGCTCACCTGACTCTACCTTCCCACCTGCCCCCCACCATCCCCCCCCCCCTCCTGCAGCAGGGTGCTCTCCTCCTGAGGGCCTGTGTCCCTGAGGGACAAAGGCCACACGTCGATTTTCAGAGTAAGATTTTTTATTTTCTTGATTAGCCTTGTCAGCCTAAAGGGAAGAAACTGAGGCAAAATTAATATAAGTGGAGAGATCTTTGGGGCCAACTTGAGGACTGCAACCCGGGAGCACAGATTCAAGTTGCCCTGAATATCCACTCCAAATAGCAGCAGTTACAAGTGGGTTTTTAAAGGCAATGAACGGGGACAGGGAGTGGGCTGATACAAAGGGCTTTGTCAGGAATTCTCACTGGCTTACAGAAAATACGTTGATCAGTGATTAGCCACACACTGTTATGTAGGGTGTGGGTTATGTCCAGCGTGGCCTTATTAGGTTAATTTATAGGCACTTGTAGCAGCAGCAGTTTCCAGAGATGAATTCATAGCTCAAGAGGGAATTGGGACATGATTACAGTCTTGTTTTGACATCTCTCTGGGCCTGATCATTAAAAGGACTTGCATTCCTCAGAGTTCTTTGCTTAGCTTCTCTGTCATTCACCATCCCAGCCACAGCCCCCTTCTGTCTTCTAACCTTTCATTACTCAGCACTTATGCCATACTGGACAGTGCAACAGGTGCTGCAAATGAGAGGGGAACAAGGTGGACATGGTCACTCTTGTGCTGTGTGTGGTCTAGAGATAAACATACACAAGATGTACAAAAACAAAGCAATTACACATGTGATGAAAGCTATTAAGGAATAAGTCGAGTGCTGAGATGGAGAGCAACTGGGGCAGGGATCTCTGCTTTAGACAGAGTGGTCAGGGGAGGTCCCTCAGAGTAGTTGAGACTTCATCTGGGACCAGAAAGATGGAAAACAACCAGTCATAGAAAATGTGTGTTGCCTGTGTGTGTAGCAGGTGTGGTGGGATGGACAGTCTACAACAGGGAAGAGTTTGGCTCAGAAAAGTGTGTCCAATGAGTAGAATAAACAGACACAGGATGAATTTGGGAATCAGGCAGGGACCATATTATGGTAGCCATGAGAGTTCAAGAAGAAAGTTTATTTTATACTCTAGGTATAAAAATAAAATAAAACAAAATGAGAGTTTTAATCAGAATAGAAACATGATTAGGATAAATATTTGCTGAACGAATGAAGAAATGGGTGAGTGAATGGGTTCATTTCCTTCCAATCCCACAGCTTTAGATAGAGTCTGTGCCCCCTGAGTCCCATCTCACTTCCATTCCTTCTTTTCATACACTGCTATCTTCTCATCACCTCTCAGGCAATGTGAAACCCAACCTCTGTCCTTCACAACTCTCTTTTTCTCACATCCTCACCTCACTGGGAGAGGAGAGCCACATGTCAACCTAGAGTTACCCCTTGAATTATTTGAAGACACACAGAATTGCTTGCAGACATTTGCATTAGATAAAAATGTTATTTTGCAGTTTGTTCCCCCAAAGCTGCTAGTTCTCCTTCCCTGCCATGGGAATACATCCACTGGAAGCTGCTAGTTCTCCTTCCCTGCCATAGGAATGTATCCATTGGAATGGAAGCTCCATGGGAGCAGGACACGTGTATTCTCTATTTTACTTCTGTGCACTAATATGTTACCTAGCCCTGTGACCTCAGCAGCAGTGCCAAATCTGTCATTCTGTGCCTGCTGACAAAGGTGCTTACAGCCTCTGACAATCTCCTAACACCTCTCTGAGGGAAAGAGGAACAGACTTAATACTAGTAGCTGCTTTTATTGGTGAATAAAATTGAGGACTGCTAGTGGATTTTATAAGTACCAAATTTCCCTAGAAAAGCATTGAGAAGGCCTAAAGCAAGGGACTTTAGTCCATAAATTTGGAAAAATACCTTCCCTCGCCAGGAGGGTAAAGGTTTTGATTTATCCAGAACATTTATTATGGTTTTAAAGGATTTTTTAACCCATGTTTGTTTCACAAGATTGGCATGGAAATGTCATCTGCTCTTAGCTTTTCTGCATTTTTAAAGCATCAAAGGTCTAACCTTGTCTTTCCATAGCCCACGAGAAAGACCTGTGGCTTCTGTCTTAAGCAGTTCCTCACACAGAGCATATTTTGCATAAGTTAAATTGTTAATGGCTATTCAAGGGCTGTAAAATGTTTTGCATTTGTTTTTCTTCTCTTTATTTTTTTTTAAACTCCTTTAGGTGATTCATCAAGCCTACTTCTTGAACCAGCTGTGAGAGATCAAGAAATGTTATTTGCATTCAAGGGAAGAATTTTCAGGCAAGAAACAATCTGCCTGTTGAATACATTCATGTGAATAGAAAAAATGTTTTAAAGCTGAGCAAAAAGAAAGCAAGGGGCACACATGGGAGAGAGAACTACCTCTCAGTATGAACCGTGCAGAACTTTGATCATAACTTTAAATAAAACCAGATTTCACCAGGTGTGACAAGCTCTGGATCCAGAACATCTGCAGCTCTGATTAGAGCTCAGACTCGCTCTCACAAGGCTTGCTTGCTTTCTCCTTCAATTCAGTTGCCCTAAATAAGGAAGGCCCTGCTCTCAAACCTGCATCTTAAGAAGCGAGGCCCCAGAGTGGCAGGGAAAGGCAGGAGAGCAGGAAACGCACCACACCTGAGTTAGAAGGCTTGGGTTCTACGTTCAGCTGGGACAATAGATAAATAGAATTGCTATTAATAAAACTCAAGGCATGATTTCAACAATGACAATCCACACTCACTGAGTGCTTTATACGTGTCATGTACTATGCTAGTGTTGAAAGAAAAGCTTTAAAAAATTAAATTTAAAAGTTCATTTGAGCAAAGGGTAATTCATGAACCAGGTAGCACTCTAAACCAAAAGGGGCTCAGAGCACTCTGCTCTGCAGGTGATGGGACGTGAGTTTTTATAGGCAGAACACAGAAGTACAGAAATGGCGGCTGGATTGGCTTCAGCTGGGCCTTATTTGCACATGGTCTGATCACTTGACTGCCTGTGATGGGCTGAGACCTGGCTATCTATTACAAAATTATATACTCCCATGGTGGGTTCCAGTGTGTTCACATACTAAGGTGGGTTATATGTCCTTACTTAGGAACTCAAAGTATGGAGACAGACTCAGGCCAAACTTAATTGAACGCTAGGTATTTTATAAGCGTGAACTAACATATTTCTAATATCCCTTTGTACTTTGTTTTTTAACAAACCTGAGGCTTAAAGAGGGTGATTTTCCCACAGTCATTTTGCTAAGTATGATACTTTGACGAACCAATTAGACTTTTCTGGACTTTAGTTATTTGTTGCTGTTTATTTTTAATCTGAAAAATGAAGGGATGGAATAGGAGCATGTTACAATTATTTTTAACGCCATGATTATTTGATTGGACAATTCTCTTAGCCATGCAAGATGTGTTGTCTCTCTGTAATCTGAGTTTTGACAAACCAAATCTGCTGCCCCATTCTTCTGATGCAGCAGATGTAGCATGGTGTCTGGCGCAGAGAAAGCCTTCCGAGTGGGTGCTTCATATCAGTCACTGTGTGAGTTTAATCAGCTTGCTCACGCCTAATTTTCCACCCAGTTCTTAATTTATTCATTTTATGAAGACATAGGTCTAGGTGATCTTTAGAGTAGCTCTACAGTCTAACACTTTATATTCAAGACAACTAAAATGCCAAGTTATGAAATGCCAAAATGATACGAATCAGGCTCCGACCAGGAAAAATGTTAATAATTTATCTGTATTTCCTTTCTAGTGCCTCAACCACATATGGCTATTTTTGCTCTCAAAGCCTAACATTAAGGAAAACTACAGAAGGGAATATGCAGTTTGACAAATTTTACTGATCAAGAACAATTTTTTAATGATCTTTGAAATCCACTTGAAAGCCAATATAGATGAGAGATTACAAATGTGGGAATGAAGGGGGTCCCTGTTCATACTCAGCGTTCGGGGGCTGTAGGACATCCTGATCTGCCTTCTACTCACATGCGGCTGGAAAAAACAACAGCTCACAAAGGAAAGAAAACCTAAATAATAGCTTATTTATATAGTAATTAGATGATAGATGATAGATAGATAGATAGATAGATAGATAGATAGATAGATAGATAGATGAGAGAGAGAGAGAGAGAGAGGTGAGGAAAACTCTTTAAAATATCACCATGGTAAATATAATATCAGAGATTCTTCATATTTGTTTGTTTTGCTTTTGGAAGTACTCATATGTCACCATCTAGCAGGACTAGATGGTGATGCAAATTCCACCAAACACTAAAAAGAAGAGTCTATTTTCTTGAAACTGAGAAAAACTCATACCCTCAAAGACTGAAGACTAATCTTTGATTTGCTGAAAGCTTGCCTAAGAGTTGGAGATCTCTATGTTCTGCAGCTTTGGATTACACCAATGATTGACTCTTTGTTTTCCGGAGTTTAGAGTTGAGGTCGGGTTTCCTCAGAGCCCTGTTCTTATTCTGCTGACTGGACATTCTCTCATTACTCCATGACCTCTACCTGTCCCTCCCACCCTCACTTTTCTGCTAGGGTGAAAGTAATCTGTTGAAATCCTTAGCAACCATTTACTTGATATGGTACAAATCCAGCTGAAAGGTGCAAATAATTCAAGACTTGTATACATTTCTTAACTAGAAACTAATTTTTAGCTATCCTGGAAGGTTTTTTAACTGTTTCTGGGTATTTTAATAAACCCCTAAAATTTCAGTTCAGTGACTTATATTTTTTTAGTTGAAAATCGTTTCACATTTAAATAAATGCTACAAGAATAAGAATAATACAAAGAACTCCCAAACACCTTTAATAAGATTTACTTAATTGTTAACATCATGCCTCATTTGTTTTCTCAATCTCTGTTCTGTCTCTATCTTTATGTCTCTGTCTCTGTCACATATGTGTGTGTGTGTGTATATGTATATATGTGTATATACGTATGTGTATATATGTGTGTGTATATATGTATATCATTTGCAGTTAAGTTTCATAACATCATAACATTCATTATGACCTTGACCTTTACTGTTCAGTTTATATGTCCTAATATTTATATTTTTACATAAATCATATAATTTGAAATTTTAGTAAGTTGATGCAATCATTTATTTTTATTTTGTATAGTTATATCTTTATGTTTTACCTACTCTTCCATTCACTTTACTAGGTTTTAAATTGACCCAATAATACGCCTCATAGCATTTTTTTTCCTTCCATTGAGGATCCATTCTAGGATCAGAAATTGTGTTTACTTATCATGTCTCTTTAGTTTCTTTCCATTTGGAAAAAAAAATAATCTCTATATCCTTTGTCTTTGAGGACATTAACATTTTCTAAAAATACAGCCCCAGTTATTTATAAACATAATGTTTCTCATTTGGGGGTTGTCTGATGTTTATTCATGGTTAGATTCAGGCGATGCATTCTCAGCTGGAATACAACAGAGGTATATTTTGTTCCTCTCAAAACAAAGTATCACATCTGGGGTGTCCATATGTCCACATTAGTGATAATTTTGATCACCTGAGCAAGTTGTTGTCTGGTTTCTCCATTATAAAAATTATTCTTTTTTCTTTGCTAGTAATAAGCAGTCTGTGGGTAGACAAAACACTTTAAGGGCATGAAATGCATTATTCCTCAGCAAAATATTCCCCCTAGATTTATTATCAAGGATAATTCTAGCCTGATCCAGTCTTTACTCCGATGATTACAAAATAAAGGTTTTTTTCTAACTTTATTACTTCTTACACATTTGCCAGTCATCATATAGCATTCTATTACTAGCAGGAACTTCTGTGCCTGTTTATCACTTTATATCTGTATGAGCTCCTGAATTCTTATTCTTTCAATGGTTTATAACTCATTACTATTCTTATTCTGGTGCTCACATCGCCCAAGATTCGGGTCATTGGAGCCCCCTTCAGATAATGCCTTGCAGTATGCCTCCGCCATTGTTTTAAACACTATCCTACTTTGTGGTATAACAAGGTGTTTGGGATTCACCTTGAACCTACCATGCCCAAGTCACAAAAACAACAGGTCTTCCAAGGATCCCTAGTTCTCTTTATGGAAATGATATTAGAGAGCAAAGCCCAGCCTCTTGGTGGTAGTGAGGCATCTTTCCTTCTAGGTTCTTTTAGCAGACAGAGCTAGGAAATACAAAAATTGACACAGCCATATACGCATATACACATACCTTTATGTGAGCACACTAAAAGGACCTATTCAGAGTCCCAGGGTTTAAGATTATTTTAAACTGAAGACATTTGAGATTCAACAGATACAGAAAGAAGGCTTTTTGGAGCTTTCCTTGTTTGACTAAAAGCAGAAACTTTGGGAAAGTGAGATTGCATAACTGTGGGGAGGTTTTTGCTCCACGGAAGGAGACCCAGAGTAAACTTATCATAAACTGCTCTCTGGGGAAGTTTTATGGCCATGAAGAAGATGGAAAGACCACATGCACTTCCATAAACAAATATCACGAACTTTCTTACCTCCTATTTGTTCTTCTAGAAATCCTTTGTCTTCCTTAAAAAACCCCACTTGTTCTTTCCATAGAAGCCCTTGCTTACTTCTCTCTTTATCTGAGTAAGTTCTGTTATAAATCTCTAACTATATATCTAGCTACTTTTAGTAAGCTCCTATAGACATGTGAATAAACTTTTTTTTCAGGTTCATCTGACTTTTATCTGTTTAATTTGCAGGCTCCCAGATACTGAACCTAAGAGGGTAGGGAAAAACCTTTTGCTCCCTGAAAACATATATATGCATATGCACATACATTTACATGTTTTTAGAAATTATGAGTTTGCAATGATATCTCCAATTCTAATATATTCCACGGGCTCTCACGTCTCTTCCCGAATTTCATGTCTTTGTGTAACTTCTTCAGAAGATAACCCTGACTTCCATAACATCCCCCAATTTTTTAAGTACTTTTTAAAATTTCAGTAGCGTTTGGGGTAGAAGTGGTTTTTGGTTACATGGATGAATTGTACAGTAGTAAAGTCTGAAATTTTAGTGCATCCATCACCTGAGAAGTGTACACTGCACCCAATATATATTTTTTATCTTTCCTCCCCACTCCCAACCTTCCCCTTCTGAGTCTTCATAGTCTTATGTTATCACTCTGTATGCCTTTACATACCTATTGCTTAGCTCCCACTTACAAAGTGAGAACATGTGGTATTTGGTTTTCCATTCCTGGGTTACTTCACTTAGAATTATACCCTCCAGCTTTATCTGAGTTGCTGCAAAAGACATCATTTGCTTCTTTTTTAAGGCTGAGTAGTATTCAATGACGTGTATATACTACATTTTCTTTATCCACTCATTGCT